>NC_000023.11:57923467-58239523 GCF_000001405.40 Homo sapiens
AACCGCTCACATCAGTAAAGAACCCCCAACATTCATTAGGAATTATAGCACAATGCCTTCCTCACCTCCAATATTTGCTGACCCTTGCTGAATTGTCTATCGAGACACCTGTAAAGCTTCCTTTTTTCAGTAGGGACCTGAACATCTACAGTCACTGGTTGAGCTAAAGGAGGCTAATACTTTGGCTCTCCCTCTAGTGCTCCCAAGGACAAGACTTGCAATTATAAGTTTCCACTGCTCCCAAATTTGCTTCCTGGAGCCTCTGGACCAAATGGACAGGTAAATGCCTACCCATGGGCTTTTGGTGTAAGTAGCTCTCAGCCTCAGCCTAAAGTATTCACTAGACAGACACCCACTGGCAGCATATGGGGCACTTATCAAAACTGAAGCCCTGGTGGGGCAGAGAAAATTACCCTATGGACCGAGATTCCTGTTATGCCCTGGGTAATGGACAGAGCTGCCCATAAAATTGGATCAGCAACAGAAGCTTCTTTATTAAAATGAAAATGGTATCTACAGGATTGAACTACACCTGGCCCTCCTGGAGTGTCACTACTGTGTGAGGAAATGGCCACATACTCTGTCAGTGAGGTTAACTTGCCAAAACCCCTGGAAATGCCCCTGGCTCTTGCTCATTGGGGAATGGAGGGAGTATGGCCAGCACTTTCATAACAAGAAAATTAATGTTTTTCTTTACCAATGGAGTGAGCACAGGGTATAAGGGAGTCAGATAAAGGACAGCAACAGCCTACTACCCTTATTCAAATACTCCAACTTCCATATGGGGATGGGCCAAAGTGCCCAATGGGCCAGGCTGTGTGCAACACCCCTAGAAATAGAGAAGGCCTTCGACAAACATTTTACTAAGTTTCACATTTTTGGCAACTCCTGGTCAGTGGCTAATAGGCTATTGGGTTGGGACTTGGACAAAATCAGGGCTGGAACATACAAGGCTGACACATTTGGGGTAAGGAGATGTGGGGGAAAATATCAGCACATTGGCCTCCACTCTGTGCATCTTTGTACACCATACCTCAGCTCACAGCAAACAATACAACCTGGAAGCTGACAAACTAGCTAAAGTACCAAAGTAGTTAATCCTTTTGAAAAGAGGGGAGACAGCAGAACTTTGGTAAGAGATACCCTTCACCCTATAAAGGAGAGGTCAGGGCATTTGGGCATCATGAGACCATGAAAATCAACTGTTAATGAGAAATAGACCCAGCAGAGAGACATTTACATGAAGCTGTTAGGGACCGTACCATAGACCAGAAATCTAGAGACTTGGACCTACTGCACAGGAGAAGGGCTATATCAGAGCTGGCAAATCCAGTCAATTTTATTGGGCCCCTCTCTGAAGCAGCAGGAACTATTACATATGCCACAACAATGTAGTAATTCCTACACAGGCTTACTCTTGGCTTACCCACGAAAGGCACCAAGCTCTGCTAATGTTATTGAGGAACTGATAAAATAGTTTGTATGGCCTTTGGGAGTACAAAAGTTACACAAAGTTATCCAGTCAGATCAAGACTCTCACTTCTCTGCAAAGAAGATTCAACCATAGGCATTACCAAAGAACACTGCTTGGATTTCTCATTTATTCTCTGGTCCTACAGTAGCAGGTGTCACAGAATGACAGAATGGGTTTTTTAAAACAAGGGATATTGAAAGAACATGCAGGACAATAGCATTCCCAGTAGCCAAAAATACTGCCCATAGTCATGCTTACATTAAATCCATACCTCTCTGGCATAACCGCACTGTATTTTAATTCACAGCAAATGAGGAGACCACCAACAGAGATGCTGCAACCTCTGGTGATGTATGTACCCACTGGACACAACATGATTTACTAGTATTAACAAACATGCGGGCCCTGAAGTGATCGCCCACAGCAAAGGAACTTGGCTCTTTCACCTCTTGCTTCTTCCTCATAGAAAATCCAGAGCCTGGTCATTTCTTTTCCCCTCAATCCTGACAAGGATCTGGCATGGACCACTCACTCTGGGTGCATTCTCAGTCTTAGTCTGTTCATTACCCAGAATAAAACTAGTAAACCACCCACCACCATCTGGAGAGGGAAGCATCCTCATTTTCTGCCCATGTACTTTGCTCCACTAAGGGCACTATGGAACAAACTTTGACCTGCTCTGGACACCCAGGAGATTGAACCAACAACCCTTGTATCCGGTAACACCATTTGGGTGACTCCCAGAGGACAATCAGATTCCCTACTGCTGGCTGCAAATGACCTCCAACATTTATGCCTATGCTGTTGTTCTGCCCTTTCCTTACCTGAGAAAGTTCCTACCTTCACCAATGTCAATTATACCTCGATTGGTGGATCACCCTATCCCTGGTAATCCACACCCTACTGCTGGCAGAGTATGTATGGAAACAGCATGCCTCATACACACCACAGGGACACCCAACATAGGTCAGACTGGGAACAAAGGGAACCATGCTCCCATTTCACTGGGTCAGTCCACAGACATCAGCACTGAGGTTAGCACTTCTCCTCCTCTCTCTACTACCACTTAGTAACATCCTTCCAGCTAAGTCAGATTGTACAATTTCACTTGTGACTCATAGATGCCTTCTAAGCTCTGTGGGCCGCCTTTTCCTTCACATCAGATGATACCCACTATTATTAACTCATGTGCCATTAAACAAATGGAGCAATGGGCCACTATCTATTGAGCCTCGTTTAAGGAATGCCCAGAGATAGTATGCACCAAATATTACAACCAGGATGCTTGTGATTGGTGTTGTTATTAATACTATAATCCAGATACAATACCCACAAGCCATTACGGGATTGCATAGATAAAATGATAGCTTTTTCTTATCCCTGGAATTATAATAAGTGCAATCGACACCCACAGTGTATACCTTTACAATTATTGGCTTCTAAGGCAATGCATACTACATGACATTACCTGGGCCAAGACATTTCTTAAAAAAAAAATCACACACACACACACACACACAAAACAACCAGCTTGGGAATTCTTCCCTAACCTAATCTTAATATACTAACTGCAAGTTTTACATAACACTCAATGGAAGTGAACTCTACAGCAATTGCAATGCTGGCTACCCACAGTGAACAACTCATAGCTCGTGGTGTCACAGCACAGACAGTTCTTACAAGAAACATATTTGATCTCAGGGAGAAATCTAACTACTGTTTGCATGGGAGTTTCTCCACCCACATTGATAACTATTTGCTTATAGCTATTGTGAAATTTGTCCAAAACCACAGTTATTAAAAACTTAGAAACTATTTGAGGGCAGTTGTTGCCCAATGTTACTTTTCTGAGGGCTCCTTAAAAATCCATACACACTCCAAACCTACAGAAGACATAAACGATAATGAGAAGACATGTAATGAAACTAACTTGGGAGGAATGTTTTCATCTTCATTAAAACATTTTTATGCCTTGTCATTTCTTTTTCAACTTTTATTTTAGATTCATTGGGCACATGTGCAGGTTTGTTACCTGGGTATATTGCATGATGCTGAGGTTTGGGGTACAAATGATCCCATCACCCAGGTATTGAGCATAGTACCCAACAGTTTGTTTTTCAACCCTTGCTCCCCTCCCCCGTCCCCCTCTAGTAGTCTCCAGTGTCTCAGTAGACACTTTATGTCCATGAGTACTTGGGAGGAAATTTATTGGTGTAGTCACACTGCCACCTCCCAAGGGGCCACTCCTGAGGTTATTAAAGGTATACAAACCTCTTCCCTATGAAAGTTTCCGCTAAAATGGAGTCCATAAAGCTTTTGGTCCCCCACTGAAACACAATAATGTTGCAATACAAGGGAACATAAAAGGGACCTATGCCTTGATACAATTGATATCTTTTTTTTTTTTTTTTTTTGAGACAGAGTCTGGATCTGTCGCCCAGGCTGGAGTGCAGTAACGTGATCTCGGCTCACTGAAACCTCTGCCTCCTGGGTTCAAGTGATTCTCCTGCCTCAGCCCCCAAGTAGCTGGGACTACAGGAGCATGCCACCACACCCGGGTAATCTTTTTTTTTTTTTCGTATTTTTAGTAGAGACGGGGTTTCACCATATTGGCCAGGCTGGTCTGGAACTCCTGACCTCGTGATCTGCCCACTTCGGCCTCCCAAAGTGCTGGGATTTCAGGCATGAGCCACTGTGCCCAGCTGATATCTATTTTTTTAAAAAATACTTGGTTTACCTGTTTTGTTCACTCATATGCGAGTGCCTCATAATTCAGAATCTAATTTGGTGTGTGGCTAGACTAACAACGTTCTTCTTGGACTGCCAATAACACCTGCAAAACCTATCCCACACTCATGGGAACACATCAATGCTATTTATTATTGGCAATCAACAGGAAACTCAAGCACAATGCACAACAGTCACAGCAAGGAGGAACATGCAATTGCCAACTACACCAAACGTGCCTATAGCCTTAGCCACAGCAACATATAAAATGGTAAATCTAACCTAATGCAGGGCTTGCTTCTGCCAACCTGATTTTAGAAAATATAGTGTAATACTTCTTCCCTGGCAACGCTGCATCATATACCTCACTTATTTAGATGAGCCGATTCTCCTAACCGTTGACATTCAATAACCTTATCCAGAGACTTATCTCACGTAAATGTATAGACAATGGTGGGCTGAGCCCATGACAAATTTAGTTAACCCAGGTGCTGAATGCAAGGTGGATAACACAAGCTTGTTTGACTATACCATTTTCTGCTCCTATTAACACAACCTGGAACTTCTGGAACTTCACAAAGCCATGTGAACTTCCCTTCAGTGGAACAGAGAATTCAGGCAGCAGAGGGAGCCTGGAGGTCCTGTAAAGGAATCAGATGGCTTCCCTATCACAATCTTCTCCTCATCCAACCCTGAAGAATATTTCCTGCACTTGGGATTGGTGCAAAATTCCAGTAGAATTTTATTCAACAGTGGAACCCCCTCCCTCAAGTACTTTCCGCCACCAAACCACACTAGATGTGACTCCCCAATGTCACAAATGAGCTTTCCAAATAGTTCCTCATGGTACTAACTTCCCTAGGATCACTAATTTTGGAGGCAGTAGGAACAGCATATGTGTGGAACAGCACACCACAATTAAGAGAAACACATAGCCATGTTGCAGGAATTACCCACAGAAATTAGATAAACAGCCCAAGGACTGAAACTCTTTGCTGAATCTCACTGTACTTTAGTGGCCATGGTGTGAGATAACTGCATAGCCCTAGGTCAGGCTGCTGGAGGGGTCACAGGGCACAGGGGCTGTGTGCTTGCTAAAATTATCTTCCTGCATGTGCGTAGATAACACCAAGTTTTACAGATAGCTGGGGTCATGTACCAAAGGGGATATAAATGCCACTCTATTGACTAAACGGACTGGTCAAAACAAAATTGTCTCCTTTCAAATTTATTCTACTGGCTGCCCAAGTGGGCAGATTGGCTGAGAACTGGCTTTTAAAATCCTAATTTGTAGCCTTATAGCATTCTGGGTCTTGAGGATGCTTCATCGCTGGCTCCCAACTGAGACTCCATGAAATAGCATACAACTTAGATTGTAAAACAACATGGGGCCAAGGCATGGACTGTTAAATAAGTGGATTAATATCTTTAGATGGTGCCTTGTATCTTGTTCCCTATATTCAGAGACAGCTAAGACCATTAGCTCAAAGCTCATTGGAACTAAAATCAAATGTTTACACACCCAATTGCTTTAAATATGGCCCCCAGTAAGCACATTTTTGGCCCTTTAGAACCCACCCACATTGCACCCTCTGTAAAACCAGACACACCATCTGCTAGCCGTAGATAGGACATACTCTGGGGCTGGACAAAAGCCCCAAGCCTCTGATGCCCATGGGAACTCTCTGACACAGAGACTCCACACCTGGCTGCTGAGTAACATCCCATAGACACATGAGCCTCCTGTCCAATTCTTCTCTCCTTTGGAAGTTGCCTTGAACTCTTCCTCTTCTGGGTGGTGGCCTCTTGCTGCTGCCTCTGGAAGGTCTCCTGCTGTGAGGGAAGTTCCACTCTCCTGAAACCTTTCAAAGGGCCAACCAAATAAAGCATGTTGTGTGCTACTGCCATCTAATGGTCATGACTTTTTCCTTGCTCAGCCCTGATATCCAGAAAATCAACACACATACTTAATGGCAAACTTTGTCAGAAGCCAAGATAGTGGAGAAACAATGGTCAGATATTGTTGAGATAATTGTCCATGGCCTTTCTACATTTATTGTAACAGCTTTTGTCTCTAACTATAGTTTGAAGAATACTTGTATGTCAACATTTGACTGGCTGCTCCTCATTTCTCCTGTGTGATTTGGGGCAGAGGGCAAGGGGAATTAATGCAAACATGAACCAAAACAAACTCTGACCCAAGAATCTCATATATTCTGCCAACATCTGTGAAACTGAGGTATGCTAGTTTGTGAGCTTGCAAGTAGGGTACAGTCTCAAACTCTTCACATTTCTTGCCAATTTTGGTAATGAAGATGAAACATAGCATTCTGGAAAGTGATAAAACAAGGGTGCTTCACTGGCCTGGTTAGGGGATATGAGAAGACTCCTCGGGATTGGAGAGCAAATGCTTTTTCCCGAATGGATTGGCACTAAGTGCATTAAAGGCCCTTCCCCACTCACTCTCCTACCTATTAATGAAGCTGAGGGGCAGGATGCAGAATTAAACCAAGCTGTTTGAATCATGGTTTGGTTGTTGTTCACTCTCCTCTGCATGGGAGGAAGAAGGGATGATGTCATGGTGCTGAGTCAATGACTTGCCAAACCTGAATAAGTGGCGTCAGCAGTGAAGATATAGAGTTTTCAGTGGAAAAAAAACCATCTGAAGTTTGTTTGGTTGAACCACACTGCTGGCTACTGGAAACCAAATGCAAACATGCCTTGCTTACTAGTATAGACAGAGTCTTTTCTCTCTCTCTCTCTGCATTTCCTAACTCCTGGTTCTCTTCCTTTTCTCACTTCAGGTGCTATAAGAAGAAAGATGATTAGTGGTGAGCCAGAAGTCTCTCTGTCCTCAAGACAGACTAAAAGGCATATGCATGGTAGGGTACTTCAGGAAAGGGACGGACTCACATGTTCACAGAACTGTTACATATAATCTCCCATGACACTATCTTATCTGATTTTCTGGGGAGTGGAGGGAAGGGGTAATAGGTATGAGGTAGATGAAAGCACCAAGACTGTGGAGCAGAGCTGCTGGGGAAATCAAGGGACAGAATGGAAGAATCCCTGAGCCCTTACAGTTCTGCACAAATGGAGGTACACAGGAGAGGATTTAGCATACAAGCTGGGGCAAAGAGCCAGAGGGATTACAAAAAAGGCTTACAGTCCCCACCCCTCGCCTCATCCCAAGACTCCCCTGCAATCCCTACATTCTGGCCTGGACATAGGGAAATCCCCTAACAGCTCTTGCTGTAACCCCTGAAATTCCTGTAGTGAACTCTAGGTCTGAGTTCATTTAAGGGAAAAAAGTCCAGAAAAGCAATTGTTGGGGTTTGGGCATGGTTCACAGTGGGGTTTGGAAGCCAATATGACTTTGTACAGGGACGCCTTTGGGAAAGTTGAATAAACTGTTCTTGTTGCTTCTACTTATAAATGGCAGGATTTGATGGGTCATATGCTTGTAATTTCTCATTCTACAGGTCTCATATAAAGTCATCCCCATCACAGAGAGACAGAGGTAGAGGGAAGTGTTAGTGGAACAAACTCCAATGAGATTTGTCAGCAGTGGTTGGCTCAGGATTTAGCATTAGTGTCTCTACCTTCTAATGTTCAATATTTTCACTATATACATAATAATTGTGTCAGCTGGCCGGCTAGAAGTCTCAGTCTCAAGGGTCCTCAATGCAGTGTTATTACATATCTGTCAGCAAGGGTGGCTGATTTATGCTCCCAAATACAGGGGCCTGCTTGCCAAGTAATCTCTTGGGACTAAGCAGGCAAATTCACAACATTAGATCCCTCTAACAGGAAAAAATTGACGTCTCTTCATACAACCTGCCACCGAAAAAGAGGCTCAGAACCTCAATCAACTCCTTGAATATTACATACAGGACAAATCTGTGTAACTGATGATTTTGCCGATGGGGGCACCTGGCAAGGGGAAGCAGTCAACACCCAGAGAGATCCCTTGGGGAACTGGACTTGTTGCCTCCCTAATATGGCTACAGGGTACATCCCTTTTGAAAAGCAGCTAATGGCTTGCAATTGGGATTCTGTCAAAACTGAACAATCGATTCATGGAGAATTTGTTACCATCTGGCTCGATATTTCCATCTTTGAGTTGGTCAACTCAGACTCAATGACTAGCAGGTAGGAAGGGGTCAATAAGCTTGGCTTATGAAATGGAAACGGTAAAATCAAGAACAGTCATCTGATCCCACAGACATTTCTTTTTTATTATATTTATTTTCTTCATGTTTGAGAAATATTTTTTGTCAAGATGTCCCAGAAGGCAACATTTTAAAATTGGGCAATCAATAATACAAAATTTCAGATAAACTTGCCTTTCCAAATAAATCAGACCCTTGAAACAGAAGAAGCACCCAAGGGTTTCTTTTTTTTCTTTTACAAAACAGTTAACTCCACTTTGCAAAATGCGTACAAAAATACAATATATTAAAAAGACTGCCCCAACATAATACCCAACAGCAGCTTATAAAACCAAGCTATTCATGTAGGACATTAGTAACCTACACCTGGCCTGTTCTCCCTCCATAGACAGTTCCAGAAGTCAGTTGGTTCCTGTAAACTACCATGCTCCTGAAGGGTAGAGAGGCTATTTCAAAACATCCTCTGGGATTCTCTGAGGCCACGAAGCAACCTCAGAAAGAAACCATTATGGAAAATAGATTTGAATGTAGCAGCTGGTTTTCCAGAGCCACAGATAGTACTTATCACCCCCCATCCCTTTCCAAATTCAGAACCATCAAGCACCTGCTATTTTGGGCAGAGTTCTGGAGGGGCTTGTCCTTTTTCCAGGACAGGGTTAGGGGTTCCTGAGGTTACCCACATGACAACTGCTGGGCTGGATGTCTTTCCCGGAATGGAGGCTGTACCTGGATTCTCCTTGGACATGCAGAGTCCAGCTGGGGCAAAAATCCATCATGATTGGCTAAGCAGAGCTCCTGCAGGCTCCTTTAAAACATACCAGGAAGCAAGTCCACCTTCTGGAAAAGAAATATGACTCATGGCAGGCTGGTAGGGAGCCAAGTATGCTGCAGACCCCACAAGTTCCTTGGAGATGCCCAAGGTGGACGTGTTTGCATGGTTCCGGTAGAATTTCACACTCATCAGTCAAAGATTGAGATGAGAGCTTCATGGAAAAGAGGAAGCGGTACAGTTCTCCCTTCTGAGGTGACTTACATCTGCCTTGAGAAGAGATTATAAGATGGGTGGCCTCAAGTGCCACTCGGACAGGGAACAAGTTCAGGAGCCAGGACTCCAAGATTTCCTCAGGCCCCAGGCTAGGATCCCCACTTCCCTGTAACTTGGGGAAACATTTCTAACCTGTGGGAAAGGATGCTGTAAAGCCCATTGCACAACAAAGGCAAAATGAAACAAAAGTCTCTCATGAGGACAGAAAGGTCCCTTCATCAGAGAAGGCCCAGAGAGCTCTGAGACAACGAACCTAGAGTGCAAGCTCTTTAAATGTTCTCAGGGTCTCAGCATTGAAACTGGAAGGAGAGGTGTCAGCTAATATCACAATATATACGTTAAAGGTTTCCAACTCCTCAGATACTGTAAAGTGTCTGACAGTGAAGCAATGGTCATGTTGATCAAATCTTCAAGCTTGTCATCACCCAAGACAGCTTGTGTGTCTCCTGGAAAAAAAAGCCACAGCGAGAGTGCTGTCCAGGCCCAGCTGTCCTTGCATGACCCCAGACATACCAGGGAGCATTCTAGCATCACCCCAGAGATACCAGGGAGCATTCTTTCCTAGTCTAAGGCTCACGCGGAGTGTGAGATTTCATGCAGGCTGGAGTCCCCGACAACATACACCACCTGTTGCATAGTATCTGTCAGCCTTTTCTTCGGAGCTAGTGAGGTAAACAGACCCCAAATCTCCTCAGTCAGCTATCTGCTGAGAAGCCAAAGGCGCCAGAGAAGACACAGCATGAGTCAGGGGAGAGAAAGAGCTGGGTTTCAAGGTTTCCAAGAATGCAAGCCCTTATTCTGTGTGTACTGGCTGCAATGCATTCTGGGACCTACTGCAAAGACTGTCCCGTCATAACCAAAATGTGAAAATTACTAAAGGGGAAGGGGAGGTCAAAAAATAAACTTGTGTCTTTGTAAGATAGAACAGTCAGGCTTTTTGGTCAGTTAGTAGCCACTGAGGTACGCAATTCATTTCTGCAATTGCTGTTGCTGGCGTTGGAGCTGCGTTTTCTCCATAGACATCTTTTTCTCGGTTCACGCCAGGTCTTGCAAGTATCCCAAGGCCTTGCTTAGGATCACTACCGTGGGGACCTTAGAGCAGCTGGCCAAGGTGGGTACCTGGTCCCTCAGGGCCAAGAACTGAGAACGCGCAGGTCATTCCACCTCTTGTGCTGCAGGAAGCTGTGGCCCTTCCTCTTGGTCACATCCTCAGTGTCAGAACTGGCAGCACTGGGCAGCCTTGCTTTCTATAGGTGAGGGGCTCACAATCCCCTCATCCTCCTCATCTTCCGTTTCCCCTGGAGCATCTCCCTCCAGAACCTCTTCTTGGAGACCTCTCTCTGGAGCCTCTTCTTGGGAGCAGCTTTCTGGAGAAATATGGGCAGCGCAGTTGTGTTGTTGCTGGTGGATGGAGGTATGGAAGTGTTTCATGCAGGGGTTCAGACGGTCTACTCGAACCATGATGGTGATCGACTTCTGTAAACCCAATCTGCCTTTTCTTTGCTGTCACAAGGTCAATTTCCTCACCCTCTGAGTTGTTTGGGTTCTCAAATCTGGAGCAGGCCTGAGTCTTGGCCTTGCCCAGAGTCCAGGGAGCAGTGGGCGCTGGATTGCCGTCTTCGAGGCTGGGAGGGCAGTCTGGGGAGGAGGGCACCTTGGGCGGGTTCCCCCAGGGCGCGCCAGTGGCGAGCCAGTCGCTCCCCGCTCTCTACAGCTGTTCCCAGGCCAAATAGCTGCTCCACATGCAGTCACGATGGACAATGGATGCATGGTTCCTGCCCCAAGCTCTCGAGTGGCCCCGAGATTCCGTCTCATCCCCGGCGCACTCTCCGGATCACGGCTCTGTGCGATCAATCCCAGGGTCTGGGTCCCTGGCGCTGGGATCCTAGTCTCAGGGCGGAAATGCGGGGGTGGGTTGGTGGGTGGGCGATGGCATCAACTCGAATTTCTTCTGCATCTCTGCTTTATATGTAAGAGTGGCAACTGTCTCTCTGGGGGAAACTTAACCTTTTATTCTCCTGCTTGAAACAACACTACTAGTTCAATTGGACCCTGTTTACAGAGGTTTCCCCAAATATCTGGGCTTGCCTCAGTGAAGGATTGGCTAAGCTGAAAACTGATGGTGTTCACTGGCTCCTGTGTCTGTTCAGCCTCTGAACCAGCTATGCAGAAATAAAAAGAGGACTTGGTTTCTCTGCTCAATGGTCAGAACCCAATTCTTGGGACACTACCAATGGTCCAGCCTTTTGGTATGCCACTTGGAAAACTAGTCTGTCAGATTAAAGACTTCTTTGGGACCGCATGTGGAAACAAATCTTGACTACTTACTGAACTGCCTGGATTCCTCATATACAGACCCATGGCAAGGGCTCATTCTCTGATGAGACTAACTAATCAAGGGGATGATTGGGCCTGACTTTATATATCTAATGCAGAATCTCCTGCTGCATGCCAGATCTGTGACTCCTGACAAAAGCTGACACATGTGTTTCATGGCGTGGAGACGTCATTACATAAGTTGTGGCAACCTCTCAACTCTGATGGATCTGACTGTTGACTCTCCTCTTGGGGCTTTTGAATATGCCTCACCACTGTTGAGCTTTTTTCAGATTACAATGTTGCTATTCCAGTCTGATCAAGCACACTATTGTGCCCCTTAAAAACAATCCATGCTATGTTTTTGCATTAGAGAATATTTTTATTCTGCCAATGGTGTATTTTATTGCAAAAGCCACTCAGTAATGACCTAATAATAAAGACGGACCATCGATGAATCTTACTGTCCATGGGCATCTAATATTACTGAGCAATAGCATGGTGGCCTTCTCATAATTGATTCAAAAATATCACTGACTCTACTTTCCTCACCATCTCTTGATCCACACACATTAGTAAGGAAGTTTGTTTACTGAATGTTGCTGTTCTTAGAAAAGGATCATCTCCTCTAGACTGCTTCCTGGGTAGGGACCAGGATGAAAGGAATACAGAGACTTTATTGGAAAATTTAGGATTCCTTCCAGATCTGTTCATTCCAAGTCCAGATGTTTCTTTCTTTCCTCTAACAGCAGCCCCAGGCCAGCCTGGTTGGTATACACTGTAGGGCTGACCAAAACTGGGAATAGGAGATTCAAACTTGCTGGTTGAAGTTTTAAAATTTTTATAAAATACATTTTATTTTGTTTTAAATTGATGTATAATTGTACATATTAATGGGATACAGTGTGATGTTTTGATACATATATATTGTGTAATGATCAAATCAGCATAATTAGCATATGTCTATCACCTGAAACATTTGTCATTTCTTGGTGGTGAGAACGTCCAAAATCCTCTCGTCTAACTATTTTAAAGTACACAATACATTATTGTTGACTACACTCAACCTACTGTGCAGTCGATTATCAGAAATTATTTGTCCTATATAAGTGTAACTTTGTAGCTGTTGAGCAACCTGTTCCCCTCCCCCTCGCAACTACTCTCCTCAGTTTCCGATAGCCACTACTAAACTCTCTTTGAGGTCAACTTTTTTAGATGCCACATATGCCTGAGATCATGTGGTAGTTCTCGTTCTGTGCTTGGTTTATTTCACTTAACATAAAGTCCTCTAGGTTTGTCCACATTGTTGCAAATGACAGGGTTTCATTCTTTTTGTTGTTGTTGTTTTGTTTTATTTTGTTTTTATTATAGCATTGCTTTCTTTTGGGCATACTTTATCATCTTCCTAGAGTTCTTATCCTATTATAGTCCTTAATCATTTTTACTTTTTTATTATTATTATTATACTTTTAGTTTTAGGGTACATGTGCACAATGTGCAGGTTAGTTACATATGTATACATGTGCCATGCTGGTGTGCTGCACCCATTAACTTGTCATTTAGCATTAGGTATATCTCCTAAAGCTATCCCTCCCCCCTCCCCCCACCCCACAACAGTCCCCAGAGTGTGATGTTCTCCTTCCTGTGTCCATGTGTTCTCATTGTTCAATTCCCACCTATGAGTGAGAACATGTGGTGTTTGGTTTTTTGTTCTTGCGATAGTTTACTGAGAATGATGACTTCCAATTTCATCCATGTCCCTCCAAAGACATGAACTCATCATTTTTTATGGCTGCATAGTACTCCATGGTGTATATGTGTCACATTTTCTTAATCCGGTCTATCATTGTTGGACATTTGGGTTGGTTCCAAGTCTTTGCTATTGTGAATAGTGCCGCAATAAACATACGTGTGCATGTGTCTTTATAGCAGCATGATTTATAGTCCTTTGGGTATATACCCAGTAATGGGATGGCTGTGTCAAATGGTATTTCTAGTTCTAGATCCCTGAGGAATCGCCACACTGACTTCCACAATGGTTGAACTAGTTTACAGTCCCTCCAACAGTGTAAAAGTGTTCCTATTTCTCCACATCCTCTCCAGCACCTGTTGTTTCCTGACTTTTTAATGATTGCCATTCTAACTGGTGTGAGATGGTATCTCATTGTGGTTTTGATTTGCATTTCTCTGATGGCCAGTGATGGTGAGCATTTTTTCATGTGTTTTTTGGCTGCATAAATGTCTTCTTTTGAGAAGTGTCTGTTCATGTCCTTCACCCACTTTTTGAGGGTTTCATTCTTTTTTAAAGATTGAATAGCATTCCATTGTGTATATATACCATATTTTCATTCCTGTTTCATCTGTTGATGAGCACTTAAGTTGATTCCATATTTTGGCTATTGCAAATAGTGTTGCAATAAACATGGGGATCTGAACTCTTTGATATGTTGATTTCATTTTTGGGGGGGAGGGGGATCCAGCAGTGGGATTGCTGGATAATATAGTAGTACACCAAGTGTATAGCATTGTATAACAGTTCACTTTTCTCCACATCCTTACCAGCATATGTTATTTCTTGTCTTTTTTTTTTTTTTTTTTTTTTTTTTTTTGGCAGATCCTTGCTCTGGCACCCAGGCTGGAGTGCAGTGGTGCGAACTCAGCTCACTGCAACCTCTGCCTCCCCAGTTCAAGCAATTCTCGTGCCTCAGCCTCCTGAGTAGCTGGGACCACAGGCATGTGCCACCATGCCCAGCTAATTTTTTGTATTTTTAGTAGAGATGGGGTTTCGTCACGTTGGCCAGGCTGTTCTTGAACTCCTGGCATTAAGTGATCTGCCCTCCTTGGCCTCCAAAATGCTGGGATTACAGGCATGAGCCACCATGACTGGCCATTTTCTTGTCTTTTTATTTTATTTTTTTAAATAATAACTATTCTAACTGGGATGAGTGGATAGCTCACTGTGGTGTTGATTTGCATTTCCCTGGTTCTTAGTGATGTTGAGCCTTTTTTCATATACTTGCTGCCCATTTGTGTGACTCCTTTTAAGAAATATCTATTCGAATCCTTTGCCCAAGTTTTGATTGGATTATTTGTGTGTTTCCTATTGAGTTGCTTGCATTGATTACATAGTTTCATATTAACCTCTTGTCAGATGCATAGTATGTGAATATTTCTTCATTCTGTAGGTCATTTCTTCATTCTGTTGTTTCCTTTAAGATGTAAAAGCTTTTTGGCTTGATATTATCCCATTCATCTATTTTAGCTTTGGTTGTTTGTGCTTTTGAGGTCTTATTTGAAAAATTCTTTCCCAGACCAATATCATGAATTGTTTCCCCTGTGTTTTCTTCAAGGATCTTCTTAGTTTCATGTTTTATATTCAAGTCTTTAATCCATTTTGAGTTGATTTTTATATGTTGGGAGAGAGAAGCACCTAGTTTCTTTCTTCTGCTTGTGGATATTCAGTTTATCCAGCACCATTTATTGCAGAGACTTTCCATTCCCCAATGTGTTTTCTTGGTACATATGTCAAAAACTAGTTGGCTATAATTGTATGGATTCATTTTTGGGGTCTCTATTCTCCTCCATCAGTCTATGGATCTGTTTTCATGTTAGTACTATGCTATTTTGTTTACTATTGCTTTGTAGAAAATTTAAAAGCCAGGTAGTGTAATGCATCTAGCTTTGTTCTTTGTGCTCCAGATTGCTTTGGCTGTTTGGAATCATGTGGTTCTGTGCAAATTTAGTATATATATATTTCATATATATACTATATATGTATATATATTTTATGTATTATATATAGTATATATATATACATACTATATAAATATATAGTGTATATATTATATATACTATATAAATATATATATACACTATATATATAGTATATAAATATATAGTATATATAATATATATTTATATACAATATATAATAATATAGTATATAATATATATTTATATACAATATATAATAATATATATAATATATATAATAATATATATTATTAATAATATTAATAGTATATAATCATATAATATTATAATCATATATAATATTCATATTATATATTATATTTATATATACATTTTATATATTAAAAAATATATATATTTTACTTCTGTGAGGAAAGTCCTTAGTATTTTGATAGAGATTGCATTGTATCTGTACATTGGTTTGGGTAGTATGGACATTTTAACAACATTAACTCTACAAATCTATGAGCATGGGTTAACTTTACATTTATTAGTATCCTCTTCAATTTCTTTCATCCATATTTTATTATTTTTTACTGTAGAGATCTTTCACCTCCTTGGTTAAATTTATTTCTAGGTATTTTTTGAAATTTTTTGAAATTTTTGTAGCTATTGTAAAAGAGATAGATTTCTTGATTTCTTTTTCAGATAGTTTGCTGTTGCTGTGTAGAAACACTACTAATTATTGTACATTAAATTTGTAACTTGAAGTTTTACTGAATTCATTTATCAATACTACCAGTTATTTTTCTTTGGTTGAGTCTATAGGGTTTTATACCTATAAGATCATGTTACTGCAGAAAAGGACTTCCTCCTGTCCAATTTGAATGACCTTTATTTCATTCTCTTGTGTAATTGTTCTACCTAAGACTCCCAGTACCATGTTGAGTAGAAGAGAGAATGGACATCCTTGTCTTCTCCTGGATTTTAGAAAAAAAAGCATTCAACTTTTCCTTATTCAACATGATGTTAGCCATGGGTTTGTCATTTTATTTATTTACTTATTTATATTTGAATATTTTAACTTTTATTTTAGGTTCAGGTTTTTTATATGGGTAAACTCATGACTTGGAGTTTTAGTGTACAGATTTTTTTTATTATACTTTAAGTTTTAGGGTATATGTGCACAATGTGCAGGTTTGTTACATATGTATACATGTGCCATGTTGGTGTGCCGCACTCATTAATTCGTCATTTAATATTAGATATATCTCCTAATCCTATCCATCCCCCCTCCCCCTACCCCACAACAGGCCCCGGTGTGTGATGTTTCCCTTCCTGTGTCCATCTGTTCTCATTGTTTAATTCTCACCTATGAGTGAGAACATGTGGTGTATGGTTTTTTGTCCTTGAGATAGTGTGCTGAGAATGATGGTTTCCAGCTTCATCCATGTCCCTACAAAGGACATGAAGTCATCATTTTTTATGGCTGCATAGTATTCCATGGTGTATATGTGCCACATTTTCTTAATCCAGTCTATCATTGATGGACATTTCAGTTGGTTCCAAGTCTTTGCTATTGTGAATAGTGCCGCAATAAACATACGTGCGCACATGTCTTTATAGCAGCATGACTTACAATCTTTTGGGTATATACCCAGTAATGGGATGGCTGGGTCAAATGGTATTTCTAGTTCTAGATCCCTGAGGAATCGCCACACTGACTTCCACAATGGTTGAACTTGTTTGCAGTCCCACCAACAGCGTAAAAGTGTTCCTGTTTCTCCACATCCTCTCCAGCACCTGTTGTTTCCTGACATTTTAATGATCACCATTCTAACTGGTGTGAAATGGTATCTCATTGTGGTTTTGATTTGCATTTCTCTGATGGCCAGTGATGATGAGCATTTTTTCATGTGTCTTTTGGCTGCATAAATATCTTCTTCTGAGAAGTGTCTGTTCATATCCTTCACCCACTTTTTGATGGGGTTGTTTGTTTTTTTCTTGTAAATTTGTTTGAGTTCATTGTAGATTCTGGATATTAGCCCTTTGTCAGATGAGTAGATTGCAAAAATTTTCTCCCATTCTTTAGGTTGCCTGTTCACTCTGATGGTAGTTTCTTTTGCTGTGCAGAAGCTCTTTAGTTTAATTAGATCCCATTTGTCAATTTTGGCTTTTGTCGCCATTGCTTTTGGTGTTTTTGACATGAAGTCCTTGCTCATGCCTATGTCCTGAGTGGTATTGCCTAGGTTTTCTTCTAGGGTTTTTATGGTTTCAGGTCTAACATTTAAGTCTTTAATCCATCTTGAATTAATTTTTGTATAAGGTGTAAGGAAGGGACCCAGTTTCAGCTTTGTACATATGGCTAGCCAGTTTTCCAACACCATTTATTAAATAGGGAATCCTTTCCCCATTTCTTGGTTTTGTCAGGTTTGTCAAAGGTAAGATGGTTGTAGATATGCAGCATTATTTCTGAGGGCTCTGTTCTCTTCCTTTGGTCTATATCTCTGTTTTGGTACCAGTACCATGCTGTTTTGGTTACTGTAGCCTTGTAGTATAGTTTGAAGTCAGGTAGCGTGATGCCTCCAGCTTTGTTCTTTTGGCTTAGGATTGACTTGGCAATGCGGGCTCTCTTTTGGTTCCATATGAACTTTAAAGTAGTTATTTCCAATTCTGTGAAGAAAGTCATTGGTAGCTTGATGGGGATGGCATTGAATCTATAAATTACCTTGGGCAATATGGCCGTTTTCACGATATTGATTCTTCCTATTCACGAGCATGGAATGTTCTTCCATTTGTTTGTGTCCTCTTTTATTTCATTGAACAGTGTTTTGTAGTTCTCCTTGAAGAGGTCCTTCACATCCCTTGTAAGTTGGATTCCTAGGTATTTTATTCTCTTTGAAGCAATTGTGAATGGGAGTTCACTCAGGATTTGGCTCTCTGTCTGTTATTGTTGTATAAGAATGCTTGCGATTTTTGCACATTGATTTTGTATCCTGAGACTTTGCTGAAGTTGCTTATCAGCTTAAGGATATTTGGGGCTGAGACGATGGGGTTTTCTAAATATACAATCATGTCATCTGCAAACAAGGACAATTTGACTTCCTCTTTTCCTAATTGAATACCCTTTATTTCTTTCTCCTGCCTGATTGCCCTGGCCAGAACTTCCAACACTATGTTGAATAGGAGTGGTGAGAGAAGGCATCCTTGTCTTGTGCCAGTTTTCAAAGGGAATGCTTCCAGTTTTTGCCCATTCAGTATGATATTGGCTGTGTGTTTGTCATAGATAGCTCTTATTATTTTGAGATACGTCCCATCAATGTGTACAGATTATTTTGCTGTCTGGGTACTAAGCACAGTACCCGAAGTTTTTTTCCCCTGGACTTCTTTCTCCTCCCATCCTCCTCCTTCACGCAGGCCTCACAGTGTGAGGCCTCTTTCTGCCCATGGGTTATCATTATTTAGCTCCCAATTATAAGTGAAAACATAGGTTTGGTTTTCTGTTCCTGTGGTAGTTTGCTAAGGATAATGGCCTCTGATTCCATTCATGTTCCTGAAAAGGACATGATTTCTTTTTTTTTTTTAATGGATGCTTAGTATTGCATCGTGTGTATGTACCACATTTTCTTTATCCAGTCTGCAGTAGTTGAGCATTTAGGCTGATTTCATGCCTTTGCTATTGTGAATAGAGCTACAATGAACACATGCTTGCATGTGTTTTCGTGGTGGAAAGATTTATATTTATTTGGGTTTATATCCAGTAGTGGGATTGCTGGGTCAAATGGTAGTTCTGTTTTTAATTACTTGAGGAATCACCACACTGCTTTCCACAATGGTTGAACTAATTTACACTCCCACCAGCAGTGTATAAGCGTTCCCTTTTGTCCACAACCTCACCAGCATCTGTGATTTTTTAACTTTTTAATAATAGCTATTCTGACTAGTGTGAGATGGTATCTTATTGCTGCTTTGATTTGCATTTCTCTAATGATTAGTCATGATGAGCATTTTTTCATATGCTTGTTGGCTTGTATGTATATGCTTGTATGTCTTCTTTTGAAACGTGTCGGTTTATGTCCTTTTCCCACTTTTTAGTGAGGTGGGTTGTTTGATTTTTCCTTGTATGTTTAAGTTCCTCGTAGATTTTGTATATTAGGCCTTTGTCACATATATAGTTTGTCAATATTTTCCTCCATTCTGCAGGTTGCCTATTTACTCTGTTGATAGTTTCTTTTGCTGTGCAGAAGTTCTTTAGTTTAATTAGGTCTTATTTGTCAACTTTTGCTTTTGGTGTTTTTTTCAAAAAATCGTTGTCAGCTCCTATGTCCAAAATGGTATTTCCTAGGGTATCTTCCAGGGTTTTTATAGTTTTAGAGTTTTACATTTTGGTCTTTAATCCACCTTGAGTTGATATTTATTTATTTATTTATTTATTTATTTATTTATTTATTTTTGCAACGGAGTCTCACTCTGTCGCTAGGCTGCAGTGCAGTAGTGTGATCTCGGCTCACTGCAACCTCCACCTCCCGGGTTCAAGTGATTCTCCTGCCTCAGCTTTCCGGCATATGGATTTTATATATGGCATAAGTCTAGTTTCAGTTTTCTTCATATGGCTAACCAGTAATCACAGCACCATTAATTTAATAGGGAGTCTTTTCCCTCTTGCTTGTTTCTGTCAGATTTGTCAAAGATCCAATGGTTGTAGGTATGTGGCTTTATTTCTGTGCTCACTATTTTGTTCCATTGGTCTATGTGTCTGTTTTGGTATCAGTTCCATGCTGTTTTGATTACTACATCCTTGTAGTACAATTTGAAGTTGGTCAATGTGATTCCTTCAGCTTTGCTCTTTTTGCCTAGGATTGCCTTGTGTATTTAGACTCTTTTATTAGCTCCATATGAATTTTTGAGTAGTTATTTCCATTTCTGTGTAGAATGTCATTGGTAGTTTGATAGGAATAAAATTGAATCTGTAAATTGTTTTGAGGTGTATGGCCAGTTTACCAATATTGATTCTTCCCTTCCATGAACATGGAATGTTCTTCCAATTGTTTGGGTCATCTCTGATTTCTTTGAAGAGTGTTTTTTAATTCTCATAGTAGAGATCTTTCACCTCGCTAGTTAACTGTATTCCTAAGCTTTTTATTATTTTGTGGCAATTGTGAATGGGATTGTGTTCCTGATTTGCCTCTTGGCTTGGGTGATGTTAGTGTATAGGAGTGCTACTAATTTTTGTACATTGATCTTGTATCCTGAAACTTTGCTGAAGTTGATTATCAACTCAAGGAGTTTCGGGGCAGAGGCTATGGAGTTTTCTAGATGCAGAATCATATTGTCTGCAAACAGGGATAATTTGACCTTCTCTCTTCTTGTTTGGATGCCTGTTGTTTCTCTCTCATGCCTAATTGTTCTGGCCAGGGAATCCAATACTATGTTGAATAGGTGTGGTGGGAGTAGGCATCCTTGTCTTGTTCCAGTTTTCAAGGAAAATACTTCCAACTATTCCCCGTTCAGTATGATGTTGGCTGTGGGTTTGTTGTAGGTGGCTCTTATTATTTTAGAGTGTGTTCCTTCAAAGCTTAGTTTATTTGGGCTTTTAAATATGAAGGGATGTTGAATTTTTATCAAAAACCTTTTCTGAAACTATTGAGATAATCATTTGGTTTTGTTTTTAGTCCTGTTTATGTGATGAATCATATTTAATGATGTGCATATGGTGAACCAATCTTGCATGCTCAGGGGTAAAGACTACCTGATGATGGTGGATTAACTTTCTGATGCACTGCTAGATTCGGTTGCTAGTATTATGTTGAAGATTTTCGCATCTATATTCATCAAGATTGTCAGCCTGAAGTTGTCTTTTTTGTTGTGTCTCTGCTAGGTTTTGGTATCAGGATGATGCTGGCCTCATAGAATGAGTTGGGGAGGAGTCACTCCTCCTCAAAATTATTTTGAATAGCTTCAGTAGGAATGTTATGAGCTCTTCTTTGTACATGTGGTAGAATTTGGCTGTGTATCTATTTGGTCCTAGGCTTTTTTTTTTTTTGGTTGGTAGGCCATTTATTACTGATTCAATTTCAGAGATCATTCTTGGTCTTTTCAGGGATTCAGTTTCTTCCTGGTTTAGTCTTGTGAGGATATATGTGTCCAGAAATGTATACATTTCTTCTAGATTTTCAAGTTTGTGTGCATAGAGGTGTTTATTATAGTCTCTGGTGTTTATTTGTACATCTGTGGGGTCAGTGGTAATGTCACCTTTGTAATTTTTAACTGTGTTTATTTGAATCTTCTCTCTTTTCTTCTTTATTAGTCTAGCTAGTGGCCATTTATTTCATTTTTTTTTCAAAAACACCAACCCCTGGATTCATTATTCTTTTGTATAGTTTTTCATATCTCTATCTCCTTTAGTTCAGCTCTGATTTTGGTTATGTCTTATCTTTTGCTGACTTTGGGGTTGGTTTCCTCTTGTTCTCTAGTTCTGCTAGTTGTGATGTTAAGTTGTGAATTTGAGATCTTTCTAAATTTTTGATGTGGGCATTTAGTGCTATAAATTTACATCTTAACACTGCTTTAGCTGTGTCCCAGAGATTCTGGTGTGTTGTGCCTTTGTTCTCATTACTTTCAAAGAACATCTTGATCTCCACCTTACTTTCATTATTTAACCAAGAGTCGTTCAGGAGCAGGTTGCTTAATTTCCATGTAATTGTATGATTTGTATCTTACTTTTGGCCTTGATTTTTATTTTCATTGCACTGTGATCTGACAGTGTGGTTGGTATGATTTGATTTTTGTTTGTTTTTTAATTTGCTGAGGATTGTGTTATGTCCAATTGCATGGCTGATTTTAGAGTATATACCATGTTGCCATGAAGAGAATGTATATTCTGTTGTCTTTTCAGATATTTCTGTATGTGTCTATCAGGTCCATTTGGTCAAGTGTTAAGTTCAGGTCCTGAATCTCTTTGTTAATTTCCTGCCCCAATGATCTACCAGTTACTGTCTGTGGGCTGTTGAAGTCTCCCGCTATTATTGTGTGTGAATCTAAGTTTCTTCATAGATCCCAAAGAGTTTGTTTTATGAATCTGGGTACACCTGTGTTGGGTATATATATATATAGCCCTTATTTGCCTTTTATAATCTTTGTTGGTTTCAAATCTGTTTGGTCTGAAATTAAGATTGCAACCCCTGTTTTTTTTTTCTGTTATCCATTTGTTCAGTAGATTTTTCTCTATCTCTTTATTTTGAGCTTATGGGTGTCATTGCATGTGAGATGGGTCTTTTGAAGACAGCATATCATTGGGTATTGCTTCTTTATTTGGCTTGATGCCTTGTGCCTTTTAATTAGGACATTTGGCCCATTTTTATTCAAGGTTAGTATTGATATGTGTGGATTTGATCCTGTCATCATGTTGTTAGCTTCTTATTATGAAGACTTGTTTGGATGATTACTTTATAGTGTCTCTGGTCTGTGTACTTAAGTGTGTTTATGTAGTGGCTGGTAATGCTCTTTCCTTTCCACAATTA
Organism: Homo sapiens; assembly: GCF_000001405.40. Lineage (NCBI taxonomy): Eukaryota > Metazoa > Chordata > Mammalia > Primates > Hominidae > Homo > Homo sapiens. The sequence continues at coordinate 57,946,415 of NC_000023.11, forward strand.
GACCTTCTTTCAGGAGCTCTTACAGTGCAGGTCTGACGGTAATGAATTCCCTCAACATTTGCTTGCCTGAAAAGTATTTAATTTGGTGGGTGTGGTGGCTCATGCCTGTAATCCCAGCACTTTGGGAGGCTGAGGTGGGCGGACCACGAAGTCAGGAGATGGAGACCACCCTGGCTAACAGAGTGAAACCCCGTCTCTACTAAAAATACAAAAAAATTACCTGGGCATAGTGGTGGGTGCCTGTAGTCCCAGCTACTAGGGAGGCTGAGGCATGATAATGGCGTGAACCCAGGAGGTGGAGCTTGTAGTGAGCTGAGATCACGCCAGTGCACTCCAGCCTGGGCAACAGAGACAGACACCCTCTCCAAAAAAAGAAAAACAAACAAAAAAAAAGGATCTTATTTCACCTTCAGTTATGAAGCTTAGTTTGGCTAAATAAGAAATTCTTGCTTGATGCCATTGCTTTTGGTGTTTTAGACATGAAGTCCTTGCCCATGCCTAGGTCCTCAATGGTATTGCCTAGGTTTTCTTCTAGGGTTTTTATGGTTTTAGGTCTAACGTTTAAGTCTTTAATCCATCTCAAATTAATTTTTGTATAAGGTTTAAGGAAGGGATCCAGTTTCAGCTTTCTACATATGGCTAGCTAGTTTTCCCAGCATGATTTATAGGGAATCCTTTCCCCATTTCTTGGTTTTGTCAGGTTTGTCAAAGATCAGATGGTTGTAGATATGCGGCATTATTTCTGAGGGCTCTGTTCTGTTCCATTGGTCTATATCTCTGTTTTGGTACCAGTACCATGCTGTTTTGGTTACTGTAACCTTGTAGTATAGTTTGAAGTCAGGTAGCGTGATGCCTCCAGCTTTGTTCTTTTGGCTTAGGATTGACTTGGCAATGTGGGCTCTTTTTTGGTTCCATATGAACTTTAAAGTAGTTTTTTCCAATTCTGTGCAGAAAATCATTAGTAGCTTGATGGGGATGGCATTGAATCGATAAATTACCTTGGCAGCATGGCCATTTTCATGATATTGATTCTTCCTATCCATGAGCATGGAATGTTCTTCCATTTGTTTGTGTCCTCTTTTATTTCGTTGAGCAGTGGTTTGTAGTTCTCCTTGAAGAGGTCCTTCACATTCCTTGTAAGTTGGATTCCTAGGTATTTTATTCTCTTTGAAGCACTTGTGAATGGGAGTTCACTCATGATTTGGCTTTCTGTTTATCTGTTATTGTTGTATAAGAATGCTTGTGATTTTTACACATTGATTTTGTATCCTGAGACCATGCTGAAGTTGCCTATCAGCTTAAGGAGATTTTGGGCTGAGACGATGGGGTTTTCTAAATATACAATAATGTCATCTGCAAACAGGGACAATTTGACTTCCTCTTTTCCTAATTGAATACCCTTTATTTGTTTCTCCTGCTTGATTGCCTTGGCGAGAACTTCCAACACTATGTTGAATAGGAGTGGTGAGAGAGGGCATCCCTGTCTTGTGCCAGTTTTCAAAGAGAATGCTTCCAGTTTTTGCCCATTCAGTATGATATTGGCTGTGGGTTTGTCATAAATAGCTCTTATTATTTTGAGATACATCCCATCAATACCTAATTTATTGAGAGTTTTTAGCATGAAGGGCTATTGAATTTTGTCAAAGGCCTTTTCTGCATCTATTGAGATAATCGTGTTTTTTGTCTTTGGTTCTCTTTATATGCTGGATTGCATCTATTGATTTGCGTATGTTGAACCAGACTTGCATCCTAGGGATAAAGCCCACTTGATCATGGTGGATAAGCTTTTTGATGTGCTGCAGGATTCAATTTGCCAGTATTTTATTGAGGAATTTTGCATTGATGTTCGTCAGGGATATTGGTCTAAAATTCTCTTTTTTTTGTTGTGTCTCTGCCAGGCTTTGGTATCAGGATGATGCTGGCCTCATAAAATGAGTTAGGGAGGATTCTCTCTTTTTCTATTGATTGGAATAGTTTCAGAATGAATGGTACCAGCTCCTCCTTGTACCTCTGGTAGATTTTGGCTGTGAATCCGTCTGGTTCTGGAATTTTTTTGGTTGGTAAGCTATTAATTGTTGCCTCAATTTCAGAGCCTGTTATTGGTCTATTAAGAGATTCAACTTCTTCCTGGTTTAGTTTTGGGAGGCTGTAGGTGTCCAGGAATTTATCCATTTCTTCTAGAATTTCTAGTTTATTTCTGTAGAGGTGTTTATAGTATTCTCTGATGGTAGTTTGTATTTCTGTGGGATTGGTGGTGATATCCCCTTTATCATTTTTATTGCATCTATTTGATTCTTCTTTCTTTTCTTCTTTATTTGTCTTGCCAGCAGTCTATCAATTTTGTTGATCTTTTCAAAAAATTGGCAAATGGGATCTAATTGAACTAGAGAGCTTCTGCACAGCCAAAGAAACTACCATCAGAGTGAACAGGCAACCTACAGAATGGGAGAAAATCTTTGCAACCTACTAATCTGACAAATGGCTTATATCCAGAATCTGCAAAGAACTCAAACAAATTTACAAGAAAAAAACAAACAACCCCATCAACAAGTGGGCGAAGGATATGAACAGACACTTCTCAAAAGAAGACATTTATGCAGCCAAAAGACACAAGAAAGAATGCTCATCATCACTGGCCATCAGAGAAATGCAAATCAAAACCACAATGAGATACTATCTCACACCAGTTAGAATGGCAATGATTAAAAAGTCAGGAAACAACAGGTGCTGGAGAGGATGTGGAGAAAGAGGAACACTTTTACACTGTTGGTGGGACTGTAAACTAGTTCAATCATTGTGGAAGTTAGTGTGGTGATTTCTCAAGGATCTAGAACTGGAAATACCATTTGACCCAGCCATCCCATTACTGGGTATATACCCAAAGGATTATAAGTCATGCTGCTATAAAAACACGTGCATAGGTATGTTTGTTGTGGTACTATTCACAATAGCAAGGACTTGGAACCAACCCAAATGTCCATCAATGATAGAATAGATTAAGAAAATGTGGCACATATACACCATGGAATAGTATGCAGCCATAAAAAATGATGAGTTCATGTCCTTTGTAGGGACGTGGGTGAAGCTGGAAACCATAATTCTCAACAAACTATCGCAAGGACAAGAAATCAAACACCACATGTTCTCACTCATAGGTAGGAATTGAACAATGAGAACACTTGGACACAGGAAGGGGAACATCACACACCGGGGCCTGTTGTGGGGTGAGGGGAGAGGGGAGAGATAGCATTAAGAGATATACATAATGTAAATGGCGAGGTAATGGTTGCAGCACACCAACATGGCACATTTACACATATGTAACAAACCTGCACGTTGTGCACATGTACCCTAGAAATTAAAGTATATTAATAAAAAAAAGAAAAAAAAGAAATTCTTACTTGAAATTTCTTTCAGTTAACAATGTTCAATATAGGCCCTCAATCTCCTATGGCCTGTAATGTTTTTGCTCAGTGGTCCACTGTTATTCTGATGTGCTTTGTAGGTAACCTTTCTTTTCTCTCTAGCTGTCTTTAACATTTTTTTTTAATTTCTAATTTGAAGAATATGATGATTATGTGTCTTGCGAATGATCTTTTTGTGAAGTGTCTTGTGGGGATTCTCTGCATTTTCCGAATTTGAATGTTGGTCTCTTTATTTAGGTTGGGAAAGTTCTCAAGGATGATGTCCTGTAATATGTATTCAAAGTTGCTACCCTTATCCCCATCTCTTTCAGCAATGCCAGTGATTCCTGTATTTGGTCTCTATACATACTTCTATATTTCTGGAAAGTTTTGTTCATTCCTTTTCTTTCTTTTTTTCTTTATTCTTGTCTGACTGTCTTATTTCAGAAAACCACTCTTCAAGCTCTGAGAGCCTTTACTCAGCCTGGTCTATTCTGCTGATAATACTTGTGGTTGCATTATGAAATTCTTCTTGTGTTTTTTCAGCTCTACCAGGTCAGTTATTTTCTTTTCTCTACTGGTTGTTTTGCCTGTGAGCTCTTGTTTCCCTTTATTGTGATTCTTAGCTTCCTTGGACTGGGTTTTAATGTTCTGAATCTTGATAATCTTTGTTCCTATCCATATTCTGAATTCTATTTCTGCCATTTTAGTTGTATCAGCCCAGTTACAAAGCCTCATTGGAGAATTAGTAGGATCATTCGGAGAAGAGAAGGTACTCTGTCTTTTTGAGTTGCCAGAGTTTTTGTGCTGTTTTTTTTTTCCATTTCTGTGGACTGATGTTTCTTGTCTTTGAAATTGCTGTCCGTTAGATGAATTGTTTTAATTCTTTCTTATTTGATGCCCTTGGTGATTGATTATGATATAAGGCGGGAATTTTGACTGGCTACGATTCTAGTCTTCTCCTGGGTCTTTGAGAAGCCCCCTCCAATTACTATCTCTGTATCCATGTTTATTTTGCTGGGTATTGTGGTCCACAAGGCTCCGTTAGGCTGAGGCTGCAGTTGGCCAAGAAGATGTGTCCTCACCAGGTTGGCCCTAATCTGCTGTCTGTGTGCTTTCTGGGAAAGTATAGGGTTGCATCCATCCATGGAGTTCAGGTGGTAGCGGGATGGCTGGGTTGGGAATTCTAGAGAGTGTGATCCATCTGGCTACAGGGGATGGGGTGGGTGGGGTTGCCAGTCCTGCTGTCTGGATGTTTCCAGGCCAAGAGGAGACAGTGCCCCTTGGCAAATTAAGGCAGACTGCTGTGCTAGAAGCTCTAACAGTTTTTCCCTGCATGACTATCAGTGGCAGGAGTGGGAAGGGTCATCCGCCCTGCCATCTAGATGTTTCCCAGAATAACAGGAGGCCATGTCCCCCACCTGAGTTCATACAGAATTAGGGCCATTTAGTGGCAAGCTGCAGCAAGTGTTCCCCACCTCGCTACCGGAGGTGGGGGAAGGTGGAAACTTGTGCTCCACTGTCTGGGTGTTTCCTGGGAATACAGAAAGCTGCACCTTGCAGCTGAGCTCCCACCAAACAAGGCTTCTGGCCTAGATAGTCTAGCAGGTATTATCTGCCTGGCTATCAGTGGTGGGGGTGGGTGGCATCTTGTGCTGATTTCGGGGTGTTTACTGTGACAACAGGGAGCTGCACCCTCTCCCCCACCAAACAGCTGAGTTCACACGGAAACAAGGCTGCTAGAAGCTTCAGCAGGCATTGCCTACCTGGCTATCAGTAGTGGGGGCAGGTGGGGTCACTTGCTCTGCTCCCTGCTAAGCCCAAACAGCCTGCTGTCAGGGTGTTTCCTGTGACAATAGGAAGCTGCACCCTCCAGCTGAGTTCACAAAGCAGCAAGGCCACTGGGCTGGAAGCTCTAGCAAGAATTGCCTGCCTGGCTACTAGTGGTGGGAGTGGGTGAGGTCTCTCCCTCTGCCATCTGGTGTTTCCTGTGATACAGGAAACTGCACCCTCCTGCTGAATTCACACAGAAACAGGGAAGCTGGGCCAGAGACTCTAGCAGGCCCGCCAGCCTGGCTACAAGTGGCAGACACAGATGAGGTCATGTGCTCTGATCTCCAGGTTTTTCCCATGACAACAGGAAGCTGCTCCCTCCAGCTGAGCTCACATAGAAGCAAGGCTTCTGGACCAGAAGGTCTAGCAGGCATTGCCCCCGCTGGCTACCAGGGTCAAGGGCAAGTAGTCTTGTGCTTTGCTGTCCAGGTGCTTCCTGTTACAACAGGAAGCTATGACCTCCAGCTGAGCTCACACAGCAGCCAGTCCACTGGGCCAGAGGGTCTAGTAGGCTTTGCCCATCTGGCTACCAGTGGTGAGGGTGGATGTGGTCTTATGCTCTGCCATCTGAGAGTTTCATGCAAAAACAGGAAGCTGCATCCTCCAGGTGGGCTCACACAGCAGTGGAGCTGCTTGGCCAGAGGCTTTAACATATATCAGCCACCTGGTTACTAATGGCAGGAGTGGCTAGGGTCTCAGGCTCTGATGTTCAGGGTGTGTTTCCCATGGCAACAGGAAGTTGTGCCCTCCAGCTGAGTTCACACAAATGTGGGACTGCTGGCTGGCTGGCTACCAGTGCCAGAGGTGGAAGACGTGGCTGGCTGAGTTCATGCTGAATCAGGACTACTGGTCCAGAAGCTGGCACTGAGCCCTGGCCAGGAAGCTGTGTTGAAGCAATGTCAGTGCTCTCCAGCACTGCAACTGGAGCCTTTATTGTGGCTGTGGCACTTATGCTGGTCTGCTCTGGGACCCAAGGCTTCTGGGCATCCCCTTGGACTTGGGAATTGCCTCCTTAAAATTTTAGGGTGGCTCTCTGTCTGAGTCTAGAAGTGTGTTGGGGGGGTACAGGGTGTTCAGGGTTATTCTCACTTTCCCAGTCTTTCACAGTCCCTGTGGGGAGTGTGAATCCCCCTGGGGGCTCTCACTCATTCTTTCCCATGTTGGGGAGGTTCCTTTGGCTCCCTACTGAGCCCAGACAGGCTGGTGCCGAGCTTCACTCCTCTGTGTTCTCTGTGTTCCCCTGCTGCCCTGATGGATCCTGACATAGTTACTCAGATGAGTGGTCTGCAAAGTCTATGTGCACTACCCCTTTTGTTTACTCTCCATGACGGTAGCACAAATGAGATGCTTGTTATCCATCATCTTAGCCATGCCTCTGACTTTGTCATTTATGGCCTTTACTGCAATGAAGTATGTTCTTTCTAGACCTAATTTGTTTTGTATTTCTCTTAAAACAGGATATAAAATTGTATTGAATGTTCTTTCTGTATCTATTGAGAACAACATAAATTTTTCCCTTCATTCTATTAATGTAATGTATCATGTATTCTGATTTGCATATGTTGAACTATCCTTATATCCTTGGGATGAATACCATATGGTCATGGTGAAATACTTTTTGATGTGCTGTTAAATTTGCTTTTATGGTGTTTGCATGAGAAATTTTGCATCTATGGTCATTGAGGATATTGGCATGTAGTTTTTGCTGTGTTTTTGAAGAACTTGGTGAAGAGGATGATGCTGTAATTGGAGAATGAGTTTGGAAAATTTTCCTCCACATCAATTGTTTGAAACAGCTAAGCTGTCTCTCAGACAACAGTGCAATCAAACTAGAACTCAGGATTAAGAAACTCACTCAAAACCGCTCAACTACATGGAAACTGAATAACCTGCTCCTGAATGACTACTGGGTACATAACGAAATGAAGGCAGAAATAAAGATGTTCTTTGAAACCAACAAGAACAAAGACACAACATACCAGAATCTCTGGGACACATTCAAAGCAGTGTGTAGAGGGAAATTTATAGCACTAAATGCCCACAGGAGAAAGCAGGAAAGATCTAAAATTGACACCCTAACATCACAAAAGAAAAAGAGAAGCAAGAGCAAACACATTCAAAAGCTAGCAGACGGCAAGAAATAACGAAGATCAGAGCAGAACTGAAGGAGATAGAGACACAGAAAACCCTTCAAAAAATCAATGAATCCAGGAACTGGATTTTTGAAAAGATCAACAAAATTGATAGACCGCTAACGAGACTAATAAAGAAGAAAAGAGAGAAGAATCAAATAGATGCAATAAAAAATGATAAAGGGGATATCACCACTGATCCCACAGAAATACAAACTACCATCAGAGAATACTATAAACACCTCTATGCAAATAAACTAGAAAATCTAGAAGAAATGGATAAATTCCTCAACACATACAGCCTCCCAAGACTAAACAAGGAAGAAGTTGAATCTCTTAATAGACCAATAACAGGCTCTGAAATTGAGGCAATAATTAATAGCTTAGCAACTAAAAGAAGTCCAGGACCAGAAGGATTCACAGCCGAATTCTTCCAGAGGTACAAGGAGGAGCTGGTACCATTCCTTTTGAAACTATTCCAATCAATAGAAAAAGAGAGAATCCTCCCTAACTCATTTTATGAGGCCAGCATCATCCTGATACCAAAGCCTGGCAGAGACACAACAAAAAAAGAGAATTTTAAACCAATATCCCTGATGAACATCGATGCAAAAAACTTCAATAAAGTACTGGCAAACCGAATCCAGCAGCACATCAAAAAGCTTATCCACCATGATCAAGTGGGCTTCATCCCTGGGATGCAAGGATGGTTCAACATATGCAAATCAATAAATGTAATCCAGCATATAAAGAGAACCAAAGACAAAAACCACATGATTATCTCAGTAGATGCAGAAAAGGTCTTTGACAAAATTCAACAACGCTTCATGCTAAAAACTCTCAATAAATTAGGTATTGATGGGAAGTATCTCAAAATAACAAGAGCTATCTATGACAAACCCACAGCCAATATCATACTGAATGGCACAAACTGGAAGCATTCCCTTTGAAAACTGGCACAAGACAGGGATGCCGTCTCTCGGCAGCAGAAGGAAATAAAGGGTATTCAATTAGGAAAAGGGGAAGTCAAATTGTCCCTGTTTGCAGATGACGTGACTGTATATTTAGAAAGCCCCATCGTCTCAACCCCAAATCTCCTTAAGCTGATAAGCAACTTCAGCAAAGTCTCAGGATACAAAATCAATGTGCAAAAATCACAAGCATTCTTATACAACAATAACAGACAAACAGAGAGCCAAATCCTGAGTGAACTCCCATTCACAATTGCTTCAAAGAGAATAAAATACCTAGGAATCCAACTTACAAGGGATGTGAAGGACCACTTCAAGAAGAAATACAAACCACTGCTCAATGAAGTAAAAAAGAGGACACAAACAAATGGAAGAACATTCCATGCTCGTGGATAGGAAGAATCAATATCATGAAAATGGCCATACTGCCCAAGATAATTTATAGATTCAGTGTCATCCCCCTCAAGCTACCAAAGACTTTCTTCACAGAATTGGAAAAAAACTACTTTAAAGTTCATATGGAACCAAAAAAGAGCCCACATTGCCAAGTCAGTCCTAAGCCAAAAGAACAAAGCTGGAGGCATCATGCTACCTGACTTCAAACTACACTACAAGGCTACAGTAACCAAAACAGCATGGTACTGGTACCAAAACAGAGATATAGACCAATAGAACAGAACACAGCCCTCAGAAATAATGCTGCATATCTACAACCATCTGATCTTTGACAAACCTGACAAAACCAAGAAATGGGGAAAGGATTCCCTATTTAATAAATGGTGTTGGGAAACAGGCTAGCCATATGTAGAAAGACGAAACTGGGTCCCTTCTTTACACCTTATACAAAAATTAATTCAAGATGGATTAAAGACTTAAATGTTAGACCTAAAACCATAAAAACCCTAGAAGAAAACCTAGGCAATACCATTGAGGACCTAGGCATGGGTAAGGACTTCATGTCAAAAACACCAAAAGCAATGGCAACAAAAGCCAAAATTGACAAATGGGATCTAATCAAACTAAAGAACTTCTGCACAGCAGAAGAAACTACCATCAGAGTGAACAGGCAACCTACAGAATGGGACAAAATTTTTGTGATCTACTCCTCTGACAAAGGGCTAATATTCAGAATCTACAATGAACTCAAACAAATTTACAAGAAAGAAACGAACAACCTCATCAAAATGCGGGCAAAGGATATGAACAGACACTTCTCAAAAGAAGACATTTATGCAGCCAAAAGACACATGAAAAAATGCTCATCATCACTGGCCATCAGAGAAATGGAAATCAAAACCGCAATGAGACATCATCTCACACCAGTTAGAATGGTGATCATTAAAACGTCAGGAAATAACAGATGCTGGAGAGGATGTGGAGAAAGACGAACACTTTTACACTGTTGGTGGGACTGTAAACTAGTTCAACCATTGTGGAAATTAGTGTGGCGATTCCTCAGGGATCTAAAACTAGAAATGCCATTTGACCCAGCCATCCCATTACTGGGTATATACCGAAAAGGTTATAAATCATGCTGCTATAAAGACACGTGGACACATATGTTTATTGCGGCACTATTCACAGTAGTAAAGACTTGGATCCAACCAAAATGTCCAACAATGATAGACTGGATTAAGAAAATGTGGCACATATACACCATGGAATACTATGCAGCCATAAAAAATGATGAGTTCATGTCCTTTGTAAGGACATGGATGAAGCTGGAAACCATCATTCTCAGCAAACTATCCCAAGGACAAAAATCCAAACACCACATGTTCTCACTCATTGGTGGGAATTGAACAATGAGAACACATGGACACAGGAAGGGAAACATCACACACCAGGGCTTGTTGTGGGGTGGGCGTAGGGAGGGATAGCATTAGGAGCTAAACCTAATGCTAAATGACAAGTTAATGGGTGCAGCATACCATCATGGCACATGTGTACATATGTAACAAACCTGCACATTGTGCACATGCACCCTAAAACTTAAAGTGTAAAAAAAAAATTAAAAAAAAACTGGTATTAGTTTCTGCATAAATATTTGGTAGAATTTAGTAGTGAAATAATCATGTACTTGCCCTTTGTCTAACGAGAGTCTTTTTGTTACTGTTTCAATCTTAGTACTCATTATCGTTTTCTTCAGGTTTTCAATTTCTTCATGATTAAATCTTGATAGGCTGTATGCTTCCAGGAATTCATTTCTTCAGCGTTTTCTAGTTTGTTAGCATGTAGTCTCTAATGATGCTTTTTATTTCTGTGATATTAGTTATGGTGTGTCCTTCATCTCTGATTTTATTTATTTCTATTGTAGTGTAGTTAAAGGATTTTTAAAATTATGTTATATTTTCAAAAAAAGAACTATTCTTCTTGTTGATCTTTTGTATGGTTTCTTTAGTCTGTACTTTTTTAAATTTCTGTTGTGATTCTTATAATTTCTTTCCTTTTGCTGACTTTTGGCTTGGTTTTCCTTTTGTTTGTTTTTCTAGCTCCTTGAAGTAGAATGCTAGGTTATTTATTTGAAAACTTGAACAAAACAAATACTGTTCATTGTTGAATGTGGAGGTGTTGAAAGCCCCTACTATTATTGTATAGTGTATGTCTCTGCCTTTAAGTCTATTAATATTTGCTTTATAAATTCAGCTGCTTTTATTTGGGGTGCATATATATTTGTAATTGCTATATCCTCCTGCTCTATTGACATCTTTATCATTCTATAATGGCCTTTTCTGTTTCCTTATACAGCTTTTTGGTTAAGGGCTATTTTATCTGACATAAGTATACCTACTCCTGCTCTTTTTTGGTTTTATTTGCATGGAATATTTATTTTCATCCCTTCGCCTTTAGTTTGTGCATTTTCTTACAGATGAAGTGAGGCTCTTGTAGCACTATATATTTGGGTCTTGGGTCCTGTTTTTTCTTTTTTCCCAATTCAGCCACTCCATGTCTTTTAATTGGAGAATTTCGTTAATTCATATTCAAGGTAATTATTGATAAGTAAGGGCTTACTACTGCCGTTTTGTTGTTTTCTATTTGTTTTGTAGGTTATTTCTTTTTCTCTTATGATTTTTATTTGTGTTTAAATACTTTCCTTTAGTAGTATGTTTTGATTTCTTGCATTTTATTTTTGGTGTCATTACTATAGTTTTTTTGCTTCATAGTTACCACGAGGCTTACAAAAAATGTCTTATAAGGAGTTATTTTAAGCTGATAACATCACAGAAGAAAAACTGTCACAGAACAACTTATCACAGAGGAAAAGCTTTCTTTTCTTATCACAAATAAAAAAATTAACAAATATGCTACACATTTTGACTCCATTCTGCCCCACATGTTTTGAATTTGGTATTAAAATTTCCATGTTTATATTACCCGTCTCAACAAATTACTGAAGTAACATTATTGTTTTTAATAGTTTCTATTTTAGTTTCCATATTAAAGTTTTAAGTGGTTTACATCCCATAATTTCAGTAGTAGAATTACAATTATGTAACATTCTTTTCTTTTGGTTTGAGAAACTCCCTTTAAAATTTCTTATAGGACAGATCCGTTAGTGATAAATGCCGCCAGCTATTGTTTGTCTGTAAAAGTCATTATCTCGTCTTTATTTCTGAAGGATAGCTTTACTGGGTAAAGTATTCTTGGTTGACAGCTTTCTTCCTTTGCACTCTGAATACATAGTCTCACGTCTCCTGTCCTCTAAAGTTTCTGCAGAGAAGTCTACTACCAGTCATGTTTGATCTCCATTGTATGTTATTTTCTTCCTATCTCTTGCTGTTTTCAGAATCCTTTCTTTGTCTTAGACCTTTCAGAGTTTGATTATAATATGTGATGGAGTTGTCTTATTTGGATTGAATCAGATTAGTGACTTTTCACCTTCCTGTACATGGATATTTATGTGCTTCTCCTCATTCAAAAAATTTCTGTTATTACTTTTTGAAAAGCTTTTGTACTTTTTTCCTCAATTTTTTCTTTAACTATAATAAACTAAATATTTGCTCTTTTCATGTTTTCCTACACATCCTGTCAGCTCTCTTAATCCTTTTTTATTTTTAATTCTTATTTATCCTCTGTCTGCGTATTTTCCAAACAGCCTGTCTTCAAGCTCATTTATTCTTTCTTCTGTTTGATTAATTCTTCTACTGATGCTCTCTATTGCTTTTTTCTTTCTTTCCTTGTATTTTTTGGTTCCAGAATTTCTGTTTGATTTTTTATTATTTCAATCTCTGTGTTAGATTTATGTGATAAATTTTTGAATTAATTTTCTGTGCTTTATTGAAGTTTATTGTTCCTCCTTAAAACAACTATTTTGAATTTAATGTCTGAGACATCAAATATGTCTATAAATTTTGGGTCAGTTTCTGGCATCTTATTTTGTCCTTTTGAATGGGCCATATTTCCCTGAATGTTCTTGATGTTGGTGGATCTGTGACAATGTCTGTATATTGAGGGATCAGGTATTTGTTTCAATCTCCACAGTCTGAGTTTGTTTGTGCCTGTCTTTCAGAGAGCCTTGCAGAGATTCTAAGCAGACTGACTGTACAGCCTGTGACACTAAAGTTGTCTCAGCACTAGAGAGGCCTCTAAGCCCAGGCTTTCCATGAGCCTCAGGAGGGCTATGAGTTTGATGCAGTTCTAAGGGATGAATAGACCTGGGGAAGACACAAATAGGGTACTAGAGCTGTGTGAGAATAGGAAACTCATATATACTAAATACTACAGAGGTCCCTCAGAAAACTAAAAATAGAACTACCATGAGATACAACAACCCCACTACTGGGTATATATCTAAAATAAAGGATGTCAATATGTCAACAGAAACCTGCACTTACATTGTTATTGCAGCACTATTTACAAAAGCAAAGATATGGAATCAACCCAAACATTCATCAACAGAGGAATGAATAGAGAAAATGTGGTATACAGGCACAATGGAATACTATCAAGCCATAACAAAGAATGAAATTCTGTTATTTTCAGCAACATCAATGGAATTGAAAGACATTATGTTAAGTAAAATAAGCTGGGTACAGAGAGATACTGCCTTGTATCACTTATATGTAGAACCTAAAAGAGTAGATCTTGTAGAAGTAGAGAGTAGAGTAATGTTTAGTGGAGGCTAGGAAGTGGGAGGGGATACTCAGAGATTGGTTAACAAATATAAAATTATAACTAGAAAGGAGAAATAAATTGTAATATTCTATAGCACCATAGGGTAACTATAATTAACAACAATTTATTGCACATTTTCAAATAGGTAGAAGACTGGATTTTGAATATTCCCAACACAAAGAAATTATAAGCATTTGTAGTGATGGCTAATTACTCTGATTTGATTACTTCACATTGTATACTAGTATCAGAATATCACACTGTACCCCATAAATATTTACTATTATTATGTGTCAATTAAAAATAATAATAAGAGAAAAAAATTAAAAGATCTGCTGTGGGACTGAGTTTGGTAAGCCCATCAAAAAGGGCAGACTCTCAAACTGTGAGATATGGGCGATTCTCCTACTGGGTCCTTGTGGGAGCATTTCTGGACTGAACTCTAAGCAAAGGGGGCCTGGAGCTGAGCCACAGGGAAACATTCATGTTCATTTTCCAGACTGATGTTAGCAGGCAGACAAGCTTCTCACCCAAGCACTAGTGTGTGGGATTCTTTCTGCACTACTTGGCAGATGGTTTTGGTTGTAGTCTCAAGGCCAATCAGGGATGTAGCCAAGCCCCTTGGGAAACTGGATTATTTCTGATCTTTAACTCAGAAGCACAATCTGGGTATTAGCTATGTGGATGCAACTGTGCACTCTCAAAATAACCCTCCTAAGTCTTGGGGTCCAGTGGGGTTTCACAACATCCTACTTGAATCCTGAGGCTCCTACTGAGAAACTTTTGTCTGGGAATTGGTGTAGAATTGTTGTTGTTGTGCAGGGATATGAGTGGGTTATTTCTTATTCCACCATATTGCTATTGTCACTTCCCAGTGTTTAAGATTTTGTCAAGATGAACTTGTCTCTCTTGCACTTGACTCTACAGAATGAAAGATCTTGGTGTGAGTAGAGAATGGGAAAAAGTTGGAGTTATAGTTACTGGAAAGTGATATCCAAATTGTATAGAGGTGAAAAGAGAGGAGCAAATCAGCATCTGGAGAGAGAATACCTTAAATCCCTGAAGATACAGGGAGAAAGAGGGATGTTACTACACTTATGTCTTTCAAAATTATCCTTGGATTCTTCATCACCAAAAAAACCCCACTGTGGTGTAGCTTTCAAACTTACAACAAGTGCCTCAAATTTAACTAACTTCCTATCTGCTATTCCTCTCCTGATATGCTCTTACAAAAATTTGATCATCATTCTCCTTAACTTTATCAATAATTATTTCAGAAGCAGGAGGGGAGCATTCCAACTTCTGCATCTCCCATATAAAATACCTCCAAAAGTCCTTCTGACCCCCATTCTTAATTAATTTATGGGGCCAAAAATGCCACTAACTGATGGTTTGGACAAACAAGATAGATTACATTAACTGCCTTCAGGCAGTTCCTCCAAAAAATGACTAGAAGCAATTATTTTTGTTACAGCTTCATACAGCTAGAATTCACATACATACTTAAAATTCACCTATTTAAAGTGCACAGCTCAATTTTTTTTTTTTGACGGAGTCTCACACTGTTGCCCAGGCTGGAGTGCAGTGGCATGATCTCGGCTCACTAGCTCAATGTTTTTAAACATGTTTTAATCTAATTTCAAGATTAATCAGTATTATCATATGTATCCATATTTCAATCCTTGATGTTGCTTTAAAAGAGTGTATAAGACTGTATATTTTCCTTACCCATTCATCGATTGATGAATATTAGTTGTTTCCACACTTTCATCATTAAGAAAAATGCTGCTAAGAACATTCGTATACAGTACAAGTTTCTATATGGATATATACTTTCATTTCTCTTGAATATATACTTAGGAGTAAAATTGTTGGACATATGACAACTCTGTGATGAACAATATGAATACTGCCAAAATATTTTCAAGAGTGGCTACATCATCTTATATTATTGCCAGTAATACTTGAAGGTTCCAATTTCTCCCCATCCTCACAAAAACTTGTTATTGTTAGTCTTTTTAACTCTAGCCATTTTAGGATGTGTGAAGTGTTATCTCATTGTGACTTTGATTGACTTTGATTTACATTTCCCTTATAACTAATAATGTTGAGCACCATTTCATGTGCTTATTGGCTGTTAGTATATCTTATTTTGGGAAATGTCTATTCAGATCTTTTGCCTAATTTTTAATTGTGTTAATTTGATTATTTTTTTATTGTGTTGTAAGAGGTTTTTTAAAAAACATATTCTGGATGCAAGCCTTTGATAGGTTCATGATTTTCAAACACTTCTTCTGTATCTTTTTTATTTATTTTTGATATCTTTTTTCATAATAAAATTTGTTAGTTATCATTTAGTCAAATTATATTATTGTTGCTTGTGTTGTGGGTGTCATATCTAAGGAAGCATTAACTAGCAAAGGACAACAATGATTTACTCATTTGCTTTTATTTTAAAGTGTTATTATTTTAGCTTTCACACTGAGGTCTATAATACACTTTGAGTTAATTTTTGTGTATAGTAGTAAATAGGAGTCATCACGTGGATACTCACTTGCCCCAACACTATTTGTTGAAATGACTATTTTTTCATTAAATTCTTTCATCAGTCTTCTTGAAAGTCAGTTGACTACAAATGTGACAGTCTACTTCTGGGCTTTCAGTTATATTCCATTGATATATTTGCCTATACTTATGCCAGTGTCACTCTGTCTTGAAAGCAATAGGTTTGTAGTAAGTTTTGAAATAAAGAAATGTGGATTCTCCAACTTTGCTCTTTTCATTCAAGATTGCTATGAATATTCTGGATCATTAGTAACTGGAGGCCAGGCATGGTGGCTCATGCCTATAATCCCAGCACTTTGGGAGGCTGAGGTGGGTGGATCATCTGAGGCTAGGAGTTCAAGACCAGCCTGGCCAACATGGTGAAATCCTGCCTATATTAAAAATACAAAAGTTATCTGGGCATGGTGGTGCACACCTGTAATCCCAGCTGCTTGGGAGGCTGAGGGATGAGAATTACTTGAATCTGGGAGGTGAAGGTTGCAGTGAGCCAAGATTATGCCACTTCACTCCAGCCTGGGAGGACAGAGTGAGACCTTGTCTTAACAAACAAACAAACAAACAAAACATTTGCAACTGGATATAAAATTTAGACTCATCTGTTCATTTTGGCAAAAATGGCATTTTGACAGAGATTGTCTTAAATCTGTAGACCAATTTTTGGTCCATTACAGAGTCTTCTTTCCAATCCATTAATATGTGATGTTTTCCAATTCATTTCAATCTTTTTAATTTATTTCTAAAGTATTTTGTAGTTTTCAGTGTACAAGCCTTGTATTTCTTTTATAATTATCGTAATATTATGCAATTTTTTATAAAATTATTTTCTTAATTTCAGTTTCTTTTTTTAAAGTGAAAACAAGCTTATTAAGAAAGTAAGAAAATAAAAGAATGGCCACTCTATAGGCAGAACAGTGGAATGGTCTGCTGGACTAAGGCTACTTACCATTACTTCTTGATTATATGCTAAACAAGGGATGAACAATTCCCAGAACTAAGGGTTTCTCCTTTTTTTAGACCACATAGGGAAACTTTCTGACATTGCCATGACATTTGTAAACTGTTATGGCACTGGTGGGAGTGTCTTTTAGCATGCTAATACATTATAATTAGTGATAATCAGCAGTGAGGACAACCACAGGTCACTTTTCTTGCTATCTTGGTTTTGGTAGGTTTTGGCTGGCTTCTTTATCACATGCTGTTTTATCAGCAAGGTCTTTGTGGCCTGTATTTTGTGCAGACATCCTATCTCATCCTATGAATTAGAATGCCTTAACCTCCTGTGAATGCAGACCAGTAGGTCTCAGCCTTATTTTATTCAGCCTCTATTCAAGATAGAGTCACTCTGGTTCAAACATCACTGACATATTTTCCACCTTCCTTTTATAAGAGAACCCTAATCCTAAGGGTTGTAGAGAAATGAAGATCCATCTTCTGTACGTTCTCCAGGCTGATTAGTGGCGATGATATTCCTGTGTAACTATTAGGGTCTCTTATATTTAATATAGCAAGGAGCATTGGTTTGTTGAGGGCCATTAATAACTCTGAGTTTTGACAAAAGGTGATATCTGGAAGATTAATTAGTGTTCAAATTAAGAAAACATTGAGTAAACTTACCATGCCTTCCTACACATAGAGTGCAACAGCAATATATTTCACAAGAGTAAAGCAAAATGAGTTAAACTATCCAAAGTAAACAAATCTAAAAGGCTTTCCATGAACTGGGCATCTGCTCCAAGCTGATATGAGGTTGCTGGCTGATTTCAATTCATTCCCAGAATTAGAATATTGATTCAGAATTTTACATTACCCATTCCTCTTGGTTTTTTTCTGAGCAGCAGTCAGAGATTACTGGTTGGTTCGCAGGAGTAATTAGGGTTAGTCTAAATTGCACTAAATGAAAAGTTCAAAACAACTAATGAGACTAAAAACTAATAACAGGTGTACCATAATAACTGAAACAATATTTTCTCTCTCCAGTCTCCCATTTTTTACTAAAGACAAATCATGGTAAGACTGATTTGCCTAATTATACTTGGCCTGATTATTTGTATAAAGTGCAGTAAAAGCCATCTCTGAGATTCCTTATGGAACAGAGTTCCATCAAAGCCAATTAAAAACTCTGTGTGTAAAAGCCTGTTTTTACTTTTAATTATTTTCCACATTGGCTTTGATGGAACTCTGTTCCATATGGAATCTCAGATAAGACTTTTTTTTAAAAAAGCTGAGCCCAGTCATGCCTTTGTACTGTCAAATACCTGTATATGTTGGGTAAATTCCTCTCCTCTTGAGGTCCCAAGATAACTTGAGGATCCTGGGCCTGTCAGGAAATAACATTTTTTTACTTACCACAGGTCAGGAACCCTGTACAGGGACTGTGTAGACAAGGTATGCGGCCAGTTTTCCCAAGGGGCTTTTATTAGCACTCTATAAATCAAGTTTGATTCCTTAAAGGAAAGCATGCTATTCCAGTCAAACACTTGGTAAAGTAACCAGGTTCTCCAATTGTGTCTTGTTACAAAAGAAACAGATTCTTATTGCACTTATGCAAATTTCTATTGCCATAAGTTTAGAATACTCACAAATAGTCTTCAAATTCTGGAGAAATCAGGTAAGAGAAACAAATATGGTCCAAATTTTGTTCACATAAGTATGCTTTACTCAATTGTTAAAATCTGTCAATAGCTCAAAAGAAAAGTTTCCTTGACTATGAAAAAGAAAACAAAGAATGAGAAACATTTTAAGCAAAAAGTCAAAAAGATTACTGCAGTCTTCTACTAGTCCAGTCCATGCAGTTAACACTTGTCCTTCTTGGTATTCATGAACATTCCAGCTTTTTACAAGAGCCCTGAAAGTTGTTTCATTCCACCAGTTTTCACAGAGAAAAAGGAACGGGAAGGGAGAAAAGCATTGCCTGTGGTGGGGTGGGGACTGAGAGGAGCACAGGGAGGCCAGAGGAAGGCCCACCCATCCAAGCAATTCTGAATCAAAAGTTCATGTGGACACTTGTCAGTAGTAAAGGGATTCCAGCAGTCCCATCAGCTCTCAAGCTTCCCCTTTTGGGGAGGACAAAGCTCCCTATTTCCCATTATCCTGTACATGCCTAATCCTGTCACTCATGGCCATCAGGAAAGAGTGCAGATTAATCCAAAGAGAATAGCAGTTAACATCTGTAGTGGGTAATCTATTTTTACCTAAGAGAGACTTCACAGAGCGGCCTCTAACCCCTTAAGTCTTAGAAAGGACTTTAACTTTCCTAAGTTGGGCCACAAACCCAAGTTTAGTTGTGTCCTTGTCTTTTATTAAGAGGAACCTTTAACCCACTCTGTGTTAGGAGAGGCTCCAACTCCCCTAAATTGGGCCGCTAACTCAATTCCATCCTTTACCCAAATACTCCACCACTTTACACAATGTCAGACAATTGGTATTTCTGTCTATTTCCTTTGGATCAGGGGTCTCCTCAGTATCATCCCTTCATCATTCACCAGGAAGATGTTACCAGAAAGGGACTATTATCCAGATCCCAAGAGATCATTCTTGGATCTCATGCAAGAAAGTATTTGAGGCAAATTCTGAAAGTGAAAACAAGTTTGTTAAGAAAGTAAAGGAATAAAAGAATGGCTACTCCATAAGCAGAGCAGCCAATTTCATCTGCAGATTGTTTGTTGCTAATGTATAGATATGATTGATTTTTCTATTGATCTTATATCACCATGCTGTAATTTTATTCATTCTAGTTTTTATAGTGGATCCTTTGAGTTTTTTTTAAACAAGGTTATGTAATCTGCCAATAGAGATCATTTTATCTCTTCTTTGTGTCCAGGTCCCTTCAGTTGATTTCCTTGTCTAATTGTTCTTGATAGAACATCTAGGATAATGTTAAACAGAAATGGTGAGAGCAGACATACCTGTCCTGTTCATTTTGTTTGAATTTGGTTTGTTTTATTTGATCTCAGGAGGAAAACATTCAGTCTTTCACAATTAAGAGTGATGTTTACTGTTTATATGTATAAACGTCCTTTATCAGGTTGAAGAAGTTTCCTCTTATTTCTAGTTTTTGAGTATTTTTTTAAAAATGTTAAGTTCAGGGTACAAGTGCAGGTTTGTTACATAGACAAACTTGTGCCATGAAGGTTTGTTGTGCAGATTATTCATCACCCAGGTATTAATACTAGTACCCATTAGTTATTTTTCCCATTCCTCTTCCTTCTCCCACCCTCCAACCTCCAAAAGACCCCAGTGTGTATTGTTCCTTTCAATGTGTCCATGTGTTTTTATCACTTAGCTCCCACTTATAAGTGAGAGCATGCAGTATTTGTTTCTTGTTCCCATGTTACTTAGCTAAGGATAAAGACCTCCAGCTACCTCCATGTCCTTGCAAGGGTGCAAGGGACATCATCTCATTCTTTTTTATGGGTGCGTAGTATTCCATGGTGTGTATATACCAGATTTTCTTTATCCAGTCTATCATTAATGGGTATTTAGGTTGATTCCATGTCTTTGCTCTTGTGAATAATGCTGCAATAAACATACACGTGCATGTGTCTTTATAATAGAAGGATTTATATTCCTTCGGGTATATACCCAGTAATTTGATTGCTGGATTAAATGGTATTTCTGTCTTTTGGTCTTTGAGGAATTGCCTCACTGTCTTCCACCATGGCTGAACTAATTTATGCTCCCACCAACAGTGTATAAGTGTTCCCTTTTCTCCACAAACTCACTAGTATCTTTTATTTTTGACTTTCTAATAATGGCCATTAATGGTTTATTGTGGTTTTGGTTCACATTTCTCTAATGCTCAGTGATGTTAAGTTTTTTTTTTTTATATGATTGTTGACCACATATATGCTCCTTTTGAAATGTGTCTTTTCATATCCTTTGCTTGCTTTTTTTATGGGGTTGTTTGTTTTTTCTTTTAAATTTGTTTAAGTTTCTTATAGGTGCTGGATATTAGCCCTTTGTTGAATGAATAATTTGCAAATATTTTCTCTCATTTAGTAGGTTATCTATTTACTCTGTTGATAGTTTATTTTGCTGTACAGAAGCTCTTTAGTTTAACTAGATTCTATTTGTCAATATTCACTTTTGTTGTAGTTGCTTTTTGCGTCTTCATCATGAAATCTTTGCCTGTGCCTATAAAAGAAAAGGTATTGGGTTTTGTGAAATGCTTTTTCTGCGTTGATTGACATAATCATGTGGTATTCATACTTTATCAAGTTTATCCATTGATTTTCATATGTTAAACTGACCATGATAAATCCCACTTGGTCATGATGTATAATATTCCTTATATGTTGCTGGATTATGTTGCTAGTTTTTTGGTCAGGCTTGTTTGTGTCTGCAGCTACAAAGAACACTGTTCTATAATTTTCTCTTCATGTGATATATTTAATTATTTTGGGGATTAATGTAGTACTGGCATGATAGAATGAGATAAGTAAACACTATTTTTTAAAGATATTCTAAAGTATTTTAAACATTTTTCTGTAAGAGCACATGAGAAGAGTATGCATTCTGCTTTTTGGGGGTCCTGTGCTCTACAGATATATGTTAGGTCTAATTTGTCTAGATTACACTGTTGTTCTATCCTTGGTAATCTTCTGATTAGTTATTATATTAACTATCATGTGTCACTTTGATGACTCCAACTATTATTGTGCAATTTTTAAAGTATCTCCCTCAATTCTGTTAGTTTTGATTTATGTATTATGAGGCTATTTTATTATGTGTACATAGATTTATAATTATTATGTCTTCTTGAAGAATTTATATTTACATCATCATAAAACATGCTTCATAGTCACTAGTAACATTTTTTCTTTTAATGTCTATTTTATCTCGTGATACTATAGCTGCTCAACTGTCTTATAGTTGTTGCTTGCAGTGTATAACTTTTCCATTTTTTTTACTTTAAATTATTTGTGTCTTTTACTCTAAAGGGTGTCTCTTCTTAAAAGAAGATAGTTAGCTAACATATTTTAAATTTTATTGTAATAAAATCACATAACATAAAATTTACCATAGATCATGTTATGTCAATTTTGCCAATATTTTATTTTTGATAGAAGTATTAAATTCATTTACATTTAGTTACTTCTGAAGAGATTCAATCTGACATTTTATTTTTTGTTTTCTGCATGCCTAACATATTTTATTCTTTATTACTTTTAGTTTTTTATCAACATAATATTTGTACATATATATATGGTACATGCGTTTTTTTATATGTATAGAATGTGTAATGGTCAAATCAAGGTACTTAGGGTATTCATCACCTCAAGTATTTATTATTTCTATGTGCTGAAAACCGTTTAAGTCCTCTTTTCTAGCTATTTGAAATATGTGTACATCACTGTAAAAATTAGAACATGTTCCTTCTATCTAACCGTATATTTGTACCCATTAACCAACCTCTTTTTATCCCCTTTCACACACCCATCCTTCCCAGCTTCTAGTAACTATCATTCTATTGGCTACTTCTATGAGATCAACTTTTTTAAAGGCCCTACATATGAGTGAGACAAGTGACATTTGTATTTCTGTGCATGGCTTATTTCACTTAACATAATGACCTTCAGTTCCATCCACGTTTCTGCAAATGACAGGATTTCAATTTTTTTGGTGATTCATAGTTCATTGTGTATATATACAGTATTTCTTTATCCGTTTATCTCTTGATGGACACTTAAATTTATTCCATTGCTTTACTACTGGGAATAGTGCTGCAATAAACATGAGGATGCAGGTACTCCTTTTATAAACTGATTTTCTTTCCTTTGAATATAAACCCATTAGTGGGAGTGCTAGATCATATAGTTTTAGTTTTGTGAGAGATCTCCATACTGTTTTCCATAATGGTTGTAGTAATTTACATTACCACCCATAGTGTATAATACTTCAATTTTCCTTTCATCCTTGCCAGCATCTGCTATTTTTTGACATTTTAATAATGGCCTTTCTAACGGGTAAAATGATATTTTATGGTGGTTGAAATGATTCATAATATTGGAAATCTCTTCATATATTTATTGGCAGTTTGAATGTCCTCTTTTCATAAATATCTATCCATATGTTTACCCAATTATTTATTTATTTATTTAACTTTTATTTTAGGTTTAGGGGTACATGTGCAGGATTGTTATACAGGTAAACTGCATGTCATGAGGGTTTGGTGTACAGATTATTTAGTCACCCACATAATAAGTATAGTACCCAATAGGTATATTTTTTATTTCCTTCCTACTTCCACCCTCCACCCTCAAGTAGGTCCTGGTGTCTGTTATTCCCCTCTTGCTGTCCATGTGTTCTCATTTTTTAGCTCCCTCTGATAAGTGAGAATGTATGATATTTGGTTTTCTGTTTCTGCACTAGTTTGCTTAGCATAATAGTCTCCAGCTCCATTCATATTGCTTTAAAGGACGTAAACTCATTCTGCCTTATGGCTGCATAGTAATCCATGGTGTTTGTGTGCCACATTTTCTTTATCTATCTAGTCTACTGTTGATGGGCTTTTAAGATGATTCCATGTCGTTGCTACTGTGAATTGTGCTGCAATGAACATATGTGTGGCATGTGTTGTTATGGTTAAATGATTTATATTCCTTTGGGTATATACCCAGTGATGAAATTTCTGAGTCCAATGGTAATTCTGTTTCAAGTTCTTTGAGGAATCGCCACAATATTTTCCACAATGTTCGAACGGATTTACACTGCCACCAGCAGTGCATACGCATTCCCTTTTGTCTGAAACCTCACCAGAATCTGTTATTTTTTGACTTTTTGATCATAGCCATTCTGACTGATGTGAGATGGTATCTCACTGTGGTTTTGATTTGCATTTCTCAAATGGTTAGTAATGTTAAGCATCTTATTTTATATGACCGCTGGCCACATGTATGTCTTCTTTGGAAAAGTGTCTGTTTCCATCCTTTGCCCACTTTTTGATGGGTTTTTTTTTTACTTGTAAATAGTTAACTGATAAACTCTGGATATCAAACATTTGTGGGATGCATAGTTTGCTAATATTTTCTCCCATTCTGCAGGTTGTCTGTTTACTCTGTTGATAGTTTCTTTTGCTGTGCAGAAGCTCTTTAGTTTGATTAGTTTCCATTTGTCAATATTTGCTTTTGTTGTAATTGCTTTTGGCATCTTTGTCATAAAATCTTTGCCGGATTTTATGTTCTGAATTGTATTTCCTAGGTTTATCCCCAGAGTTTTTATAGTTTGGGGTTTAAAATTTAAGTTGTTAATCCATATTGAGTAAATTTTTGTATATAATATAAGGAAGAGGTTCAGTTTCAGTCTCCTCAGATAGCTAGCCTGTTATTTCAGCACCAATATTTTAACAGCGAGTAATTTCCCCTTTGCTTGTTTCTGTCAACTTTGTCAAAGATCAGATGGTTTGTCTATGTCTCTGTTTCTTTACCAGTGTCATGCTGTATTGTTTACTCTAGCCTTGTAGTATGGTTTGAAGTTAGGCAATGCAATGCCTAAAGCTTTCTTCCTTTATATTAAGCTTGTTTTTTCTATTTGGTCTTTTTGTTGTTGTTGTTCCCTACGAATTTTAAAATAAATTTTTCTAGTTTTGTGAAGAATGTCTTTGGTAGTTTAATAAAAATAGCTTTTTTTTTTCTTTTTTGACAGAGTCTTGCTCTTTCACCCAGGCTGCAGTGCAATGGCCCTATCTTGGCTCACTGCAACCTCCACCTCCTGAGTCCAAGTGATTCTCCCGCCTCAGCCTCATGAGTAGCTGGGATTACAGGGTACCGCCATCACAGCTGGCTAAATTTTGTATCTTTGTAGAGATGGGATTTCACAATGTTGGCCAGGCTGGTCTTGAACTCCTGACTTCAGGTTATCTGCTTGCCTCGGCCTCCCAAAGTGCTGGGATTACTAGTGTGAGCCACCACCGTGTCTGGCCGAGGAATAGCTTTGAATCTGTAAATTGCTTTGAGCTGTAGGGCCATTTGAATGATATTCATTCTTTCTATTCATGAATATGGAATATTTTTCTACTTGTTTGTGTCATCTCTGAATTCTTTGAGCAGTGTTTTGTAATTCTCATTGTAGAAATATTTCATCTCTCTTGTTAGCATTATTCCTAGGTATTTTATTTTTGTGTGTGGGTATTATGAATGGAATTGTATTTCTGATTTGGCTCTCAGCTTGGATACTGTTGATGTAAAAAAACGTTACCGATTTTCGTACCCTAATTTTGTCACCTGAGATGTTGCTGAAGTTGTTTATTAGGTCGAGTAGCTTCTGGGCAGAGATTATGAGTTTTTCTAGATATAGAATCATGTCACGTGAAAAAGGTATAGTTTGACCTTTTCTCTTACTATTTGGATGCTTTTTATTTTTTGTCTTGCCTAATTCTTCTGGCCATGACTTCCAGTACTATGTTGAATAGTGAGAAAGGGCATCCTTTTCTTGCTCTGTTTTTCAAGAGAATGCTTCCAGCTTTCACCCATTCAGTATGATGTTGGCTGCTGATTTGCCACAGAGGGCACTTATTATTATTTTGGGATATGTTCCTTTGATGCTTAGATTTTGATTTTTTCTTGTCTTGAAGGGATGTTGGCTTTTACTGAAATATTCTTTACATCTATTGAGATGATCATATAGTTGCTGTTTTTAATTCTGTTTATGTGATGAATCGCATTTATTGATTGGCATATGTTGAATAACCTTGTATCCCAGAAATGAAGCCTACTTGATATGCTGCTGGGTCCAGTTCACTAGTAGTTTGTTGAGTATGTTTGCTCATCAAGGATATTGGCCTGAAGTTTTCTTTTTTTGCTGTGTCTTTGCCAGGTTCTGGTATCAGGATGATGCTGCCCTTACGAAACAAGTTAAGGAGGAGTCCCTTCTTCTCAATTTATTTGGAATAAATAAATAAATAGCTTCAATAGTATTGTTACTAGCTCTTTTTTATACATCTGGTAGAATTTAGTCTTTTCTTAATTTTTAAGTGAATTTATTTTTGCTGTTGTGTTGCTTCAGTTTATTATAAATTCTGGATATTAACCTCTTGTTAGATAAAATTTGTAAATATTTTCTCTCATTCAGCAGGATGTCTCTTCATTTTGCAGATTGTTTCCTTTGCTGTGCAGAAGTGTTTAGTTTGATTTAGTTTTATTTTTCTATTTTGTTTTTGTTGCCTGTGGTTTTGAGTTCTTAGCCATAACATCTTTGCCTACTGGTGACCTGGGGTGTTTCTTGTGGTTTTTTTTTAGTACTTTTATAGATTTTTGCATTATGTTTGAGTCTTTAGTGCATTTCAGTTGAGTTTGTTGATATGGAGAGAAATGGGGGGACTAGTTTTATTTTTCTGCATATGAATATCCAAATTTTCTAGAAAAAATTATGAAAAAATATTTCATTTTTCAAATACATGTTCTTGGTGCCTTTGTTGAAAATTAGTTGGTTATAAATACTTGATTGAATTTCTGGGTTCTCTCTTCTGCTCCATTAGTCTTTCTGTCTAGTTTTCTACCAATACCATGCTGTTTTGGTTATATAACCTTGTCGTTCTAAGTTCGATAGTATGATGCCCTTAAATTTCTTCTTTTTGCTCAGATTTATTTTTGAGTATTTGGGTGTTTTGCTTTTTGTTTTTTTATTTGCTTCCATAGTAATACTAGGGTTGTTTTTGTCTAATTCTATAAAAAATGGCATTAGTATTTTGATAGGGATTTTATTGAATCCGTAGATTCCTTTGGATAGTATAATCATTTTAACAATGTTAATTCCTGAGCATTATCATTTTAAAAATATTAATTTCAATATTAGCTCATGAGCATGAAATGTCTTTCCATTTGTATTCCTTGTTGAGGTCTTTTGCCCTCTTGGTTAAATTTATGCCTAGGTCTTTTATGTTATTGTAGCTATTGTAAATGGGATTACCTTGCTGATTTTTTTTAGCTAGTTATTATTACTGTATTTAAAACAGTGATATTTGTATGTTTCTTTTGTGTCTTGCAACTTTACTAAATTTGTTTATCAGCTCTAAGAGGTTTCTACAGTTTAGTTTTTAGGTTTTCCAAATATAAGATCATTTAAAGGACAAAGAAGGACAATTTTAATTCCTATTTTCCAATTTGGATGCTTTTTATTTCTTTCTCTTGCCTGGTTGCTCTGGCTAGCACTTCCGGTAGTATGTTGAATAGGAATGGTGAAAGTGGGCA
This sequence comes from Homo sapiens, assembly GCF_000001405.40. Lineage (NCBI taxonomy): Eukaryota > Metazoa > Chordata > Mammalia > Primates > Hominidae > Homo > Homo sapiens. The sequence continues at coordinate 57,973,621 of NC_000023.11, forward strand.
TACTTGTCTTGTTCCAGTTTTTACAGGAAAGGCTTTCAGCTTTTGCCCATATAGTATTATGTTAACCATGGATTGGTAATACAGGGCCTTTTTTATTTCAAGTTATGTTATTTCTGTGACTAGTGTTTTAAGAGTTTTTGTCATTAAGGAATGCTGAATTTTATAAAATACTTTTTCTTCATCTATTGAGATGAACATATAGCTTTTGTTTTTCATTTTTTGATGTGATGTAACATATTTATTGATTTCCTTTTTTCTTTGTGTTGGAAACCAGAGGTTTATTATCACTCAAATCAGTCTTTCCAAGCATTCGGGAATCAGCATTTTTAAGGATAATTTGGTGTTGGGGGCAGTGAGTTGGAAGTACTAATTAGTTGTGTCAGAGATAAAATCACAGAGAGTCAAAGTTGTCTTCCTGAGCTGATTCAGTTTCTGAGTGGGGTCCCCAAGATCAGATGAGCCAGTTTATCATTCAGGGTGGTGGCAGCTGATCCATCAAGTACAGGGTCTGCAAAATATCTCAAGCACTGCTCTGCAGTTTTACAATGGTGATGTTATCCCCAGGAGCAATTTGGGGAAGGTCAGAATCTTGTAGCCTCCAGCTAAATAACTCCTAAACCATAATTTCTAATCTTGTGGCTAATTTGTTAGTCTTAAAAAGGCAGTCTAGCTCCCAGGCAAGAAGGAGATTTCTTTTGAGAAAGGGCTCTTATTGTCTATCTTTAAGACTATAAACTATAATAAATTCTTCCCAAAGTTATTTCAACCTACTTCCAGGAATAAACAAGGACAGTTTGGAGGTTAGAAGCAAGGTGGAGTTGGTTAGGTCAGATCTCTTTCACTGTCTCAGTTATAATTATGCACTGATGGTTTCAATCTCTCCCTTTGGGTTTTATAACACCTTAATCAAGGTTTTGGCTAATGAAGACGGGAAAAGGGTGACAACCACTCTAACTTATTTCTGTAGACCAGGGGTATAGTGCAGGTTGCCGTTAACCCCCAAGTGAGAGGAGTGGAACCACTTTGCAACTGTTTTGAGCATATGAACATACTCTGGCAGGCTGGGCTGGGTTTCCAAAGCTTGTATGACAAAGGCATTAGTATTCTCATTAGTAGTTTTAGCACAGCATTTAAGAGAACAGCATGCTACTTGGTAAACAATGAGTTCTAGGATAAAGAATGCAATTCCTAGTTTTAAAAGTAAAGATTGAAAAGCATTAGTTTGGGGACTTGTAGGCCATAAAGAATTTAGGATGTAATTCAAATTTCATGAAAAAACACTTAAGAATAACTAGCAATAGGTGGACTATAGTTGTTTTTGAAACATATTTTTTCCCTTTCCAGTCCCCATTTTTATTAAAGATAAATTATAGTAGGTCAAATTTACTTGCAAAATACATTTTACTCTTTTTTAAAGTCGGCTGTGCTGGAACTTTTTTTCTACAAGGAATCTCAGATTGTACTTTTTAAAGCCTTGAAGCCAGGCCATGGGTTTGTACCCTCAAATACCTATGAGTTTCTCACCTTGATATCCCAACATAACTTGGAGCTCCTGGGGCTGTCAGAAAATGACATTCTTTACTTACCACAGTTCAGGAACCAATACTTACAAATAGTTTCTAAATTCTGGAAAAATCAGGTAGATAGAAATCAATATGCCTCAAATTTTATTCACAGGAGTATACATTACTCAATCACTAAATCTTGTAAATAATTTAAAAGAAAAAGTTTTCTTGACTCTGAAACACCAAAATTTAGCAATGTTTAACACATCAGCTCTCAATGAGAGTCCTAGAAGTTTGCCTTATTCCTTCTATCCCAATAGAACAATTTCTAAGTTTATCAGAGACCTGCATTCCTTAGTACCATCAGAGTTCTCTGTGTGATTATGAACAAGGCAACAATTTACACTATACCTGAAGGATTCCCTTTAGTATTGCATTTAGTATATATCATCTGGTGACAATATTCTTAGTGTTGGTTTGTTGACAATGTTACTATTTCTTCTTAATTTTGGAAATATTTTCACTGGGTATGTTATCTTCCTCCAAAAAGGATTTACATGTGCTTAGGGCCAAGGACTAGGTTAGGGGCATTGGTAATACAGAGAATTTGATTTAAGTGAAGGACTGGGATGACTCAAGGACAGCTGGCTTATTTTAATTTACCTCTGTTCCTAGGGTGCATTGCTTCTGGGTTCCAACCTAAAGACAGAGGGATGGCCAGGCGCAGTGGCTCATGCCTGTAATCCCAGCACTATGGGAGGCCGAGGCAGGCGGATTACCTGAGGTCAGGAATTCAAGACCAGCCTGGCCAAGATGGTGAAACCCCATCTCTACAAAAATACAAAAAATTAGTGGCACATGATGGTGGATACCTGTAATCCCAGCTACTTGGGAGGCTGGGGCAGAAGAATTGCTTGAAACCGGGAGGCGGAGGTTGCAGTGAGCCGAGATCGTGCCATTGCACTCCAGCCTGGGCAACAAAGCAAGACTCTGTTAAAAAGAAAAAAAAAAAAACGACAGAGGGATTTGCCAGGGCCCCTTTCATTGTTAGAACCTGAACTACAATTGATGTCTCGCTTACCCCATTAATCTACCAAAAGCTCTGCTCAGCTTCTCTGCCTCTTAACTGCCTTTTGTTTGTTTGTTTGTTTGTTTTTTGTTTTGTTTTGTTTTGTTTTTTTAAATTGGCAGGTGCTTCCAAGAGAAAAGCAGCCAAAAATGCTGGGCTCATCTCTCTAAATTTCCTCCTTCTTTTGGATTTTGGCCCTATAATCTTTCACTGATTTGAATGTAAACAGATTTTTAAAAAAATTGTATTCAGCTTTCCTAGCTGCTCTCACTAGGATGGATGGTCAGAATTATCTAGATCATCATGATTGAGGGCAAAACCATTGGTACCCTGCCCATATTCTCTTGGCAATACCTTTTCTGTGTATGCTGATCTTATGGTTTATTCCATCTCATTGTAGACTGTACTGGGATGAAAAGTGTGTCTCCCCAAAATATCAGTTCCTAATCCCTGGAAACTTTAAATGTTACCTTACAAGGAAAAAAAATATTTTTGCATGTGTGGTTAAATCAAGGAGGCTGAGATGGGGAAGACTATGCCGGATTACTTGGGTGTGACCTGAATGCCATCCCAAGCGTCTTTATGAGAGAGAAACAGAGGGAAATTTTGCACACACATGCAGAGGAGAAGGCAATATGAAGACAGAGGCGAAGGTGAGAGTGATGCAGTCACAAGGCAAGGGAAGCCGGCAACCACTGGGAGTTGAGTTGAAAGAGTTAAGCAACAGATTCTCCTCTAAATCCTTTGAAGGAGTGCAGTCCAGTTGACACCTTGATTTCAGTCCAGTGATACTGATTTTGGATCTCTGGTCCCCAGGACTGTGAGAGAATATATTTTTGTGGTTTTAAGCCACCCAGTTTCTAGTAATTTTTTACTGCAGCCACAGAAAACATACCTAGATTGTTTCCATCAAAGCATTTTTATATCATTTTCCTATCTCATTTAATTAAATACCGTAAGACACCTGACAGGTTCAAAGCCTTGAGTCCCTGTCCTTCAGAAACTCACAATCTGCTATCATAAGTAATTCTGACCCAACCTGACAATAATAATCAAGTGCTAAAATTAAAATAAAATATCAAAGAAAATATGGGAGAGGGAGAAATTAATTTTAGCTGAGGGAACCCAGGAAGTCATCTTAGATAGGATGGTATTTAAAGATCTTTTACTGCCTTCAAACTCCTCACACTTTGTGTTTTTATGTAAGTTTTCGTCACTCTTGCTTTTTCCTTTTTTTCTTTTTCTTTTCTTTTTTTTTTTGATGGAGTCTCACTCTGTCGCCCAGCCAGGCTGGCGTGCAGATGTGCGATCTCGGCTCACTGCAACCTCTGCCTCCCAAGTTCAAGTGATTCTCCTGCCTCATCTTCCCGAGTACCTGGGATTACAGGCACACGCCACCATACCCAGATAATTTTTTGTATTTTTAGTAGAGAGAGGGTTTCACCATGTTAGCTAGGCTGGTCTCGACCTCCTGACCTCAAGTGATTCACCCGCCTCGGCCTCCCAAATTGCTAGGATTACAGGTGTGAGCCACCGTGCCTGGCCTACTTTTTCTCTTGTAATTGCTTTCATTTCGTTTAACAAAGGAATACTGTAAAATAGGGTTTAAGAGCATGTTTTCACGGTTCCACTTCCCCTCTGTTTATTCTTACTGTGCTTGACATGGCTTTAGAGAAGGGGACACTCCAAGGGCTCCTGGCACGACAGCGATGGTGAGACTTCCCACAGGGAAGTGGTGTCTCCTTCCCACAGGGCTCCCAGAGACTCTGTCTTCTAGTGAAAGAAGGGCAGCTGACTACGAAAAGGGGCTGTTTCCGGTCGAGGATTTGTGGCAGTTGGGGTCCATGTGTCAGAATGACTGAGTTGGGGTGAAAGGGATTACTTTATCATTTCTTCTCAGAATACAGGGCGGCTTAAGGGGTACATTGAGAATCACAGGGAATGCCAAGGCTTACAATCTCTGTAAAGGGAAGTAGTATTTTCAGGAGAGCCCATAAGAGGGCAGTATTAACGAAGGATCAATTTCTACAGGTTCTACAGAGTGGGAGAGCCAGGGTATATACTCTTGAGCCCACATCCAAAGCACCACAGTCTTTAAAAATGCCATGCTCAGCCTCACAAAAACCCAGATGCTTCTGTGCTTTATTTTAGCACGTACCCACCTGTTAAGGTATGGGGAAACAACCAAAAGCCAAGTATGTGTATAAAATTACAACCCTGTGTAGACAGACGCCCTCCCTCATCTGCCTCCCAAAGTGGGAGAATGAATGACAGAAGTTAAGATAGGCATTACTAAAGCTAGAATTGACTAGGAATTTTAGTTAGTTCGGTGGCATACAACAATTTTACATAACAATTATAATTATTAATGAGGTACACTAAATTATATCAGATTTATAGAAGTTTCCCACAATTTTGGAATGTATTTATACAAAACAGCCCAAAGAAACCGAAAAACCATTTCACATTTGACAATGCTTCCTATATGATTGCTATACCAAATAAGCCAAATACATCATTTTTGGATGATAGGAACCCTAATATATAAATGATTAATTAGGTCAGAAATAGAAATACTTTATAATTTGATTTTGAAAAACTTTTTTATTAAATATAAGAGGTTTAAAACACTGAATATCACAAAATAGAATTCCAGGTCACATAAGTCATTCATTTAGCCAAAATGTGGTAGGGCTACAGTTACAGACATCTTGTGGTGGAGCTACAGACAGACATCTTGCAATGGGTATACAGACAGATGCCTGACCATAGAGCTACAGTTATGGAATATCTCCCCAGGACTATTTTTCTATTGCAATTAAATCCCTGCACATTGAGTCAGCAGATCCCCATTGGTAGAGAAAGTACCACAGTCATCTCCAAGTCCAAGAGAGCTAGGTGGCCATTTGGGCTGGCCTCTAGACTCTCTGGCCTCATCACCAGAGAGAGACTACTGAACCCCAAGTACATAGCCAGAAGGGCAATCCCAGACAAGCTCCCAAATTTGTAACCACCCAAGGGGTTCACCTTACACAGTGCCTAGAAAAGCCCATTTATCAAAACAGGGGAAATGCAATAGCGAAAGAGTAATTCACACTGAGTGTTCTGTGCAGGAGACCAGAATTTTATTATTACTCAGATCAGTCTTTTGATTTGCATATGTTGAAGGATCCTTGCATCCCTGGAGTAAATCCTGTATGATCACGGTATATTTTATTTTTAGTGTGCTGTGAATTCAGCTTGCTATTTTTTTTTAATTTATAAAGATGAGTTTAACACTAAAAATTATTAAAATTTTTGATAGGAATTTGTTTGTAACATCTGTAGTAATTTTAAATGAATTCAAAATAGTTAACATAGTCCCATGTACATATTATATATTCAAAATAAATATTTACCAATCTGGGTTTATATAATTTTTTTAAAAATTTTTATTTTATTATTATTATACTTTAAGTTTTAGGGTACATATGCACAATGTGCAGGTTTGTTACATATTTACACATGTGCCATGTTGCTGTGCTGCACCCATTAACTCGTCATTTAGCATTAGGTATATCTCCACATGCTATCCCTCCCCTGTCCCCCCACCCCACAACAGTCCCCGGAGTGTGATGTTCCCCTTCCTGTGTTCATGTGTTCTCATTCTTCAATTCCCACCTATGAGTGAGAACATGTGGTGTTTGGTTTTTTGTCCTTGCGATATTTTGCTGAGAATGATGGTTTCCAGTTTCATCCATGTCCCTACAAAGGACATGAACTCATCATTTTTTATGGCTGCATAGTATTCCTTGCGGTATATGTGCCACATTTTCTTAATCCAGTCTATCATTGTTGGACATTTGGGTTGGTTCCAAGTCTTTGCTATTGTGAATAGTGCTGCAATAAACATACATGTGCATGTGTCTTTATAGCAGCATGATTTATAATCCTTTGGGCATATACCCAGTAATGGGATGGCTGGGTCAAATGGTATTTCTAGTTCTAGATCCTTGAGGAATCACCACACTGTCTTCCACAATGGATGAACTAGTTTACAGTCCCACCAACAGTGTAAAAGTGTTCCTATTTCTCCACATCCTCTCCAGCACCTGTTGCTTAATTTTTAATGATCACCATTCTAACTGGTGTGAGATGGTATCTCATTGTAGTTTGGGTTTGCATTTCTCTGATGGCCAGTGATGTTGAGCATTTTTTCATGTGTCTGCTGGCTGCATAAATTTCTTCTTTTGAGAAGTGTCTGTTCATAGCCTTTGCCCAGTTTTTGATGGGGTTGTTTGATTTTTTTCTTGTAAATTTGTTTAAGTTCTTTGTAGATTCTGGATATTAGCCTTTTGTCAGATGAGTAGATTGTAAAAATTTTCTCCCATTCTTTAGGTTGTCTGTTCACTCTGATGGCAGTTTCTTTTGCTGTGCAGAAGCTCTTTAGTTTAATTAGATCCCATTTGTCAATTTTGGCTTTTGTTGCCATTGCTTTTGGTGTTTTAGACATGAAGTCCTTGCCCATGCCTATGTCCTGAATGGTATTGCCTAGGTTTTCTTCTAGGGTATTTATGGTTTTAGGTCTAACATGTAAGTCTTTAATCCATCTTGAATTAATTTTTGTATAAGGTTTAAGGAAGGGATCCAGTTTCAGCTTTGTACATATGGCTAGTCAGTTTTCCCAGCACCATTTATAAAATAGGGAATCCTTTCCCCATTGCTTGTTTTTGTCAGGTTTGTCAAAGATCAGATGGTTGTAGATATGTGGTATTATTTCTGAGGGCTCTGTTCTGTTCCATTGATCTATATCTCTGTTTTGGTACCAGTACCATAATGTTTTGGTTATTGTAGCCTTGTAGTATAGTTTGAAATCAGGTAGCGTGATGCCTCCAGCTTTGTTCTTTTGGCTTAGGATTGACTTGGCTTTGCGGGCTCTTTTTTGGTTCCATATGAACTTTAAAGTAGTTTTTTCCAATTCTGTGAAGAAAGTCATTGGTAGCTTGATGGGGATGGCATTGAATCTATCCATTACCTTGGGCAGTGTGGCCATTTTCGCAATATTGATTCTTCCTACCCATGAGCATGGAATGTTCTTCCATTTGTTTGTATGCTCTTTTATTTCATTGAGCAGTGGTTTGTATTTCTCTTTGAAGAGGTCCTTCACATCCCTTGTAAGTTGGATTCCTAGGTATTTTATTCTCTTTGAAGCAATTGTGAATGGGAGTTCACTCGTGATTTGGCTCTCTGTTTGTCTGTTATTGGTGTATAAGAATGCTTGTGATTTTTGCACATTGATTTTGTATCCTGAGACTTTCTGAAGTTGCTTATCAGCTTAAGGAGATTTTGGGCTGAGACAATGGGGTTTTCTAGATATACAATCATGTCATCTGCAAACAGGGACAATTTGACTTCCTCTTTTCCTAATTGAATACCCTTTATTTCCTTCTCCTGCCTAATTGCCCTGGCTAGAACTTCCAACACTATGTTGAATAGGAGTGGTGAAAGAAGGCATCCCTGTCTTGTGCCAGTTTTCAAAGGGAATGCTTCCAGTTTTTGCCCATTCAGTAGGATATTGGCTGTGGATTTGTCATAGATAGCTCTTATTATTTTGAGATAAGTCCCTTCAATACCTAATTATTGAGAGTTTTTAGCATGAAGGGCTGTTGAATTTTATCAAAGGCCTTTTCTGCATCTATCGAAATAATCATGTGGTTTTTGTCTTTGGTTATGTTTATATGCTGGATTACATTTATTGATTTGTGTATGTTGAACCAGCCTTGCATCCCAGGGATGAAGCCGACTTGATCATGTTGGATAAGCTTTTCGATGTGCTGCTGGATTCGGTTTGCCAGTATTTTATTTAAGATTTTTGCATCAATGTTCACCAAGGATATTTGTCTAAAATTCTCTTTTTTTGTTTTGTCTCTGCCAGACTTCGGTATCAGGATGATGTTGGCCTCATAAAATGAGTTAGGGAGGAGTCCCTCTTTTTCTATTGATTGGAATAATTTCAGAAGGAATGGTATCATCTCCTCCTTGTACCTCTGGTAGAATTGGGCTGTGAATCCATCTGGTCCTGGACTTTTTTTGATTGGTAAGCTATTGATTATTGCCACAATTTCAAAGGCTGTTATTGGTCTATTAAGAGATTTAACTTCGTCCTTGTTTAGTCTTGGGAAGGTGTATGTGTCGAGGAATTTATCCATTTTTTCTATATTTTCTAGTTTATTTGCGTAGAGGTGTTTGTAGTATTCTCTGATGATAGTTTGTATTTCTGTGGGATTGGTGGTGATATCCCATTTATCATTTTTTATTGCATCTATTTGATTCTTCTCTCTTTTCTTCTTTATTAGTCTTGCAAGCAGTCTATCAATTTTGTTGATCTTTAAAAAAAAAAAACCAGCTCCTGGATTCATCAATTTTTTGAAGGGTTTTTTTGTGTTTCTATTTCCTTCAGTCCTGTTCTGATTTTAGTTATTTCTTGCCTTCTGCTAACTTTTGAATGTGTTTGCTCTTGCTTTTCTCGTTCTTTTAATTGTGATGTTAGGGTGTCAATTTTGTATCTTTCCTGCTTTCTCTTGTGGGCATTTAGTGCTATAAATTTCGCTCTACACACTGCTTTGAATGTGTCCCAGAGATTCTGGTATGTTGTGTCTTTATTCTCATTGCTTTCAAAGAACATCTTTATTTCTGCTTTCATTTCCTTATGTACCCAGTAGTCATTCAGGAGCAGGTTGTTCAGTTTCCATGTATTTGAGCAGTTTTGAGTGAGTTTCTTAATCTTGAGTTTTAGTTTGATTGCACTGTGGTCTGAGAGACAGTTTGTTATAATTTCTGTTCTTTTACATTTGCTGAGGAGTGCTTTACTTCCAACTATGTGGTCAGTTTTGGAATAGGTATGGTGTGGTGCTGAAAAAAAATGTATGTTCTGTTGATTTGTGGTGGAGAGTTCTGTAGATGTCTATTAGGTCTGCTTGGTGCAGAGCTGTGTTCAATTCCTGGGTATCCTTGTTAACTTTCTGTCTCATTGATCTGTCTAATATTTGTTCATTAGACACACCCCGTGTGGTGCCTAATGTTTATTCATTTCTGTTGCCTAATTGCTCTGGGTAGTACTTCAAGTATTTTGTTTAATAAAGGCAGAAAAGTGGGTATTTTTGTGTTCTTCCTGATATTAGAGGAAAGCTTTCAGCTTTGCCTCATACAGTATGTTGTTAGATGTCCGTTTGTGAAAATGTGTCCTTTATTGTATTGATGTGGCCTTCCTTCTAAACCTACTTTATTTTTTATCTGAAGAATGTCGCATGTTATCACGTGCTTTCTCTTTGTCTATTGAGGTGATTATATAATGAGTGTTCTACATTCTGCTTATGTGATGTATCACATTTATTGATTTGTGTGTGTTAAACCATCTTTTCACCTCTGGGATAAACTCACCTGATCATTGTGAATGATTTTTTAATGTGCTTCTGAATTCAGTTTTTGAAGATTTTTGCATCTACATTCAACAGGGATATTAGACTACAGTTTTTATTGTTGTGTTATTTATGGCTTTGGTATCAGTGTATTGCTAGTCTCATAGAATTAGTTTGGAAGTATTTCCTCCTTATAAAATTTTTTAAAGAATTTTGAGAACAGTCATTATTGTCTTTCTAAAAATATTTGGCAGGATTCTCTAGTGAAACCATCAGTTCCTGGACTTTTCTTTAATGGGAGATTTTTTTCTTATTATTTTAATCTCCTTACTTATAATTGTATGCTCAGGCTTTCTATTTTTTCTTGGTTCAATCTTGGTAGCTTTTTGTGTCCAGAAATTTATTTTTTTCTGGTTTTCTAATTTGTTCTCTTAATTTATCTGAGATTATTCTAGTGAGAATATTCTTGTATTCTCTTACAGCTGTCTGTAATATTCTCTAATGGTCCTTTTTTTTTTTTTTTGAAGGAGTCTCGCTCTGTCGCCCAGGCTGGAGTGCAGTGGGGTGATCTCGGCTCACTGCCAGCTCTGCCTCCTGGGTTCACACCATTCTCCTCCCTCAGCCTCCAAAGTAGCTGGGACTGCAGGCCCCCACCACCACGCCCAGCTAAATTTTTATTTTTTAGTAGAGACGGGGTTTCACCATGTTAGCCACAATGGTCTCGATCTCCTGACTTCATGTTCCACCTGCCTTAGCCTCCCAAAGTGCTGGGATTACAGGCATGAGCCACCACGCCCAGCATCTAATGATCCTTTTTATTTTTGTGGTATCAAGTGTAAGGTTTTCTTTTCTGTTTCTGATTTTATTTGGTTTTCTTTTTGTTTCCTGATTAGTCTAGTTTATGCTTTGTCAATTGTGTTTTATTTTTTCAAAAAACAGCTTTTTTTTTCATTTTTTTATTGTTATTTCAGTGTCAATTTTGTTTATTTTTGCTCTATTTTAAAATTTTATTTTCTTGACCAAGAAGCAGCTTCTCTGCCCCTTCTGGAATCTCCACCTGGTTCAGCCCACCTGCCTCCACTCCTGCTTCCACCATGTCCATCAGGGTGACCCAGAAGTCCTACAAGGTGTCCACCTCTGGCCCCTGGTTCTTCAGCAGCTGCTCCTACTTGAGTGGGCCCAGTGCCCACATCAGCTCCTTGAGCTTCTCCCGAGCGGGCAGCAGCAGCTTCCAGGGTGGCCTGGGCAGAGGCTATGGTGGGGCCAGCGGCATGGAAGTCATCACTGCTGTAATGGTCAACCAGAGCCTGCTGAGCCCCATTAACCTGGAGGTGGACCTCAACATCCAGGCCATGCACACCTAAGAGAAGGAGCAGATCAAGACCCTCAACAAGTTTGCCTCCTTCATTGACAAGGTACAGTTCCTGGAGCAGCAGAACAAGATGCTGGAGAACAAGTGGAGCCTCCTGCAGCAGCAGAAGATGGCTCAGAGCAACCTAGACAACATGTTCGAGAGCTACATCAACAACCTTAGGTGGCAGCTGGAGACTCTGGGCCGGAAGAAGCTGAAGCTGGAGGCAGAGCTTGGCAACATGCAGGGGCTGGTGGAGGATTTCAAGAACAAGTATGAGGATGAGATCAATAAGTATACAGAGATGGAGAATGAATTTGTCCTCATCAAGAAGGATGTGGATGAAGCTTACATGAACAAGGTAGAGCTGGAGTATCGCCTGGAAGGGCCGACTGATGAGATCAACTTCCTCAGGAAGTTGTATGAACAAGAGATCCGGGAGCTGCAGTCCCAGATCCTGGACATGTCTGTGGTGCTGTCCATGGACAACAGCCACTCCCTGGACATGGACAGCATCATTGCTGAGGTCAAGGTGCAGTACGAGGAGATCGCTAACCGCAGCTGGGCTGAGGCTGAGAGAATGTACCAGAACTAGTATGAGGAACTGCAGATGCTGGCTGGGGAGCACGGGGATGACCTACTTAGTACAAAGACTGAGATCTCCACGATAAACCAGAACATCAGCTGGCTCCAGGCTGAGATTGAGGGCCTCAAAGGCCAGAGGGCTTCCTGGAGTCCACCATAACAGATGTGGAACAACGTGGGGAGCTGGTCATTAAGGATGCCAATGCCAAGCTTTCCCAGCTGGAGGCTGCCCTGCAGCGGGCCAAGCAGGACATGGCACTGCAGCTGCATGAGTACCAGGAGCTGATGAACTTCAAGTTGGCTCAGGACATCGTGATCACCACCTACAGGAAGCTGCTGGAGAGCGAGGGGAGCTGGCTGGAGTCTGGGATGCAGAGCATGAGTATCCATATGAAGACCACCAGTGGCTATGCAGGTAGTCTGAGCTCGGCCTATGGGGGCCTCACAAGCCCCAGCCTCAGCTACAGCCTGGGCTCCAGCTTTGGCTCTGGCGCTGGCTCCAGCTCCTTCAGCCACACCAGCTCCACCAGGGCCGCGGTTGTGAAGAAGATTGAGGCCCAGAATGGGAAGCTCGTGTCCAAGTCCTCTGACGTCCTGCCCAAGTGAACAGCGGTGGCAGCCCCTCCCAGCCTGCCCCTCCTGCGGCTGCCTCAGAGCCCAGAGGCAGGCTGCTGTGCAGGGAAGCACAGGGAACAGGAGACACACCTGAGCCTCAGCCCTAGCCCTCAGCCCACCCGCGGGGGAGTTCACGGCCTGGGGATGCCCCTTGCCCATGCCTCCAGCTACAAAACAATTCAATTTCTTCCTTCCTTCCTTCCTTGCTTCCTTCCTTCCTTCCTTCCTTCTTTCCTTCCTTCCTTCCTTCTTTCTTTCTCTTTCTTTCTTTCTTCTTTCTTTCTCTGTTCTTTCTTCTCTTTTCTTTCTTTCTTTTCTTTTTACTTTCTTTCTTTCCTTTCTTTCTTCTTTCTTTTTCTTTCTTTCTTTCCTTTTTCCAAAATAAAACCTCAGATAGCTCAGAAAAAAAACTTTTCTTTTACTTATTTTGTATTTGATTCAATCCTAATTTTATAATTCCTTGACATGCAATGTTAGGTTGTTTATTTGAGATATTTTTTACATTCATGTAGATGTTTATTACTATAAACCTCCTGCTTTAAACTGCTTTTGTCATATCCCATTTTTTTTGGTATGGCATGTTTTTTTCATATCTTTAAGAGAATTTTAATTTTTTTCTACTTTATTCACTGATTCATTTGTTGTTCAGGAATATTTAATTTCCATGTGTTTGTATAGTTTTGAATATTCCTTCTGTTTTTAGCTTTTAGTTTTATTCAATTTTGTACTTGAAGTTATTTCAATTCTTTAAAATTTGTTGAGACTTGTTTTTTGGCTAAACATGTAATCTATACTGGAGAATGTTTCATATACTGATGAGAACAATATGTATTCTGTAGTTGTTGGATAAAAAATTTTGTAAATATCACCAAGTTCCATTTGGTCTAAAGGGCAGTTTAAATCTAATGATTCTTTGTGTATTTTCTGCCCAGATGATTTGTCCAAAGCTAATAGTTGAGTGTTAAGTTCTCCAGTCATTATTTTTATTTATTTACTTAGAGACAGGGTCTTACTCTGTAGCCCAGGCTGGAGTGCAATGGCACAATCATGGCTCACTGCAGCCTTGACTTTCCAGGCTCAAGTCATGCTCCAGCCTCAGCCTCCCAAATAGCTGGGACTACAGGTGTGCATAAGTATGCTGAGCTATATTTTTTATTTTTTGTAAAGACATGGTCTCATTATTTTGCCCAGGCTCCCAATCATTATTCTAGAAAAATCTCTCCCTTTAGATCTAATAAGATCTGATAATATATGCTTTATATACTGGAAGTTCTAGTGTTGAATGTATATATATTTACCATTGTTATATCTGCTTTCTGAATTGATCACATTATTATATATATTAACTGTATTTATCTCTTTTTACAGTTTTTGCCTTAAAGTCTGTTTTATCTGATATAAGTATAGCTATTCTTGCTTGTTTTTTATTTCTGTTGTGTGAAATATCTTTTCCCATCTCTTCACTTTTATTTTATGTGTGTCATTAAAAGTTCCTTTTTAGGTAGCTGATATTGTAGTCGTGATTTTAATTATATTCATTTTTCCAGTCAGTATTATTAAGTGGACAATTTAATCCATTTACATTTAATGCTGTGATAGACATTACTTAATATTGCTATTTCATTGTGTTTTGGGTTTTTTGTATATCATTTGTCCCTTTCTTCCTCTCTTATCATCATTGCAGTTTGGTGGTTTTCTGTAGTGGTAACATTTGCATCCTTTCTCTTTCTTATTTTTGTGTCTGTTCTACCAGTAACTTTTATACTTTTGTGTTTTCATAATGGTAGATATTGCCCTTTTGTTTCCAGATGTAGGACTCTCTCAAGCATTTTTTGTGAGGCAGACCTAGTGGTGAAGAATGTCTTCAGTTTTTGCTTATATGGGAAAGATTATCTTTCTTTTTTTATATTGGAGGATGGCCTGGCTGGGTATAGTATTCTTGGCCGACAGTTTTTTTTTTTTCTTTTCACTGTCTGAATATATTAACTTATTCTCTATTGGCTTTTAAGATTTCTGCCAAGAAATCTGAGATTATTCTAATGAGGATACTGTTGTATGTGACTGTTTTTTATCTTGTTGTTTTAATAATTATCTCTTAGTCTTTTGACTTCTGACAGTTTGACCATAATGTTACCCCTGAGAGCACCTTCTTGGGTTGAATATGTTTTGCAATCTTTGAGCTTCCTGGATCTAAATGTTTATATCTCCCTCACAACTTGGAAATGTTTCAGCTATTCACTTACTAAATGTGTTTTCTATGCCTTTCCCCATCCCTTCTTTTTCAAAAACTCCTGTCATACAAATATTTATTCACTAATGGTGTCCCATAAATCTTGCAGTCTGTCTTCACTCTTTTTTATTTTCATTGCTTTTTTTTCCCTCTGACTGGGTAATTTCAAATAACCAACATTGTAGTTCAGAGGTTCTTTTTTCTCATCGTGATTAAGTCTTCCATTGAAGCTCTCCTTCCTGTTGTGTTTTTTATTTTGTTCATTTAATTCTTCAGATGTAAGATTTCTGTCTTCTTCTTTTTTATGGTATTTATTTTTTGAAAAATAATTATTGTTTATATTGTAAATTGTTTTCCTGATTTTGCTGAATTTTCTCACTGTACTTTCTTGCATCTCATGAAATTCTTTTAATATTCTTGTTTTGAATTCTTTCTCTGGCAATTTGTAGATTTCCCTTTTATAGCAGCATGTTATTAGAGAGTAACAGTGTGTCTTTGTTGGTGTCATATTTCTTGGGTTTTTTGTTTTTCTGTTTGTTTCTTGTGTGTTTGCATTGATGTTTGTGAAACTGATAGGACAACTGCATTTCCAAAATTTTAAAAGTGTCTTTCAGAGAGAAAGAATTTCACCTTTTGGGGGTTTTAGTGTGCCAGTTGGGAAGGGTGTGGTTACTCTGTTTAATGGTAGATTCATTGGTATACTCTTCATACAACTTCTTCAGCTGTGTTCAATTTGACAATAACTGTGATTACCTTGGTGACTGGGGCTGTAGAAGTTTGTAGCAGCAGCAGCAGCAGCAGCAGTAGTGTAGTTTGTTAATGTCCTTGTTGGTAAGAGCATTTGAGTCCTCTTATTCTCATTTTTCCCAAAATAAGGAGATGCAACCAAGTGATGGCAGCAGCCACTGCCATCATGCTGGCTGCAGCAGGGAGGTATGTCTGGGGCTGCATACTCCATGGAGCCAGTGGGAGCCAAGGACCAGCAGTAGCTTTGCCCCTTCTAAGTTGGGATGGGAGCTCCTCATGTTCAGCTGCAGCCACCCAAATCATGGCTGTAAACCCAGGCATCTCACTCCATGGAGCAGGCAAAAACCCCTCCCTCCTGGGTTGGGCTGCAGCTATCCCATTTGCAGCTGTAGATCCAAGCCTCCCTGTGCTATTGGTGGGGCCCAGGAGTAGGCAGAATCTCTGCCCCTTGGGTACAGGCCCATTTGCCCAACCCACAGCTGCAGACCTAGGTCTCCTGCTCCACTAAGCTGGCAGGAGTTGGGATGAGCAGGAGCCCCACCCTTTCCCAGTTGGCAGGGTGGGAGCTACCCAGGTGCAGCTGCATTCTCCATGCCAGGTGCACAACCTGGTGCATCCTCATGGCCTGGAAAGGCCCCCATCCATGTTCCAAAAGGCTTGGGGTTATCTGCTCCTGCTGCCTGGCCTCTCTCTGCTCCCAGGATCTGCTCTTATCTGAGTGTGGGGTTGAGGTCAAAACAGGGCACTGTCACAGCCTGGCAGGTGTGCACATGCTCAGGGAAATATTGACATGCTCTCTCCCTGCCCTCTTGTCCCCCTCCAGAAGTTAGGCCCTGATGAACATGAGATGGGAAGCTAAGTGGGAGACTGAGGGGGGCTGGGCACTGGCCTGCAGGTGCCCCTTGGTGTCAGTAGCCTGGGCACCATGGATGATTACAGGAGGCAGACAGGCTCCTGAGTGGAAGAGGGAGGGTCTCCAGTGAAGCCTCACCTTCAGGACAGACTGCCAGTCCTGTGGACCAGATGGGGGAGCTTATGGTGCTTTGTTTCTGGGCCTGCCAGTGGCCACTGATGTACCAATGAGCATGCACTTCCTCCCTTCTGAGGTCCATAAATGCCCTAGGCTCAGCCTAAGCAGTGCAGAGGACTGAGAGGACAGAAAGGATGGAGACACAATGGAATGATCAGCTGCAGAGAGGAGTTACCCTCTCTACTGAGAGCTTCAGAGAACTGCAGAGACATGGGGACTACCAGCTGCAGAGAGAAGCAATCCTCTCCAGGGTCTCCTCTTTGCTGAGAGCAGCAGATGTTGATTTGACCACTAGCAGAGAGGAGTTACCATCTCCAGTGCCTCCTCTCTGCTGAGAGCTGAATACTTGATGGGATGACCTGCCTACAGAGAGGAGCTACACACTGTGGGTCTCCTCTGAGCTGTTCCAACACTTAATAAACCTCCTCTTAGTCTTGTTCACCCTTCACTTGTCTGCATGCCTCAGTCTTCCAGGATGCAGACAAGAACTTGGGCAAAGGCACCACTGGCCACAGAGGTTTGTGAGCAGAAAACTGACACCTTAAAGATCCTGTAACACAAGGGGATTTCTTTTAGTGTCAGGTCTTACATGGCCTACAAGCTACTTCAGCAGTGCTTGATTCCAGATGCAGTGATCAGAGCAGTTTTAGGGTTGGGGTCCTAGGCTTGTGTTCTTGTGAACCTACTTAGGCACCTGGATCTTGGTTTGTAAGTTTTCTCTCTGTGACATTATTATATTTAGGTTGTCCACAGTGCCACAATCTGTAACTCTGAGGCACTCTTTAGCAGCTCAGGCCCAGGGGTGGGTTGTGGCTGTGGATCTATTCCTAGGGGACAGAACACAAAATTCGTGCTACTTCAAAGATGAAGGGGCTCTCTGGAGGTTTGCGCCTGGAAAGACGTTTACTGCTGCAACTTGGTAGCCTGATCCAACAAGGCTCAGTAGCAACTTGGACCCCAAGGAATAAGGCACCATGTAGTGGTTACTCTCAATCTTGGGTTAGTGGGGCTCTGCTGTACCTCAGACTCTGTAAGGCCATCAAAGCCAACAAGTACTTGTTCCCAGCTGCAACAAGTACTCCAGAATGGCAGATCATGGCTGTTGATTGTCTCCTGAGGGGTAGGGAGAAGTACAGAAATAATGACACTCTCTGTGGAGAGAAGTGTCTCAACAGCTAAGACTGCATGAGGTTAGTGTAGCTTCAGGGAAGCAGGATACTAGAATTCTTTGGCCTGTAGGGTGGGGTATCTCAGCTGCACCACTTTTCTATTTCCCTGAGACATGGAGTACTACATCAGTTCACCCTATGATATGTTACTGTTTAGCTTGTTCAAGACACCATTTCCCCAGGGCACAACACACCTTCTCATCTCAGGCCCAGAGTGCATACCTGTTCCAGGTGACTCAGACACCATTTCCCTGGTATGTTGGGCACCACTTACTTTAAGTACTGTGGTGCATGACCACATTGGATGGCAAAGGCACCCTTTTCTGAGAGGTACTTGGGCACTAGGGAAGAATAACTCCTCTGGGTGGCCAAGGTACTGTTTTCCAAGGAGACAGTGTAGTACTTTAGCTTAGATACAGAGAGGTGTGACTGCTCTTGATAGCCAAGGCACAATTTCTTTGGGATTTTTAGTGTTGCTTCAGCTCTGACACAAGGGTGAAGGGTGCAGCAGCAACTGAGATATGTTTTAGGAGCTGCCTTGCCAAGGCATCATTTCAACAGAAAGAAATGTGCAGCTTTAGCTTAGCCCAAAGAGGCAAATTGAAGGCATCCTGTCAAAGTACTGTTTCTTCAGGAGGAAGTGCACTGCTTCAGCTCAGTCCTCTAGCAGCAGGGAATCACTGTGGCTGAAAGAGGTAGATGGAGCCCCTCTGTCAAAGCACTACTTCTCCAGCAGGAAGTGTCACTAACTTTTTATTTGTTTATTTATTTTTGAATTTATTAAAATTATTGTATTTATTTGTGGAACACAATGTGATGTTTATCAACATATGAGGTAATTCACATACTTATCAGTTTTTAGTTTAATTCAATCTTATTTGTCTATATTTGCTTTTGGTGCCTGTGTTTTCCAGGTCTCATTCAAAAAGGTCATTGCCAAGATCAATGCCATGAAGATTTTTTCCTGTTTTCTTCCAGGAGTTTTAGAGTTTCAGGCCTTACATTTAAGTCTTTTAAATCCAATTTGAGGGGTGTGTGTGTGTGTGTGTGTGTGTGTGTGTGTGTGTGTGTGTTTTGAAATTAGGTTTTCTTCATGTGGATATCCAGTTTTCTCAGCATCATTTGTTCAAGAGACTGTTCTTTTCCCACTGTGTGTTTCTGGCCTCTTTGTTGAAACTCAATTGACCTTAAGAGCATGGATTTATTTCTGGGCTCTCTATTCTGTTCCTTTTTTTTTTAATGCCAGTACCACCCTATTTAGATTACTATTATTTTGTAATAGATTTCAGTCCAGGCAATGAGATGCCTAGGGCTTTGTTCTTTATGGTCAAAATTACTTCAGATATTTGGAGTCTTTTCTGGATATATATGAATTTTAGATTTTTTTTTCAATTTCTGTGAACAATGTCGTGTGGACTTTGATGGGGATTGCATTGAATATGTAGGTTGCTTTGGATGGTATGGACATTTTAACAATATTAAACTTTTTATTTAATAAATAAGTGAGATCTTTCCATGTATTTGTGTATTTTTTATAGCAAAACAGGGGGCCTATAGTCAATAATAAAAAGTATATTTCAATTTCTTTTATCAATGCTTTATAATTTTAAATGTATAGATTTTTCAACTTCTTGGTTAAATTTATTCCTAAGTATTGTTTTTATTTTTATTTTTTTGCTATTTTGAATGGGTTTTTTCATTGTTTTTCAGATCGTTTATTTTTAGTGTATAGAAACACTAGCAAATTTTGTTTGTTGATTTTGTGCTCTCCAACTTTACTGAATTTGTTGATCATTTCTATAAGTATTTTGGTAGAGTTTTTAGGGTTTTACATATATAAGATGATGTTATCTGCAAATAGAAACAATTTATCTTCTTCATTTCCAATTGAATGTCTCTTTTTTGCTTCCCTACTTTTTTTTTTCTAGTTAGAACATCCAGTACTAGGTTGAACAAAATTGGCAAGAGTGGGAATCTTTATCTTATTTTTTGATCTTAGGGAAAAAGCTTTCAAATTTTCTTTGTTAGGTATTATGTTAACTAATGGCTGGTCACATGTACCCTTTATTAAGCTTTTATGTCTTTAGCTATTCTTATGTATGTAGTGATAGCTTATTTTGATTGTAATTTATGTTTCTTGAATGGCTAATGATGATAATAAGCTAGTTTTTTATGTACTTATTTTTAATCTGTATTTTCTGATCTGTGAAATTATTTATTTTCTAATTAAATTGATATTTTTATTTTCTGTTGTTTTAATTGTTTTATCTGCTATATACTTGTCTTTTTTAAGCATGCAGCTTGCAAATATTTTCTTCCAGTCTGTAGCTCATCCATTTATTATTTTAAGAGTGTCTGTCACTGAACAAAAGTCTTTGATCTCAATGATTAAACCCAATTTATCATTTTTATCACTCTGTTTTTGATACCAAGTCTAAAAACATTTTGTTTATGCATATATCTACCAAATGTTTCTTCTATTTTTTCTAAAAGTGTTTTTGTTAATGTTTTTTACTTAAATCCATACTTACTTTTGAATTTATTTGGGTAAAAGGGTTGGGACATTGCTTAAAGTTTATTTATTTGCCTGTGGATTTCTAATTATTTTGGTGCAATTTGTTGAAGAAGCTATCCCCCCTCCAAAGAATAATTTTCACAAGTTTGTGAAAAAATCAGTTGAGCATATTTGTATGGGTCTGTTTCTGACTGCTCTATTCTATTCCAGTGGCTGATGTATGTATCCACGAAACAATGCCACACAATATTTATTACCATAAATGTATAATAGACCTTAAAATTAGGGAAACTAATTCCTTTTACTTTATTTTCAAGGTGGTTTTAGTTATGTAAATTTCTTTCCAATATAAATCTTAGGTTTATCTTGTCTTTAAGATTCTTGTTAAACATTGTGAAAAATTGTGTTAAACCTATATATTAATTTTAATAGAGTTTACATTTTTACCATAATATTTCTTCAGCCAATGTACATGGTATATCTCTCGATGAATTTAAATCTTCTGTGATATTTTTATCAACATTGTGACATTATAAGTAAACAAGTGCTCTCTATATTTTTTAGATCTATGTCTAAGTTTTGCTTTCATTTGAGCAATTGTAAACATTATTGTAATTTTTAGTTCCATGTCTACATAATAATTGCCAGTATATAAAAACAAAAATTATTTTTGTATGTTTTTCTTTAATGGTGTGACTCTGCTGAATTCATGTATTAATTTTTGGAAGACTTTTAGGGATTCCTTGGAATTTTGTCCACAGGTAATCGTATCACCAGAAAATGAAGTCACAATTATCAGTTTTTCTTTAAAAATATTATGCTTTTTATTTCTTTGTGCTGCCTTATTGGACTATTTTAGACTTCTGTCACTATGTTTAATAAGGGTGGTGAAAGCAGATATTATTACCTCATTCACAGTCTTATGGGGAATGAATTCAATCTTTCACCATTAAATTAGTGGCAGATAGTTTGTAGAAGTTATTTATCAAGTTGAGTAAGTTCACCTATATCCCTATTTTTTTCTGAGAGTTATTATTATAAAAAGGTGTTAAATTTTGTCAAATGCTTCTTTTCTGCACAAATTTATTTTAGAATGTGATTTCATTCTTTAGCCTATTAATATTATTCTTAGTTTGCTAAGAATAATGTCCTCCACCTCCATCCATGTTTCTGCAAAGAACATTATCTCATTTCTTTTTATGGCTGCATAGTATTCCATGGTGTATATGTACCACATTTACTTTATCCAGGCTATTATTGCTGGGCATTTAGGTTGATTCCATGTGTTTGCTATTGTGGATAGTGCTGCAATGAGCATAAACTTGCATGCTTCTTTATAAGAGAATTATTTATATTCTTTTGGGTATATATCCAGAAATGGAATTTCTGGGTTGAATGATATTTCTGCCTCTAGGTTTTTAAAACATCAACACACTATCTTCCAAAATGGTTGAACTAACTTACCCTCCCACCAACAGTGTAAAAAGCATTCCTTTTTATCCACAACTTTGCCAGCATTTGTTTTTTGACTTTTTAATAATAACCATTCTGACTGGTGTGAGATGGTATCTCATTGTGACTTTGATTTGCATTACTCTAATGATCAGTGATGTTAAGCTTTTTTCACATGTTTATTGCCTCATATATGTCTTCTTTTGAGAAATGTTTGATCACATTCTTCGCCCACATTTTAATGAGGTTCTTTTGTTCTTGTAAATTTGTATAAGTTCCTTATAGATGCAGGATATTTGACCTTTGTCTGATTGATAGATTGAAAAATTGCATTCTGCAGATTGTCTGTTTACTCTGCTGATAGTTTCTTTTGCTGTGCTGAAGCTCTTTAGTTTAATCAGATCCTATTTATCAATTTTTGCTTTTGATGCAATTTCTTTTGGTGTCTTTGTCATAAAATCTTTGCTTATGCCTATGTAATAAATGATATTGTCTAGGTTTTCTTCCAAGGTTTTTATAAATTTGGGTTTTACATTTAAGTCTTTAATTCATCCTGAGTTGATTTTTGTGTATGTTGTAAGGAAGGGGTCCAGTTTCAATTTTCTGCATATGACTGGCCTGTTCTTCTGGTAGCATTTATTAAATAGGAAATTCTTTTTGCATTGCTTGTTTTCATGAAGTTTGTCAAAGATCAGATGGTCACAGTTGTGCAATCTTATTTCTGGGTTCTCTATTCTGTTTCATTGGTCTATGTGTCTGTTCTTGTGCAAGTACCATGCTATTTTGATTACTGTAATTTTGTAGTATAGTTTGAAGACAGGTAGTGTGATGCCTCTGTCTTTGTTCTTTATGTTTAGGAGTGTCTTGGCTATTCAGGGTCTTCTTCTGCCATATGAATTTAAAAATAGTTTTTTTCTAATTCTGCGAAGAATATCAATGGTGGTTTACTGGGAATAGCATTGAATCTATAAACTGCTTTGAGCAATATGTCCATTTTCATGACATTGATTTTTCCTATCCATGAGCATGGAATGATTTCTCACTGGTTTGTTTCATCTCTGATATCTTTGAGCAGTGGTTTGTAGTTCTCCTTGAAAAGGTAATTCACTTCTCTTGTTAGCTGTATTCTTAGGTATTTTATTCTTTTAGTTGCAATTGTGAATGGGACTTGATTTGTGATTTGGCTCTCGGCTTGCCTGTTGGTGGTGTATGAAAATGATAACATATTTTGCACATTGACATTGTATCCTGAGAGTTTTCTAAAGTTGCTTATCAGCTTAAGAAGCTTTTGAGTTGAGATCGCAGGGTTTTCTAGACGTAGGATTATGTCATCTGCAATCAAGGATAGTTTGACTTCGTCTCTTCCTATTTGAATATGCTTTATTTCTTTCTTATGCCTGATTGCCCTAGGCAGAACTTCCAATAGTATGTTGAATAGGAGTGTTGAGAGAGTGAAAACTGGTCTTGTGCCAGTTTTCAAGGGCAATGCTTCCAGCTTTTGAGCATTCATTATTATATTGGTTGTGGGTTTGTCAAATATGGCTCTTATCGTTTTGACATATGTTCCTTCAGTACCTAGCTTACTGAAAGTTTTTAACATGAAGTCATGTTGAATTTTATCAAAGGCCTTTTCTGCATCTATTGAGATAATCATGTGGTTTATGTCTTTAGTTCTGTTCATGTAATGAATCACATTTATTGATTTGCACGTGTTAAACCAACCTTGCATCCCAGGGATAAAGCCTACTTGATCGTGGTGGATAAGCTTTTTCATGTGCTGGTAGATTCAGTTTGCCAGTATTTTATTGAGGATTTTTGCATCAGTGATTATCACGGATATTGGCCTGAAGTTTTCCTTTTTTGTTGTATTTCTGCCAGGTTTTAGTATCAGCATGATACTAAAACCTCATAAAATGAGTTAGAGAGGAGTCCCTCCTCCTCAATTTTTTGGAATAGTTTTAGTAGGTATGGTATCAACTTTCCTATATACCTCTGGTAGAATTCAGTTGGGAATCCATCTGGTCCTGGATTTTTTTGTTGGTATGCTATTTATTACTGCCTCAATTTCAGAGCTTGTTATTTGTCTATTCATGGATTCAATTTCTTCCTGGTTCAATCTTTGAAGAGTGTATGTGTCTAGGAATATATCCATGTCTTCTAGATTTTCTAGCTTATGTACATAGAGGTGTTTATAATGTTATCTGATGGTAATTTGTCTTTCTGTGGGGTGAAAGGTAATATTCCCCTTATCATTTCTGATAGTGTTTATTTCAATCTTCTCTCTTTTTTTCTTTATTAGTCTAGCTGGTGGTCTATTTTATTTTTCAAAAAAACAGCTCTGGATTCATTGATCTTTTGAAGGGTTTTTTATGTTTCTGTCTTCTTCAGTTTCGTTCTGATTTTGATTATTTCTTCTCTTCTACGAACTGAGAACCTTTGTAAAATCAGGTGAGCACTCACAGTACCTGGTTCTAACTTCATATCGCTAAAAGAGGCACTGAAGAGATAGAAAAAAACAGACCTAAATCATTGATGCCACCCCTCTAGCTCAGACATCAGCAGTATGGTGCAGAATGTCTCTGGGCACTGGGGGAGGTTTAACAGCAATAGTGAGACATTGAACACAGTGTTGTCCTGTTAGACCAGAAAGGAAAACCAGAACCACCTCAACTGAAGCCTGTCCATGGAGGAAGCATTAAATTAGTCTTAGCCAGAGGTGAATCACCAACCTCAGCAGTCCAAACTTGAGTGCCCACAAACCTCACCACCAAGAGACAAAGTGCTTTCAGCCTTTAAATAAACTTGACAAGCAGTCTAGGCCATGAGGACAGCAACTCATGGCAAGTTCTAGGAATGAACTAGGTCCACAGACAGTGGATTTGGTGATGGGGTCGGGGGAGTATGCAACATACTGAAACCTGAGACACCAGCTGGGACAGCCAAGGGAGTGCTGGCATTATCTCTCTCTTAGCCCCAGGCTGCACAGCTCAGGGCTCCAAAGGAGACCCCTACCTTCCTTCTGAAGAGAGGAGAGGGAAGAGTGGAAGGACTTTGTCTTGAAACTTGGATACCAGCTGAGCCACAGCAGGAACGGGCACCACTCACAATCATGAGGCCTCCATTCCAGGCCCTATTTCCCAGAAAACACTTCTAGAAACACCCTGGGCCAGAAGAAAACCAGCTACCTTGAAGGCAAGAAACCAGTCCTGCCAGCATTTATTAACTGCTAACTAAAGTACCCTTGGGCATTGCATAACCAGTAGTTATAACCAGGTACTACATCAAGGGCCTTGGTGAGCCTCTGAGACTCGCTGGCTTCAGGTGAGATTCAGCACATTACCAGCTCTGATGGCTATTGGGAAAAACTCCTTCTGCAGGAAAAAAAGAAAATAAAAAATTAAAGGGGACTTTGTCTTGAACCATATATACTGACACCACCACAGGGGGTAAAGCACCAAGCAAACTATTGGGTTCCCGATTTCAGGACTTGACTCTTGGATGGCATTTATGGACCTGCCCTGGGCCAGAGAGGATCCCTCTGCCCTAAAGGGTGACTCCCAGGCTAGGCAGCATTCATCACAAAGCTGCCTGGCCTGGGACTTAAGAAACTTTGAGCCTTAAGGGAACACTGATGGTAATCTGGCAGTACTCCTCATGGCCTGGGCTGGCAGTGGCTATGGGAGAAAATCCCTCTGCCTTTGAAAGGGGTGGGAAGAGTGGGAAGGACTGCATCTTGTGGTTTGAATATCAGCTCAGCCACAATACAATAAAATACCAGGTAGACATCTAAAGTTTTGGACTGTAGTCCCTGACTTTTAGATGGCACTGTTGGACCCACCTAAGGCCTGGTGACCTCATTTCCCTGAAGAGAAGAACATAAGCTTAGCTGGCTTTGCCACCTGCTGATTATAGAGCCTCAGGGCATTGAGCAGCAAACATTGGCAGTAGCTAGAAAGTGGTTACAGGAGGCCTTGGATGATACCCAGCACTGGGCTGGCTTAAGGTCTGATCCAACAGAGTCCTAGTGGTGGTGGACACAGGGGTGCTGGTGTCACTTCACCTCCAGCTTTAGGTGGCTCAGAACAGAGACAGAAACTTAGTTTGTTTGGGAAAAAGTAAGGGTAAAGAGCAAGAGTCTCTGCCTGGTAATCCAGATCATTCTCCTGGATATTGTCTAAGACCAACAATGTAGTAACTCTACCAGTCTGCAAAAACACAGCTTTACTGAGAGTTTGGGATAACCTTAAAGCAGAAACAGCTTAGATCACAACACTCAAGTATTTTCAAATATCTGGAAAGCCTTCCCAAGAAGGATGACTGCAAATAAGCCCAGACAGTGAAGGCTACAATGAAAACCTAACTCTTCAATGCCTGGACACTGGAGAACATCTACTAGCATCAACATTATCCAGGAAGTTATGACCTCACCAAATGAACTAAATAAAGCACCAGTGACCAATTCTAGAGAAACAGAGATAACTGACCATTCAGACAAAGAATTTAAAATAGCTATGTTTAGGAAACTCAAAGAAATTCGATACCACAGATAATGAATTTAGAATTTTATCTGATAAATTTAACAAAGGTACTGAAATAATAGAAAAAATGGAGGAAAAATTCTGGAATGGAAAAATGAAATTGACATAAAGAAGAATGCATCCGAGTCCTTTGACAGCAGAATGAACTGAGGAAAAGAAAAAAAAATAGTGAGCTTGAAGACAAGATATTTGTAAATACACAGAGGAGACACAAGAAAAAAGAATAAAAAACAATAAAGCACATCTTCGAGATATAGAAAATCGCCTCAAAAAGGCAAATCTAAGAGCTATTGGCCTTAAAAATGAGGTAAAGAAAGAGCTAGGGATAGAAACTGTATTCAAAGTGATAATAACAGAGAACTTCCCAAACCCAGAGAAAAATATCAGTATCCAAGTACATGAGGGTTAAAGAACATCAAGCAGACTTAACACAAACAAGACTACACCTAGGCATTTAATAGCAAAACTTCCAAAGGTCAAGGAGAAAGAAAAAATTCTAAAAGTAGCAAGAAAATGAAAATAACTTAAAATGAAGTTCCAATATTTCTGGCAGCAGACTTTCAGTTGAAACTTTACAAGCCAGAAGAAAGTGGCATGAGATATTTACAGTATTGAAAGAAAAGAAACTTTCCCCAGGATACTATATTGAGTGAAAATATTCTTCAAATATAAAGGAGATATAAAGATCTTCCCAGACCACAAAAGTTGGGGAATTTCATTATACCAGACCCATCGTACAAGAAATGCTAAAGGGAGTACATGAACAATAAATAATTACCTGAAGGTACAAAACTCACTGGTAATAGTAAGTACACAGAGAAACACAGAATATAACACTGTAACTGTGGTGTGTAAACTACTCTTATCCTAAGTAGAAAGACTAAATCAAAAATAATATCTGCTACAACTTTTAAAGGCATATTGAGTACAATAAGATATAAATAAAACAACAAAAATTAAAAGGTATGGAAATAAACTTAAAGTAATATTTTATTCATTTTCTTTTTGCTTGTTTTTGAAATTTGTTTATGCAAATAGTGTTAAGTAGTTATGTTAAAATAATGGGTTATAAAATAGTATTTGCAAATTTCATGGTAACTTCAAACTAAAAAACATACAATGCAGATACAAAAAAGAAAAAGCAAGAAATGCTATCATATCACCAGAGAAAATTATTTTCACTTGAAAACGGAGTCTTCCTTCATTCCTAAAGAAAGGAATAAAAAAGAAAGAAGAGAAGTTACAAAACAACCAGAAAACAAATAGCAAGGTGGCAGGGGTACGTCCTTACTTATCAATAATGACATTGCATGTAAATGGACTAAACTCTCCAATCAAAAGTTATAGACTACTTGAATGGAAGAAAAATTAAGACCTATGGAGGTATTGCCTACAAGAAACACACTTCACCTATAAAGACACACATACGCCAAAATCAAAGGGATGAAAAAATATATTTCAAGCCAATGGAAACCAAAGAACACAAGAAGTCTCTTTACTTATATCAGACAATATAGATTTCAAGACAAAACCTATAAGAAGAGACAAAGAAGGTCACTATATAATAATAAAGGGATCAATTCAGCAAAAGGATATAACAATTTTAAAGATATATGCACCCAACACAAGAGCACCCAGATATATAAAGAAAATATTATTAGAGCTAAAGAGAGAGATAGGCTCCAGTACAATAACTGGAGACATCAACATTCCACTGTCAGCACTGGACATATCTCCCAGACAGAAAATTAACAAAGAAACCTCAGACTTAATTTCCATGATAGACCAAATAGATCAAGTATATATTTACAGAAGATTTCATCTAAGAGCTTTAAAATACATATCATTTTCTCAGCACGTGGATCATTCTCAAGTATAGACTATATGTTAGGTTACAAAACAGGTCTTAAAACATTCAAGACAGGTCAGGCACTGTAATCCCAGCATTTTGGGAGCCTGAGGTGGGTGGATCACTTGAGGTCAGAAGTTTGAGACCAACCTGACCAACATGGTGAAACCACATCTCTACTAAAAATACAAAAATTAGCCAGGCTTTTTGGCATGTGCCTTTAGTCCCAGCTACTCAGGAGGCTGTGGCACAAGAATCACTTGAACCTGGGAGCTAGAGGTTGCTAGAGCCAAGATCACACCACTGCACTTCAGCCTTGGTGACAGTAAAGACTCCATCTCAAAAAATAAATTAAATTAAAATAAAATAAAATTCAAAAAAAATAAAGTAACACTAAATAACTTTTTTGACCACAATGGAATAAAATTATAAGTTAATAAAGAGGAATTTTGAAAACTATACAAATACATGAAAATTAAGCAATATGCTCCTCAATAACCAGTGGGGTCATGAAGAAATTAAAAAATAAATAGATAAATGTTTTGAAACAAATAATAGTAGAAAAACAACATACCAAACCCTATAAATACAGCAAAAGAAATACAAATAGGGATGTTTATAGCTATCAGTGCCTGCATAAAAGAGAGGAAAAACTTCAAATGAACAATCTAATGATGCGTCTTAACAACAAGAAAAGCAAAAGCAAACCAAACTCAAAATTAGAAAATAGAAGAAGGGGATTTGCTGCAAGATGGCCGAATAGGAACAGCTCTGGTAAGCAGCTCCAAGCGAGATCAATGCAGAAGGTTGGTGATTTCTGTATTTAAAACTGAGGTACCTGGTTCATCTCATTGGGTCTGGTTGGACAGTGGGTGTGGCCCACGGAGTGTGAGCCAAAGCAGGGTGGGGTGTCACCTCACCTGGGATGTGCAAGGGGTCGGGAGATGTCCCTCCCCTAGCCAAGAGAAGCCATGAGGGACTGTACCAGGAGGAATGGTGCACTCTGGTCCAGATACTGCACTCTTTCCATGGTCTTCATAACCGACAGACCGAGAGATTCCCTCCTGTGCTTACGCCACCAGGACCCTGGGTTTCGAGCACAAATCTGGGCGGCCATTTGGACAGACACCAAGCTATCTGCAGTAGTTTGTTGTTGTTGTTGTTGTTGTTGTTGTTGTTGTTTTTTCATACCCCAGTGGCACCTGGAATGCCAGAGAGAGAGAACCATTCACTCCCCTGGAAAGGGGGCTGATGTCAGGGAGCCAAGTGTTCTGGCTCAGTGAGTTCCACCTCCATGGAGCCCAGCAAGCTAAGATCCACTGGTGTGAAATTCTCACTGCCAACACAGCAGCCTGAGGTTGACCTGGGATGCTGAGCTTGGTGGGGCAAGGGGCATCTGCCATTGCTGAGGCTTGAGTAGACGGTTTTACACTCACAGTTTAAAAAAAGCCACAGGGAAGTTCAAACTGGGTGGAGCCCACCACAGCTCAGCAGGGCCACTGTGGCCAGAATCCTTCTCAAGATTCCTGCCCTCTGGGCAGGGCATCTCTGAAAAAAAAGCAGCAGCCCCAGTCAGGGACTTATAGATAAAACCCCCATCACCCTAGGATGGAGCAACTGGGGGAAGGGGTGGCTATGGGCGCAGCTTCAGCAGACTTAAATGTCCCTGCATGACAGCTCGGAAGAGAGCAGCAGATTTCCCAGCAAAGTGGTCAAGCTCTGATAAGGGACAGACTGCTTTTTCAAGTGGGTCTCTGAGCCCCGTGTACCCTGACTGGGAGACACCTCACAGCAGGGGTCGACAGACACCTCATACAGGAGAGCTCTGGCTGGCATCTGCCAGGTACCCCTTTGGGATGAAGCTTCCAGAGGAAGGAACAGGCAGCAATCTTTGCTGTTCTGCAGCCTCCACTGGTGATACCCAGGCAAGCAATGTCTGGAGTGGACCTCCAGCAAACTCCAGCAGACCTGCAGCAGGGGACCTGTTAGAAGGAAAACTAACACATGGAAATGAATAGTATCAACATCAACAAAAAGGACGTCCACTCAGAGACCCCATGTGAGGGTCATCAACATCAAAGACCAAAGGTAGATAAATCCATGAAGATGGGGAGAAACCAGCGCAAAAAGGCTGAAAAATTCCAAAAACCAGAATGATTCTTCTCCTGCAAAGGATCACAACTCCTTGCCAGCAAGGGAACAAAACTGAACAGAGAATGGGTTTGACTAATTGACCGAAGTATGCTTCAGAAGGTGGGTAATAACAAACTCCTCTGAGCTAAAGGAGCATGTTCTAACCCAATGTAAGGATGCTAAGAACTTTGAAAAAAGGTTAGAGGAATTGCTAACTAGAATAACCAGTTTAGAGAAGAACATAAATGACCTGATGGAGCTAAAAACACAGCATGAGACCTTCAGAAGGCATGCACAAGTATCAGTAGCTGAAATGATCAAGCAGAAGAAAGAATATCAGAGATTGAAGATCAACTCAATGAAATAAAGTGAGAAGGCAAGATGATAGAAAAAAGAGTGAAAAGAAACAAACAAAGCCTCCAAGAAATATGGGGCTATGTGAAAAGACAAAATCTACATTTGATTGGTGTACCTGAATGTGATGGGAAAAATGGAA
Source organism: Homo sapiens (assembly GCF_000001405.40). Lineage (NCBI taxonomy): Eukaryota > Metazoa > Chordata > Mammalia > Primates > Hominidae > Homo > Homo sapiens. The sequence goes on from NC_000023.11 coordinate 58,004,302, forward strand.
CCAAGTTGGAAAACACTCTTCAGGATATTATCCAGGAGAACTTCCCCAACCTAGCAAGGCAGGCCAACATTCAAATTCAGGAAATACAGAGAATACCACAAAGATACTGCTCAAGAAGAGCAACTCTGAGACACATAATCATCAGATTCCCAAAGGTTGGAATGAAGAAAAAAATGTTGAGGGCAGCCAGAGAGAAAAGTCAAGTTACCCACAAAGGGAAGCCCATCAGACTAACAGCGGATCTCTCTGCAAAAACCCTAAAAGCCAGAAGAGAGTGGGGGCCAATATTCAACATTCTTAAAGAAAAGAATTTTATACCCAGAATTTCATATCTGGCCAAACTAAGCTTCATGAATGAAGGAGAAATAAAATCCTTTACAGACAAGCAAATGCTGAGAGATTTTGTCACCACTCGGCCTGCCTTACAGGAGTTCCTGAAGGAAGCACTAAACATGGAAAGGAACAACAATAACCAGCCACTGCAAAAACATACCAAATTGTAAATGCCATCGATGTTATGAAGAAACTGCTTCAACTAATGTTCAAAATAATCAATCAGCTAGCATCATAATGACAGGATCAAATGCACACACAACAATATTAACCTTAATGTAAATGGGACAAATTCCCTAATTAAAATACACAGACTGGCAATTTGGACAGAGTCAAGACCCATCAGTTTGCTGTATTCAGGAGACCCATCTCATGTGCAAAGATGAAAAATAGGCTCAAAATAAAGGGATACAAGAATATTGACCAAGCAAATGAAAAGAAAAAAAAAAGCAGGGTTTGCAATCCTACTCTCTGATAAAACAGACTGTAACCAAACAAAGATCAAAAGAGACAATGGCATTACATAATGATAAAGGGATCGATGCCACAAGAAGAGCTAACTGTCCTAAATATGTATGTACCCAATACAGGAGCACCCAGATTCATAAAGCAAGTTCTTAGAGGCCTACAAAGATACTTAGACTCCCTCACAATAATAGTGGGAGATTTTAATACCCCACTGTCAATATTAGAGAGATCAATGAGACAGAAAATTAAGAGGGATATTCAGGACTTGAACTCAGCTCTGGACCAAGTGGACCTAATAAATATCTACAGAACTCTGCACCACAAATCAACAGAATATGCATTCTTCTCAGCACCACATCGCAGTTACTCTAAAATTGACCATATAATTCGAAGTAAAATACTCCTCAGCAAATGAAAAAGAACGGAAATCATAACATACAGTCTCTCAGACCACAGTGCAATCAAATTAGAACTCAGGATTAAGAAACTCACTGAAAACTGCACAACTACATGGAAAATGAGCACTGTGCTCCTGAATGATTACTGGGTAAATAAGGAAATGAAGACAGAAATAAATCTTTGAAACCAATGAGAACAAAGACACAACATACCAGAATCTCTGGGATACATTTAAAGCAGTGTGTAGAGGGAAGTTTATAGCACTAAATTCCCAGAAGAGAAAGCAGGAAAGATCTAAAATTGACACCCTAACATCACAGTGAAAGGAACTAGAGAAGCAAGAGCAAACAAATTCAAAAGCTAGCAGAAGACAAGAAATAACTAAGATCAGAGCAGAACTGAAGGAGACAGAGACAAAAAAACAAAAAAAACAACCCTTAAAAAATTCAATGAATCCAGGAGCTGGTTTTTTGAAAAGATCAACAAAATAGATACACTGCTAGCCAGACTAATAAAGAAGAAAAGAGAGAAGAATCAAATAGATGCAATAAAAAATATTAAAGGGGATATTGCCATCAATCGAAATACAAACTACCTCTATGCAAATAAACTAGAAAATCTAGAAGAAATGAATAAATTCCTGGACACATACACCCTCCCAAGACTAAAGCAGGAAAAAGTCAAATCCCTGAATAGAACAATGACAAGTTCTGAAACTGAGGCAGTCCAGCAACCAAAAAAAGGTCCAGGACCAGGATTCACAGCTGAATTCTACTGGACATAAAATGAGGATCTGCTACCATTCCTTCTGAAACTATTCCAAACAATAGAAAAAGAGGGAATCCTCCCTAACTCATTTTGTGATGCCAGCATTATCCTGATAACAAAATCCGGCAGAGACACAACAAAAAAAGAAAATTTTAGGCCAATATTCCTGATTAACATCGAAACAAATATCCCCAATAAAATACCGGCAAACTGAATCCAGCAGCACATCAAAAAGCTTATCCACTTGATCGTCGTGGCACGATCAATTTGGCTTCAACCCTGGGATGCAAGGCTGATTCAGCATACACAAATCAATAAACGTAATCCATCACATAAACAGAACATGTATCACAGAACTTAAAGTATAATAAAAAAATTAGTATCATTTCTATATGCCAACCATGAACAATGTGAAATGGAAATTAAAAAGTAATTTCATTTACTGTAGCCACACATAAAATTAAATACCTTGGAATTAACTTAACCAATGACATTTCAATAATGAAAATTGTAACACAGAGATAAAGAAAATTGAAGAGAACACCAAAAAATAGTGAAAATATTCCATGGTCATAAATTCGAAGAGTCAATATTGTTAACATTTCCAGACTACTCAAAGCAATCTACAGATTGAATGCAACCCCTATCAAAATACCAATGATATTCTTCACAAAAATATAAAAAATAATCCCAAAATTTGTATGAAACAACAAAAGACCCAGCATAGCCAAAGCTATTCTTAGAAAAAAAAAAAAAAACTGAAGGAATCACACTACCTGACTTGAAATTATACTACAGTGCTATAGTAACCAAAACAGCATGGTATTTGATGGCATAAACTCAGACACATAGACCAATGAAACAGAATGGAGAAGCCAGGAACAAATTCACACACCTGCACTGAACTCATTTCTGACAAAATTGCCAAAAACCTACTTTGGGGAAAGCACTGTCTCTTTTATAAATGGTGCTAAAATGAAATTAGATTCCATCTCTCGCCATATAAAAAATCAAAATGGATTATAGACTTTAGTCTAAGACCTCAAACTATGAAACTACTGCAATAAAACTTTGGAAAAACTCTTCAGGACATTTGTGTGCGCAAAATTTTTTTGAGCCAGACACCACAAGAACTGGCAACCAAAGCAAACATGGACAAATGGGATCTCAACAAATTAAAAAAAACTTCTGCACCACAAAGGATATTATCGACAAAGAGAAAAGGAAACCCAAAGAATGAGAGAAATAATAACCAGGATATATAAGGATCTCAAACAACTCTAGAGGAAAAACTAATAATCCCACCAAAAAAGTGGGTAAAATATTTGAACAGACATTTCTCAAAAGAAGACACGCAAGTGGCAAACAGGCGTATGAAAAGGTGCTCAACATTATTGATCATCAGAGAAATGAAAATCAACACTATAATGAGGTATCATCTCACCCCACTTAAAATGGCTCATATCCAAAGCTAAACAATAACAAATGCTGGTGAGGATGTGGAGAAAAGAGAATTCTCATAAACCATTGGCGGGAATGTTAACTAGTACACCCATTATAAAAAACAGGTTCAAAATTTCTCAAAAACCTAAAAATTTACCTATCATATGATCCAGCAATTCCAATGCTGTGTATATACCCAAAAGAAAGGAAATTATTTTACTGAAGAGACATCTGCACTCCTATGTTTGTTGCAGAACTGTTTTCAATAGCTGAGATTTGGAAGCAACCTAAGTGTCTATCAATAGATGAATAAATGAAGAAAATATGGTACATATACACAATGGAATACTATTCAGTTGTAACGAAGAATGAGATTCATGGATGCATCTGGAGATTATCATGTTAAGTGAAATAAGCCAGGCACAGAAAGACAAACATCACATGTTTTCACATATTTGTGGGATGTAAAAATCAAATGAATTGAACTCATGGACATAGAGAGTAGAAGGATTGTTATAAGAGGCTGCAAACAGTAACAAATGGTTAATGGGTATCAAAAAATAGAAAGAATAAATAAAACCTACTATTTGGTAGCAGAACAGAGTGATTTTAGTCAATAATAACTTTACTGCATATTTTAAAATAATTTAAAGAATGTTATTGGATTGTTTGTAACCCAAAGAATAACTGCTTGAGGAAATGGATACCCCATTCTACTTGGTGTGCTTATTTCACATTGCATGACTGTATCAAAATACTTCATATGCCTACCATGTACCCTCAAAATTGTAAAAATTAATAAAAATTTTAAAATTGTAAAATATATTTGTGTAGAATTTTTAAAATATATTTTTTGATTTTGTTTTATTTTAATAGGTTTTAGGGAACAGATGGTGGTTGGTTACTTTAATAAGTTATTTCGTGGTGATTTCTGAGATTTTGGTGCACCCATCACCCAAGCTGTGTGCACGGTTCCCAATATGTAGTCTTTTATCCCTTGCCACCCCCCACCCTTTCCCCTGAATCCTCAAAGTCCAATGTAGCATTCTTATGCCTTTGCGTCCTCATAGCTTAGCTCCCACATGTGAGGAAGAACATGCGATGTTTGGTTTTCCATTCCTGAGTTCTAAGTGAAGTCACTTAGAACAGTAGTCTTCAATTCCACATCATGTATGTATGTATATCATGGCATGTATATACAATATTTTCCTTAGCCACTCATTGATTGATGGGAAATTGGGCTGCTTCCATATTTTTGCAGTTACAAATTGTGCTGCTATAAACATGCATGTGCAAGTATATTTTTCATATAATGACATCTTTTCCTCTGAATAGATACCTAGTAGTGGGATTGCTGGATTAAATGGTAGATCTACTGTTAGTTCTTTAGGGAATCTCCACACTCTTTTCCACAGTGGTTGTACTAATTTACATTCCCACTAACAGCGTAAAGATGTTTTGTTTTTAGCACATCCACGCCAACAAGTATTAGGTTTTTTGTTGTTGTTGTTTGTTTGTTTGTTTGTTTATTATTGCCATTCTTGCAGGAGTAGGGGTTATTGCATTGTGGTTTTGATTTGCATTTTCCTGAAAATTAATGATGGTGAGCATTTTTTCATACGTTTATTGGCAAATTGTATATTTTCTTTTGAGAATTGTCTATTCATGTCCTCAGCCCACATTTTGTTGGAATTATTTGCTTTTTTCTTGATGAATTGTTCGTGGTTGTTTTTTTTTGTGAATTCTGGATATTAGTTCTTTGTTAAATGTATAGGTTCTGAAGATTTTCTCCCACTCCATGGGTTGTCTGTTTACTCTGCTGATTATTTATTTTGCTCTGCAGAAGCTTTTTAGTTTAATTAAGTCCCATCTACTTATCTTTGTTTTTTGTTTCTTTGTTTGTTTTTGCATTTGCTTTAGGGTTTTGGGTCATGAAGTCTTTGCATAAGCCAATGTCTAGAAGGGTTGTTCCAATGTTATATTCTAGAATCTTTAAGTTTTTAGGACTTAGATTTAAGTCTTTGATCCATCTTGAGTTGATTTTTGTATAAGGTGAGAGATAAGGATCCAGTGTCATTATCCTAACTGTGGCTTGCCAATTATCACAGCATCATTTGTTGAATAAGGTGTCATTTCTCCACTTTATGTTTTTGTTTGCTTTGTCGAAGATCACTTGGCTGTAAGTATTTTGGTTTATTTCTGGGTTCTCTATTCCGCTTTATTGGTATATGCGCCTATCTTTACACCAGTACCATGCTCTTTTGGTGATTATGGCCTTATAGTATAATTAGAAGATGGGCAAAGTGGTGCCTTCATAGCTGACCTTTTTGCTTAGTTTTGCTTTGGGTATGTGGGCTCCTTTTCTGTTTCATATTAATTTTAGCATTGTTTCTAGTTCTGTGAAGAATAATGGCAGTATTTTGATGGGAATTGCCCTGCATTTATAGATCGGTTTTGGCAGTATGGTGATTTTCACAATACTGATTCTACCCTTCCATGAGCATGGGATGTGTTTCCATTTGTTTGTGTTGTTTATGATTTCTTTCAGCAGTGTTTTGTAGTTTTCCTTGTAGAGGTCTTTCATGTCCTTGGTTAGCTATATTCTTTAGTTCAGTTGAGTATAGTTTTGTTTTTCAGCTATTATAAAAGGGATTGAGTTCTTGACTTGATTTTCAGTTTGGTTGCTTTTGGTGTATAGCAGAGCTACTGATTTGTGTACATTAATTTTGTATTCTAAAACTTTGCTGAATTTGTTAACCGGTTCTAGGAGAATTTTGGATGAGTGTTTAAAATTTTCTAGGTATAAAATCATACAATCAGCAAACAGGAAGAGTTTGACTTCCTCTTTACCAATTTGGATGCCCTTTATATCTTTCTCTTGTCTGACTGCCCAGGCTAGGACTTCCAGTACTGTATTAAATAGAAGTGATGAAAGTGGGCATTCTTGTCTTGTTCCAGTTTCCAGGGGGAATGCTTTCAATTTCCCCCCATTCAGTACAACGTTGGCTGTGGGTTTGTCATAGATGTCTTTTATTGCCTTAAAGCATGTCCTTTCTGTGCCGATTTTGCTGAAGGTTATAATCATAAAGGGATGCTGGATTTTTTTCAAATGCTTTTTCTGCATCTATTGAGACGATCATGTAATTTTTGTTTTTAATTCTGTTTACGTGGTGTATCACATTTATTGACTTATGTATGTTAAACCAACCCTTCACCTCTGGTGTGAAATCCGTTTGATCATGGTGGGTTATCTTTTTGATATGCTGTTGCATTTGGTTTGCTAGTAATTTGTTGAGGATTTTTGCATCTATGTTAATCAGGAATATTGGCCTGTAGTTTTCTTTTTTGTTATGTCCCTCCCTGGTTTTAGTATTAGGGTAAAACTGGCTTCATATAATGATTTAGGGACGATTACCTCTTTATTTTGTAGAATACTGTCAATAGCATTGGTACCAATTCTTATTTGAATCTCTGATAAAATTCAGCTGTGAATCTGTCTAGATATGGGCTTTTTGTCATCTGCAATTTTTTATTATCATTTTAATCATGCCGCTTGTTATTGATCTGTTCAAAGACTCCATATCTTCTGCTTTAATGTAGAAAGGTTGTATATTTCCAGGAATTTATTCACCTCCTCCAAGTTTTCTAGTTTATGCATGTGTAACAGTGTTCATATTAGTCTTGAATTATCTTTTGTATTTCTGGGGTGTTAGTTGTAATATCTCCTGTTTTGTTTCTAATTGAGCTTATTTCAATATCTTCTTTTCTTTGCTAATATTGCTAATGGTCTATCAAGTTTATTCATCTTTTCAAAAACGAGATTTTGTTTCATTTATTTTTTGTATTTTTTTGTTTTGATATCATTTAGTTGTGCTCTGACCTTCGTTTTTTCTGGTCTCCTGCTGGGTTTATATTTGGATTTTTCTTGTTACTCCAGTTCCATGAAATGTGACCTTAGGTAGTCTGTGCTCTTTCAGACTTTTTGATGTAGGCATTTTATGCTATGAAGCTTTCTCTTAGCACCACTTCTGCTGTATCTCAGATGTTTTTATAGATTGTGTCACTATTACTGTCCAATTCAAAGAATTTTTGAATTTGCATCTTGACTTTATTGTTGACCCAACGATCATTTGGGAGCAGGTTACTTAATTTTCATATATTAGCACCATTTTGAGGAGTCGAGTTGATTTCCAATTTTATTCCACTATGGTCTGAGAGAGTACTTGATATAATTTTGATTTTCTTAAATTTACTGAGACTTGTTTTGTGGTCTCTCATATGGTCTATCTTGGAGAATGTTCCATGTGTTGATGAATAGAATGTATGTTCTGCAGTTGTTGGGTAGAATGTTCTGCAAATATCTGTTAAGTCCATTTGTCCTGGAGTACAGTTTAAGTCCATTATTTCTTTGTTTGCTTTCTGTCTTGATGACTCGTCTAGTGCTGTCAGTAGAACATTGAAGTCCTCACCATTATTGTGTTGCTGTCTATCTCAATTTCTTAGGTCTAGTAGGGATTGTTTTATAAATTTGGGATCTCCAGTGTTAGGTGAATATATATTTACAATTGTGATACTTTTCTGGTGGACTAGTCCTTTTACCATTATATAATGTCCATCTTTGTCTTTTTAAACTGCTGTTGCTTTAAAGTTTGTTCTGTCTGATTAAGAATAGCTACTCCTGCTTGCTTTTTGTGTAGATTTGCATGGAGTATGATTTTCCACTTCTTTACCTTAAGTTTATGTGAGTCCTTATTGTTAGGTGAGTCTCCTGAAGACATCAGAAATTTAATTGGTGGATTCTTATCAATTCTGCCATTCTGTATCTTTTAAGTGGAGCATTTAGGCCATGTACATTCAAAGTTATTATTAAGATGTGAAGTCCTATTCTATTCATCATGCTATTTGTTGCCTGAATACCTTGTTTCTTGTGTCTGTGTTATTGTTATGTAGGTCTTGTGAGATTTATGCTTTAAGAATGTTTTGTTTTGGTGTATTTTGAGAATTTGTTTCAAGATTTACAGTTCATTTCAACAGTTATTGTAGTGTTGGCTTGGTACTGGAGAATTCCCTCAGCATTTGTTTGTCTGAAGAAGACTGTATCTTTCCTTCATTTATGAAGCTTAGTTTCACTGGATACAAAATTATTGGCTGATAATTGTTTTAGGGAGGCTAAAAATAAGATCTCAATCCCTTCTAGTTGTAGGGTTTCTGCTGAGAAATCTTCTCTTAATATCATAGGTTTTTCTTTATAGGTTACCTGATGCTTTTGCCTCACAGCTCTTAAGATTCTTTGTTTTGTCTTGACTTTAGATAACCTGATGTGCCTAGGCAACGAATTTTCTAGGTCTTCTTTGCATTTTTTGTATTTGGCTGTCTAGATCTCCAGCAAGACCAGAAATGTTTCCTCAATTTTTCCCTCAAATATGTTTTCCAAACTTTTAGATTTCTCTTCTTTCTCAGAAACACCAATTATTCTTAGGTTTGGATGTTTAACATAGTCCCAAACTTATTGAAGGCTATGTTCACTTTTTTTCATTCTTTTTTTCTTTGTCTTTGACGAATTGGGTTAATTTAAAAGTCTTGTTCATTTCTAGAAGTTGTTATTGTTTTTTATTTATGCTTTCTATTCATTGAAAAATTTCTTTTTATGTTCTATATCATGTTTTTTATTTCTATTTTCTATGTTTTTATATTCTATATCATGTTTTTGATATAAGTCGGTCTTCACCTTTCTCTGTTCCTCCTTGATTAGCTTAAATAATTCACCTTCTGAATTCTCGTTCTTGCAATTTGGAGATTTCTTCTCGGTTTGGATTCATTGCTGGTGAACTAGTGTGATTTCTGGGGGGTGTTAAATAACCTTGTTTTGCCACATTACTGAAACTGTTCTTCTGGTTCCTTCTCATTTGGATAGACTATGTCAGACGGAAGATCTGGCATTCAAAAGCTGCTGTTCAGATTATTTTGTCCAATGGGGTGCTACCTTGACGTGGTGTTCTCCTCCTTCCCCTAGGAATGGGGCTTTCTGAGAGATAAACTGTAGTCTTTTTTTTTCTTTTCTTTTTTCTCTTCTAAGTTTTTCCACCCAACAGAGCTACCAAGCTCTGGGCTGGTAATGGGGAGTGTCTGCAACGAGTCTGTTAATGTGATCTGTCTTTACGTCTTGTAGCCATGGATACTAACACCTACTCTGGTGAAGGTAGCAGGGGAGTGAAGTAGACTCTGTGAGGGTCCTTGGTTGTGTTCTTGTTTAGTGCACTGGTTTTGTGTTGGATGGCCTTCAACTAGGAGGTTGCACTTTCAAGAGTGCATCAGCTGCGGTCCTATAGGGAGGATGCAAGATTGCCCTAGGGACACTTAGCTAAGTATTCAGCTTTCTCAGGTGATGGGCAGGGCCATAGAGCTCCCAAAAGATTGGAACCTTCATCTTTTGCTACCAGAGCGGGTAGAGAAAGACTAACCAGTAGGGTCAGGGAAAGGTGTGTCTGAGCTCTGTCTTTCCTTGGGTGGGGCTTGTTGTGGCTGCTGTGGGAGATGGGGGTGTGGTTCCTGGTCCAATGGAGTTATATTCCCAGAAGGATTTATGGCTGTCTTTCCTGAGTCATACAGGTCAGCAGGGAAGAGGGGGAATGCCAGCCATCACAGGTCTCAGCCTGCTCCCATGCAGCCCACAGTCCTAAAGGTCGGTCTCACTTTCACTGTGTTCTTCCAACAGCACAGAGTTTATTTCCAGGCAACCAGTGACCAGGGTCAAGAACTTGCCCCAGACCATGAGCTTCCCTGGTGAGAAAGCAATCAGACTCAGTTTTTTGGCATATCAGGCAGCCTGCAGTGGTGATTCAGTTTTTTCAAAGGTTCTGTGGATTACCTCGTATTTCCTGGTATGTTCTTGCGGTAGTTCTTGAAGAAAAAGTTTATGATGTGAGTCTCCACATGAAGCTTTGTTCATCTGAGCATAAGCTGCAAGCTAGTTCTGCCTCCTATCTGCCTTCTTAATTCCAGTGTCCTGTGTGTAAAATTTTTGAGAGTATTCCTTCATTATCTGTTCATGCCTGCAAGGTTTGTAGTGAAGTTACCTGTTTTGATTAATATATTTTCTCTCTTCTCTTTTTCTGTTTTTCAGTCTTGTTAACTGGGAACCACAACCCCATCCCCAACAGCAATCATAGCAAGCCCACCCAAGGAAAGGCAGAGCTCAGACACGCCTATACTTGACCCCACCTGGTGATCTTTCTCTAGGAGCTCTGGTAGGCAAAGACAAAGGTCATAATCTCTTTGGAGCTCTATGGCCCTGCCCACCACCTGAGAAACCTGAATACTTAACTAAGTGTCCCTAGGGCAATTTTGCGTCCTCTCTGTAGGACCACAGATGATGCACTCTTGAAAGCACAAACTCCTGATTGAAGGTCAAACATTTATATATTTTATGGATTTATTTAAAGAATTAGAGGGCTTGGCCACAATGGCTGACTAAAAGTGACTGGTGTGCATGACTCTCACAGAAGGAAATGGAAGGGATGATTAAATACAACACCATTTACTGAAACATCTGGGTACACGCATTGGGACTAATCAAGGAAACATCTCGACCCATAGAGAACAGAAATAAAAGGCAGGATTATTTCTCAACCAGGAGTGACACAGAGCAAGGGGGACATTCCTCACCCAGGGAAGCAGAGAGTGAGTGAGCAATCGCGGGAACCCACACTTCTCCAAGGGATCTTTGAAAACCTTGGGTCAGAAGATTCCCTTGTGAACTGACCCCTCCGGAGCCTTCAGTCTGACACATAGAGCTATGTGGATTATTGCCAAAGGAGCTATTCAGGCATACATGGAGCTTCAGGAGCCATAGATACTCAGGCTTCCCAGCAAAAGCAGCTGCAACTCCAGCAAAGTAAGAGGTTAGCCCCTATTTATACCCCTAGGAAAGGGGCTGAATCCAGGTGGCTGAGCAGTAATGGGCTGCAGGTCCTGCTTTCATGGCACCTCACAGGATACGACCCACTGGCTTTGAACTCCAGCCAGCCACCAGTAGCAGCATTACACCTCTCAGAGACGAAGCTTCCATGGGGAAGGTTGGACCACTGTCTTTGCTGTTTATCAGTCTTAGCCATTGTTGCCTTAGGAATCCAGTAAGTCTGAGGCAGCTAAAGACTGGAAGAGCTCCCCAGCTGTTGGAGCCCAGCAGCTCTAAGGAGAAGTGGTCAGAATACTTATTCATGTGAATCTTGAATTCCTTTTCTCTTCACTTGGTGGAATATCCCTAGTGGGGTCTCCAGTCACCCCCACCAGTGTTTTCTGGCCAGCAGCAATTTCAAACCGCCCTGGGATGGAGTTCCCAGAGGTAGGGTTAGGCCACCATCTTTGCTGTTTGGCCGCCTTAGCTGTACTTGCCTTGGGGCGTTGGAGAGTCTAAGGCAACTGAGAGCTGGAGCAGAACTCCAGCACAGCAAAGTTGCTCTATGAAAAGGTGGCCAGACTGCTTTTTAAAGTACAGTATCAGTCCTACTCCTCTTCAATGGGTGGGATCTCCCCACTGGTGTCACCAGCCACTTCCTGCAGGCACATTCAGGCTGACCACAGATCTTTACCTTCCTGGGAAGGAGCTCTCAGAGAAAGGGGTAGGTCACCATCTTTGCTGTTTCACAGCCTTCACTGTTGACAACTCCAGGTACTTGGAAAATCCAACATGACTAGGGACAGGATAGGAACCCCAGCATATTGCAGCAGCCTTCCAAAAAAATGGCCAGATTATTATGTGGGTTCTCATTCCCATATCTCCTCAGTGGGCAGGTCCTCCAGGCCTGGGTCTCCTGCCACACATTGCTAGGGCTATCAAACCAATAGCAGCTCTGCAACTCTTTGGACAGAGCTTCCATGGGGAGGGATGGGTTGCCATCTTTGCTGTCTCACAGCCATTGCCCTTACTGTCTCCAGGCTCAAGAGAGTCTGCAGGGACCAGTGGCAGGTCAAGATTCCCAGCACAGAGCAATGACCTCGAAGAAAAGTAATCAGACTGTTCTCCACAGAAATACTGGTTTTTTTTTTGGCTCCTCACAATGCAGGACCACCTGACCTGAGACTCCAGCACAAACACCCTGCCTCCATCTGATCACCAAAATCAGAGATAGTTTAGCATTTCTCTGAGAAGAAAATCAGAGTCAATCCAAAACCTCTCCACCACTATATTTACAATGTTATAGTCCTAACAATCCTCCGGCTGGGGAAGGAACAAAGGGCTTAGTCAGTATGTCAGTACTGCCAGCACACCATATCCACCATATGGAGAGAAGTCCAGCTCCTATTCCCTGGGAACCCCCGGCCCACTCTTAACCAAGCAGGGCTCCTGGCTCATGAATGAAGAGTGGTCACTCCACCCATGGCTGGGAATACCCACTTGTAGCATCCAAGAGTTTACCTGGAGAGAGGCTCCCAGAGGCATATGACAGCCCCTCTGCCACTGCCACAGCAACAGTTCTATCCCTGGGCTGCCTTTGCTCTGGGAAAGAAACAAAGAGCCTGAGGGTTACACTCGAGCTTATAGCATGTCACATTCACCATATAGAGAGGAGATCAGCCTTTCCTCATGGTGAGCCTTAAACCTTCTACCCAACAAGCAAAACCTTAAGCTCACACCAGCAGTGCTGCAGCCCCTTTCCACTGGCTGAACACTCCCAATAACAGAAGCTCTGCTTTTCTCAGAGGTAGAGACCCAGCAGCAACCAAAAGCCCCTTTGCCACTGCCTCTTCAGTGGAACTGCCCTTGCTACCCTTGGGCTAATGAATGAGCAAAGATGCTAAGTACCTTATTTACACCTTCAACAAGTTGAAGTCAACCCAATAAATGGAAGCAACTCTATCTCCCATGGGTTCCACTCACCCACTGCTTGTTATGAGGTGAGAAACCCTTGCCTTGTTGCAAGACAAGGAACCCCACAGCACATACCCTCCAGCTTGTGCTGATTGCATTGAGTAATTGCTGACCTGCATCTCTCTAGGGTGGTGTCCCCAGAAGACAAGCAAAAGATCCTCTGCCACAACCACCAGTAAGGTCCCTTCTTATGCTGCCTCTGAGTTGGGGAGGAAATATGAACCCTGAGATCTTTACAGAGTTGCAGTGAGCAGCCCAGAAGTGTCAAGCTGCAATCTACAGCCAGTACTCAAATAGGGGAGAAGCCCCCACTTTCAGAGCATAGAGAGGGAGCATGGCTGCAGCTGTGAGGAAATATAGGGGAGACACGACTGAGCAAGAGCCAACCAACTGACAACTATACCTAATTCCCACCTACTGGATTGTGCCCCAAAGCTTCAACACCAAAAATACCTTGCTAACATAACCCTTATGTGAAACCAAAGACAAGAAATCACCCAAAAATAAAGACCCTGCACAAAACCTTCAACTTCTGAAAACATCTAGGAAAGAAGTCTATTGACTTTACTCAATCTACACTTAAGTTAAAGGAACGCCCACGCACAGATGAGAAATAACCAACACAAGAACTCCAGTAACTATAATGGTCTGAGTGGCTTATGTCCTCCAAAAAGCAACAGTAGTTCCCCACTAATGGTTCTTATTCAGACTAAGTTGGCTGAAATGAAAGAAACAGAATTCAGAATATGGATAGAAACAAATATCATTGAGATTCAGGAGTATTGCAAAACCCAATCCAAGGAAACTAGGAATCACAATAAAATAATATGGAAAATGAAGATGAAATAGCCAGTATAAAAAAGAACCTAATGGATCTGATAGAGCTGAAAAACACACTACAAGAACTCCAGAGGCGGAGCTTGCAGTGAGCCGAGATGGCGCCACTGCACTCCAACCTGGGAGACACAGTGAGACTCCGTCTCAAAAAAAAAAAAAAAAAAAAAAGAACTCCAGAATGCACTTGCAAGTATTAACGGCAGAATAGGTCCAGCTGAGGAAAAAAATCTCAAACATTGAAAACTGGCTCTCTGAAATAAGATAGTGAAATAAAAATAAAGAGAAAAGAATAAAAATAAATTTAAAAAACTCTGAAATCTATGGGATTATGTAAAGAGGCCAAATCTGTGAATCTTCGGCATCCCTGAAAGAGATGGGAAGGAAGCAAACAACTTGGAAAACATATTTCAGGATATTGTCCATGAAAACTTCCACAGCCTGGCAAAAGAAACCAACAGTCAATTTCAGAAAATACACAGAACTCCTGCAGGATTCTATATATATATTTAAAAAACCAGGACACATAATCATCAGATTTCTAAAGTCAAAAATTAATGAAAAATTTTAAAGACAGCTAGAGAGAAAGGGAAAGTTTCACACAAATGGACATTGTCAGGCTAACGTTGGAACTCCCAGCAGAAACCCTATGAGTAAGAAGGGATTAGGAGCCTGTATTGAATGTTCTTAAAAAATTTTTTTCAGTCGAGAATTTTATATCCAGCCAAACTAAGCTTCTTAAGTAAAAGAGAAATAAGATCTCTTTCAGATAAGCCAATGTTATAGGAATTTGATATCACCAAACCTGCCTTACAAGAGACCCTTGAAAAGAGCACTAAATATAGAAAGGAAAGATTTACCAATCAAACTTAAGTACACAGACCAGTGAGAGTATAAAGCAACTACACAAACAAGCTGGCATAATATCCAGCTAACAACATGATGAAAGGGTCAAATCCACACATATCAACACTAACCTTGAGGTAAATGAGCTAAATGCCCCACTTAAAAGGCACAGAATGGCAAGTTGCATAAAGAACCAAGACCCAATGGTATTCTGTCTTAAAGGAACCCGTCTCACACCTAATAATATCCATAGCCTCAAACAAAAAGGGATGGAGAAAAATATACCAAGCAAATGGAAATCAGAAAAATGCAGGGGTTGCAATTCTAACTTCAGTCAAAACACTTTCAACCAACAAAATAAAAAAAATACTAAAAGGGACATTACATAATATATATGCACGCAACGTGGAAGCACCCAGATTGACAAAATTAATTCTTAGAGACATACAAAGAGACTTATACTCCCACACAATAATAGTGGGAGACTTCAACACTCCACTGACAGTATTAGACAGATAATAAAGGCAGAAAATGAACAAAGATATTTAGTATGTGAACTCAACATTGAACCAAATGTATCTGATAGACCTCTACAGTAATCCTCAACCCAAAACAACAAAATATACATTTTCCTCATGAACACATGGCACATACTCTAAAATCGACCACAAAATTGGACATAAAACCATCCTAAGTAAATGCAAAAGAATGAAAATCATACGAAACACACTCTTGGACCACAGTAAAATAGAAAAAATAAAAGTTAAGACCCAGATGATTGCTCAAAACCATGTAATTACATAGTAATTAAACAATGGCTCCAGAATGACTTTCAGAAAAAATATGAAATTAAGGCAGAAATCAAGAAGTTATTTGAAACTAATGAGAACAAAGCTACAACATACTATAATCTCTAAAACACAGCTAAGACAGTGTTAAGAGGGAAGTTAATGTCACAAAATGCCCACCTCAGAAAGTAAGAAAGATCATAAATTAACAACCTAACATTACAAGAGATAGAATTAGAGGTAGAATAGCAAACCAACACCAAAGCTAGCCAAAGACAAGAAATACTCAAAATCAGAGTTTAACTGAAAGAAATCAAGACATAAAAAACCAATCAAAACATAAACAAATTCAGGAGTTGGTTTTTTGAAACAAATTAATAAAATAAATAGGCCACAAGCTAGACTAATAAAAAAAGAGACAACATCCGAATAAACACAATTAGAAATGACAGAGGATGTTACCTCTTACCCTGCGGAAATAAAAATAAACATAAGTAATTACTATGAACACCTCTATGCACATGAATTAAAAACCCTAGAAGAGATAAATTGTTGGACACAAACACCCTCCCAAGAATAAACCAGGAAAAAATTGATTCTCCAAACAAACTGACAATGAACTCTGAAATTGAATCAGTAATAAATAGCCTACCAACCAAAAAAAAAAAAAAAAAAAAAAAAAAAGCCCAGGACCAGATGGATTCAGAGCTGAGTTCTGAAAGATGTTCAATAAAGATTTGGTACTATTCCTACTAAAATGACTCCGAAAAGCAGAAGAGAAGGGACTCCTCCCTAACTCATCCTATGAGGCCAGCATCATCCTGATACCAAAAGCTGGCAGAGAAAAACAAACAAACAAACAAACAAATGAACAAACAAAAACTTCAGAAAAAGAAAACTCAAAAAAAAGACAACTTTAGGCCAATACTTTTGATAACATTAATTCAAGAATCCTCAATAAAATACTAGAAAACAAAATCTAGCAGCACATCAAAAAGTGAATCCATCAAAATCAAGCAGGCTTTATCATTAAAATGCAAGGTTGGTTTAATATATGCAAATCAATAAATGTGATTCATCACATAAACAGAAATAAAGACAAAAACCATGTGATTATCTCAATAAATGAAGAAACTGCTTTCAGTGAAATTCAACACCCCTTCACGTAAAAAATTCTCAATAAGCTAGGTATTGAGGAAACATACTTCAAAATAATAAGTCATCTGTGAAAATCTCACAGCCAACATCATACTTAATTCATTCCCCTTGAAAACCAGCACAAGACAAGGATGCTTTCCTCTCACCACGCCTATTCAACATAGTATTGGAAGTCCTGGCCAGAGCAATCAGCCAAGAAGAAAAAATACAAGGCATCCAAAATGAAAGAGAAGAAGTCAAACTAACCCTGTTTTCAGACAACATGATTGTGTATCTAGAAAACTCCATCTTCTTGGCTCAAGAACACTTTTAGCTGACATACAACTTCAGCAAAGTTTCAGAATACAAAATTAGCAGCAAAATTGCTAAAATCCTTATATGCTATAACATCCAAGCTGAGAGCCAAATCAGGAATGCAATCTTATTCACAACAGCCAACAAAACAATGAAATACCTAGAAATACAACTAACCAGAGACGTGAAAAATCTCTCCAATGAGAATTACAAAACACTGATCAAAGAATTCAGAGATAATACAAACAAATAAAATGACATTCCATGCTCTTTGATAAAAAAAAATCAGCACTAATAAAATGGCCATACTGCTCAAAGCAAATCACATATTCAATGCTATTTTTATCAAATTTCCACTTACATTTTACACAGAAGTTGAAAAACCTATTTGAAAACTTATATCAAATAAAAAGCCTGAATAATCAAGGCAATCCTTTGCAAAAAGAACAAAGCTAGAGGCATCATGTTACCCAACTTCAAACTATGCTACAGGAATACAGTAACCAAAACAGCATGGTACTAATGCAAACACAGACAAAGACCAAGAGAAGAGAATAGAAAGCCCAGAAATAAGGCTACACACCTGCAACCATCTGATCTTTGACAAAGCTGACAAAAACAAGAAATGGCAAAAGAATTTCCTATTTTATAAATGATACTGGGATAACTTCCCAGCTATATGCAGAAGATTGAAACTGGATCTCTTCCTTTCACTATATACAAAAATTAATTCATGAAAGATTTCAGACTTAAATGTAAAACCCCAAATTATAAAAATCCTGAAAGACAACTTGGCAATACCATTCTGGACACAGGAACAGGCAAAGATTTTATGAAGAAGACACCAAAAACAATTGCAACAAAAGCAAAAAGTAATAAATGAGTTCTAATTAAAACCTTCTGCACAGCAAAAAAAAAAAAAAAATCAACAGAGTAAAAACACAACCTACAGAATGGGAGAAAATATTTGCAAACTACGCATCTGACAATGGTCTAATATGTAGCATCCACAGAGAACTTAAACAAATTCACAATAAAAAAAAATACTAACCCATTCAAAAGTGGGCAAAGGAGATGAAAAAAGTGGGCAAAGGACATGAACACACAGTTTTTAAAAGAAGACATACATGTGGCCAACAAGCATATTTTTAAAAAGTTCAATAATACTGATCATTAAAAAAGTGCAACTCAAAACCACAATGAGATACCATCTCACACCAGTCAGGTTGGCTATTATTAAACTTCAAAAAATAAAAGATGCTGGCAAGGTTGCAGAGAAAGAGAAACACTTATATACTGTTGGTGAGGGTGTAAATTATTTCAACCGTTGTGGAAGCAGTGTGATGATTCCTCAAAGAGCTAAAAACTGAACTACCATTTGACCCAGCAATCCCATTACTAAGTGTGTACCCAGGGGAGTATAAATCATTCTAGCATAAAGACACATGCAAGTGAACATTCATTGCAGCCTTATTCACAATAGCAAAGACTTGGAATCCGTGTAAATCCCCATCAATGACAGATTGGCTATAGAAAATGTGGTAATGGAATACTATGCATCCATAAAAAAGAACAAGATGATTTCTTTTGCAGGAATATGGATGAAGCTGCAGGCCATTATTATTAGCAAACTTTTGCAGGAACAGAAAACCAAATACAGCATGTTCTCATTTACAAGTGGCAACTAAATGAGGAGAACTCATGGACGCAACAAAGGGAACAATAGACACTGGAGCCTACTTGAGTGTGGAGCAAGGGAGAAAAGAGTAGAAAAAAAATAACTATTTGGTACTAGGCTTAGTACCTGGGTGACAAAATAAGTTACACAGCAAACCCCCATGACACGAGTTGACCTATATATATATGGTTTAAGATCTCTTGCATAGAATGGTGGCTATAATCAACAATAATTTATTGTATATTTCAAAACAACAAACAGAGTAAATTTTAAGTAACTAGTCACAAAAATTATAGGTAAGCTAAGTGCTTAATATGTTAGCTTTCTCTAATCATTCCAGTTTGTACACATTTATCAAAACATGACTTTCTTTCCTATAAAGGTATACAATTATAACTTGTTTATCAAAATAATAATAACTTTAAAAAGAAATAGACAAATCAATCTTTTGGAATCTCCAGGGACTCTATAGATCTATAAAAACCTCGAAAAAGAACAAAGTTGGAGTACTCACATTTTCTGATTTCAAACTTACTGCCAAACTACACTAATACAACCAGTGTGGTACTGGCATAAAGACAAACATATAGGCCGATGGATACAATCGTGAGAAGGAAATAAGCTAAGTAGATTATGATCAAGTAATTTTTGACAATGTTTTCCTGATGATTCAATAGAGAAAGAGCAGTTTATTCAAATAATGTTCCTGAGAAAACTTATCTACACCTGCAAAGAATGAAGTTGGACCTTGACCTTACACAATAAAAGAAAACCAAAACAAAAAATTGATCAAAGCCCTAAACACAAAAACTAAAACTGTCAAAGTCTTAGAAGGAATAATTGTGGAAAATTTTCGTGATGCTGGATTTGGAAAATTTTGTTTTTAGATATAAAACTAAAATCATAGGTAACAAAAGAAACATTAGATAAATTGGACTTCATTAGTACTAAAATCTTATGTACATGAAAACTGTCAATAGTGAAAACTCAAACTACAGAATGAGAGAAAATATTTGCAAATCAAATATCTGTTAAGAAATTAATAGTCATAATATATAAACATCTGTTACAACTCAACAACAACAAAACCCAGGTGAAACGTACAAATATTTGACTATATATTTCGAAGGACTTGAATGAACACTTCTCTAAATGAAATATATTGCAGCTCAACAAAAACATAAGCAGATGTTAAACATCAGTAATCATTGAGAAAATGCAGATCAAACTCCAAATCGGATCCTACTTTACACCCACTAAGATGGATACTAACTAAAAAAAAGTATATAACAAATTTTGGCAAAGATGTAGAGAAAGTAGGCCCTTGTGCGTTGTTGATGAAAATGTAAAATAATATAGCCACAATGGAAAACTATCTAAGAGCTCCTCAAAAAATAAAAAAAAAATAATTATCATATGATCATAAAGTATAAGTGTATATCTAAAAACATTGAAAACAAGCATGAAGAGATATTTTTAAACCCATGTTCATAGCAGCTTTATTCACAATAGACAAAAAAGGTTAGAGCAACAAGTGTCCATCAATGCTTGATTGAATAAATACAAGGTGGTATATACATATAATGGAATATTATTCATCCTTACAAGGAGTAACATTCCAAGGCATGCTACAATGTGAATGAACCTTGAAAGAATTATGCTAAGTAAAAAGAGCCACCAACAAAAGGAAAATATGGTATGATTCCTTGTATTTGAGATTCCTAGAATATTAAAATAAATATAGGTACAAAGTAGAATAGTGGTTATCAATGGCTGGGAATGGGAGTAGTTTGGAGTTATGGTTTAATGGGCACAAAATTTTAGTTTGAGATGACAAAATTTCAGGAGTTGGGTAGTAGTGATTATTATGCAATAACGTGAATGTAGTTAATACAACTAAATTGTATAATTAAAAATGGTTAAAGTGGTAAATTATATATTATTTGCGTATTACCATGATATTTAAGTCATTAAAAAATGATTAGGACTTTTGGGTTCAGTTCAGACAGATAAGAAGTTGAGAACAGAAGCTTTTACTTTTTAACAAGAAATGAAGTAGACAAACAAAAAGTTAACTATTTTTCAAGAACCTGCTGTGGTGAAATAGAATATTTTTAGACTTCCTAATTTTTTTGGATAAAGCCTTAGCCTTTGAATAACTATTTACATATAATGAGACAGGTATCTTGCCATTTGCTAATGTCTATTGTATCGTTTCCAGAGATGACAAAAGAGTTATGTCCTGGACTAGTTATCTAAATTAAGATTTGAGGTGCTAGAGATTCTGGAGTGGCTATCTTTCTAGATATTTGAATTTCTAGGAAGAATAAACTCTGATCTTTTACACATCTATGGGTCATAAAAGCTGAGAGACATGGGCCTGTGTGGCTCCTGGAGAGATTTTATTATATACCAGCATATTGGCATAATGAGAAGGTCCTTTCAGGAGGGAATGAAAGCAGCTATCCCCTTTCCATTTGTAAGCAGAAAGGAATATTTTTTTCTTATTCATCTATAGAGTGTCTAACTACTGATGTAGGACAATTGACTTGGTGATCATGTCACCATAGTGTCCATGAATAGGCAAAAGGCAAGCCAACATACTTATTACATACTGTGAGGTATAGTAAGAAAACTTATCTAATCTAGAACAGCTCATGTGTACACTCAGAATAAAATTAATAAACATGAATATTAAAAACTTAATTCTCAGCAGAAAATTGAAGCCAATGGATATGTGACCGTCTCAAAATCCTGAAGGCTCATGGAAGAAGACACATGAACCATTTGCTTTCCTGGAGGAAAAAGAAAAAATGTTAACACCATATAAACTGATAGAAACATAAAATTAAAAATAACTATGAATTGCTGAAGGCCAAGTACAAGCTAGTTTGTCCGAAGCTGGTGGGGGCCACAGTGGTATTGAGGTTGATGTCCATTTGCAACCTCTTTTTTTTCCCCCCTAGGAGTTTCAACAGGCTTTCGGGGGAAGAACAGATCAATTGGAAGACAGCTCCCTCTGCTGGTGCTAAGTCGAGAAGGTGGTAAATAGTCACTGTGACATCTACATAGGCTTAAGTCCCTTGTGGAAAAAACAAGTTTAATTTTTAGGAGAAAAGGATACCAGCAAAGGCCGTTAGTGAAACGGTATTAAAGTTGAAAGGAGGAAAATGTCATCAGCACTATAATCTTTGTCTCACTTAAGAAAAAAGGCCTTAATTTGCGGCAGGGAAGTATTTAAATATACAGACTGTAAATATTGGAGGGTACATTTTTGTGGCTTAGAATGTGAATGGGGGAAAATACAAAATAGGCCTCCGAGAGAGGGAAGATGAAACACTCGAGACACATCCCTGTGAGATAGAGCTACTGTGCACTCTAAAAGCCAAGGCTTAATTATAACATTAATGAACATCTCTTCAATACATATTACGGACACCATAACAAGGCATGAATATAACAGAGAACTATCACTGGGAGAGTTGCAAGAGACAGACTCCTTGAAGAAAAGAAAAATAAAGATACAAAGTAAAGAGGGGAAAAAGGGGGTGACAAAAACAAGGTCACTGAAGAAATTCATAGCAACAATAACAAAAAAATGTAAAATGCAGTTGAACTCTTAGCTAGATAAACATAAATTCCTGCACTATAGTCCTACTTGTCTCAGTCTTAATTTCCCAATAAAACATGCCCAGCTTTCAACATCAAAAAAAATTATTAGGCATGTTAAAATGTAAGGGAAAACACAGTCTAAAGAGCCAAGACTATAATTAAGACAATAATCAGATGTGACATATATTTGTAATAAAGTTTGAAGTCAAGCGACATGATGCTTCTAGCTTTCTTCTATGTACTTAGGATTTTCCTGGCTAGTCAAGCCTTTCTTGATTCCATATGAATCTTAAAATAGTTTTTCCAATTCTGTGAAGAATGTCATCGGTAGTTTGATAGAAATAGCATTGAATATGTACATTGCTTTGAGCAGTATGGTAATTTTAATGATATTGATTCTTCCTATCTGTAAACACAAAATGTTTTATATTTCTTTGTGTCGTCCCTGATTTCTTTGAGTAGTGTTTTGTAATTCTTACTGTTGAGATCTTTAGATATTTTATTCTTCTGGTGGCTAGTGTGAATAGAATTGCATTCCTGATTTGGCTTGTAGCTTCGAAGTTGTTGGTGTATAGGAATGCTACTGATTTTTGTACATTAATTTTGTATTCTGAAACTTTGCTGAAGTTTTTTATCAGGCCAAGGAGCTTTTGAGAAGAGACTATAGAGTTTTCCAGTAATAGAATCATGTCATCTGCAAACAGAGATAGTTTGACTTCCTCTCTTCTTATTTGGATATCTTTTATTTCTATCTCTGGATTGATTTCTGTGGCCAGGACTTCCAATTCTATGTTGAATAGGAGTGGTAACAGGCTGTCCTTGACTTATGGTGATTTTCAGAAGGGAATGCTTTCAGCTTTTTCCCATTCAGTATGATATTGGCTGTGGGTTTGTCATAGATGGATCTTACTATGTTGAACTATATTCATTCAATGCCTAGTTTATTGAGGATTATTACGTGAAGCATGTTGAATATTATGAAAATCCTTTTCTGCATCTATTGAGATAATCATGTGGTTTTTATTTTGTTCTGTTTATGTAATAAATCACATTTATTAATTTACATGTTGAACTAACCTTGCTGCCCACAGATATAGTCTACTTGATCCCAGTGCTTTAGCTTTTTGATGTGCTGCTGTATTCCCAGTATTTTATTGATAATTTTTGAATCTCTGTTCATTAGGTATACTGCCCTGAGGTTTTCTGCTTTTGTTTTATCTCTGCTAAGTTTTGATATCAGAATGACTCTGGCCTCATAGAAAGAGTTGGGAAGGATTTCCTTCTCCTCAATTTTTTTGAATAGTTTCAGTAGAAAGAATATCAGCTCATCTTTATACATCTTGTAGAATTAAGCTGTGAATCTGTTTGCTCTTGAGCCTTTGTGGCTGGTAGGCTTTTTATCACTCTTTCAATTTTGGAGCTCATTGCTGGTTTGTTCAGGGATTTGATTTCTTCCTGGTTTACTCTTGGGAGGTGGTATGTTTCCAGGAATCTGTTTTTCTAGGTATTCTAGTTCATGTGCATAGAGGTGTTTGCAGTCGTTTCTGAAGGTTTTATTACATTTCTTTGGGGACAGTGCTAATGTCCCTTTTGTCTTTTCTAATTGTGCTTACTTGGATTCTGTCTCTTTTTTATGTGTCCAGCTAGTTGTCTATCTTGTTATTTTTTTTAAATAACCAACTCCTGGATTTATTGTTCTTATGTATATTTTGTGTGTCTCTGTTTTTTTTCTTTTAGTTCCGTTCTAATTCGTTTATTTCCTCTTTTCTACTAGCTTTGTAATTGGTTTGTTCTTGTTTCTCTAGTTTCTGTCATTGTGATACTATGTTGTTAATTGGAGTCCTTTCTTTATGATGTGAACATTTAGTGCTATAAATTTCTCTTAAGACTACTTTAGCTGTCTCTGAAATACTCTGGTATTTTGTATCTTTGTTCTCACTAGTTTTAAAGAATTTCATAAATTTTTCCTAATTTCTTTATTTACTAAATGTCATTCAGGAGCCAGTTATTTAATTTCCAAGTTATCGCATGGTTTTGAGAGATTTTTAAGTATTGATTTTTATTTTTATTGCACTGTGGTTTGACAGTGTGCTTGGTATAATTTCAGTGTTTATTTTTTAATTTGCTAGGGATTGTTTTATGTCTGATTTGTGATTGATCTTACAGTAGCTGCCATGTTGCAAAGAAAAAAATGTACATCCTGTTGCTTTTGGGTGGAGAGTTCTGTATATTTCTATGTGATTGGGTCCATGTGGATATTTAGGACTTCAACTGAGCACTGGAACAGGTTCATGTGATCCAGTGCTCAGTTGGAGTCCTGAATATCTTTGTTAATTTTCTGTCTGTATGACCTGTCTAATACTGTCAGTGGGGTGACAAAGTCTCTCACTATTATTGTGCTGGAATCTAAGTCTCTTTGTAGGTGTCTAAAAATTGCTTTCTGAATATAAATAAACACGCACTTTATGAGTAGGTGTTGGATCCATATATATTGAGGATAGTTAGGTCTTCTTGTGAAATTAAATCTTTTACCATTATGTAATGCTTTTTTTCATTTTTAATTTTTGTTGGTGTAAAGTCCGTTTTGTCTGAAATTAGGATTGTAACTCCTCCTTTTTTCTGTTTTCCATTTGCTTGCTAGGTTTCTCTCTATTTGTTTATTTTGAGTCTATGGGGGTCACTGAATGTGAGATGACAATCTTGAAGACAGCATGCTATTGGTTCTTGCTACTTTATCCAGCTTACCACTCTGTGCCTTTTAATTGGAGTACTTAGCCCATTTACATTCAAGGTTAGTAATGATATGTGCAGAATTGTTCCTGTCATCACGTTGTTAACTGGTTATTATGTAGACTTACTTTTGTGGTTGCTTTATAGTGTCACTGATCTGTGTATATAAGCGTGTTTTTGTAGTGGCCAGTAATAGTCTTTTCTTTGCATATTTAGCATTCCTTTTAGGACCTCTCATAAGTCAGATCTCGTGGTAATAAATTCCTTAGCATTTTCTTTTCTGAAAAGGATTTTGTTTCTTCTCCATTTATAAAGTTTAGTTTGGCTAGACGTAAAAACATTGATGGCAAATTATTTTCTTTAAGACTGCTGCATGTAGGTCTTCATTATCTTCTGACTTGCAGGGTTTATGCTGATAAGTCCACTGTTAGCCTGTTGTGGTCCCTTTATAGGTAATCTGCCCCTTCTTTCTACCTGTCTATAACATTTTTTCTTCATTTTGACCTTGGGGAATCTTATGACTATGCATCTAAGGGATGGATTTCTTGTGTATTATTTCACAGAGTTCTCTGCATTTCCTGAATTTAAATGTTGGTTTCTGTAGTGAAGTTGTGGAAATTTTCATGGACAGTATCCTGAAATATGTTTTCCAAGTTGCCCGCTTTCTCACTATGTCTTTCAGGGACACCAGTGAGTCATAGAGTTGGTCTCTTTAGAAAATCCCATATTTCTCATAATTTTCATAGCTTTTGCACAGGTTTTTTTCTCATCTGTTTGGACATGTTTCCTTTAGTTGTGACACAATTTGAATGCAGTCAGTAGACTTTTTTTTCCTGGATGTTTTCAGAGAGCTAAGTCTTTGTGCAGAGTCTTCATTTGTAGATGAATTCTTGCCCTTGGTTTCACATGGAGGTATATCAGCAAAGTATTTTTGGTGTTGAAGATTTCATGTGTGATCCTGTATGTGGCACTTAAGCATAATGAGCAGTAAGGGGGCTCTTACTCACCCACATGGCTCCTATGTATTTTCTCACAAGGTATTTTCTCAGGAGCTCAGGCTTTATGTCCCACCCAACTCTCAAGCATGCAGACAGAAGGGGAAGGGACCTTAGCTGTGGTTATGGCAGGAAGCCTTTCACTTATTTCTTGGAACTCCACCCCAGAGACATTCAGGGCTGCTATCAATCAATGTTATTGGTCTGGGATGGGGTGGCTGTGCTGTGAGCCCAAGCCAGGGGGGGCCTGCTTGGTAATGAGCAGAGGTGAAGGGTGGGTCATGGGGTAGACAGACTGCCTTTTTCTCCTTAGGGCAACTACAACTTGCTCGAGATGTGGTTAAAGCACTCAGGGTCTTTTCTCCTTTGCCCATCCAAAGGCAGCAAGGGCAGTACCACTGAAGTGGCAGTAAGAGAGGGGATTTGTGTTGCTTCTTGGAGCTCCACCTCAGGGAAATGTAAAGCCACTGCTACTGGAATTGTTCAGCTGGTGGTGGGATGGCTGCACTGCTCACAGGGAGGAGACTGAGCTACTCTACAGGTTGTGACTGTGGCATGCTGGGAGCAGAGTTGAAGCCCTGACTATTTATTTTTGCCCAAACAGAAGGCAGCAGGGGCAAAACTGCTGCTGTGGCAGTGGCAGAGGGGATGTTTATTGTCTTTTGGAACCCCTTCCCAGGAAATCTCAGAGCCACTACCAGTGGCTCTGAGCTCAGCTGTGGGTGGGTCTCAGCTGTGGGTGGGTCACCTGATCTGTGGTCCTGAACCAGGGCCCTGCCTGGTGAAGAGTTGTACGTGGGGGCTTCCAAGGAAGAGGGACTGGATCCCTCTCTGTATTGTGGCTGCAGTGTGCTGGAGGTGTCAGGATAATAACTAGGTCCTTTATTCCTTCCCTAGCCCAAAAGCAGTTAGGGTGGTACCACTGTAGCTACAATAGTGGAAGAGTTGTGGATTGTCCCTGGAATTTCCTCCTCAAAGAACTGCAGAACCACCTCCACTAAAGTGTTTGTGTGGGGGCAGAGTAGTTATGCTGGAACCCGAGGTAAGGAGGCCCCACCCAGTAAGGAGAAACAGAACCAGGAAGTTGTGCAATAAAGTGTGGCCACTTTATTATGCAGGTGGCTGTGTAACAAAGGAGATCCATGAGGTGGCTGCATTTTTCTGGGGATCCATTCCTTGCCTCTAGTCACTGTGCACTCTCTGTAGTTTGAAGGCAACAGTAGCATGGGTTTCAAGAAAGCAGAAATGGAAGCTTGCCTCTCCCTGTGAGAGCTCTGTCCTGGGGAAATGCAGAGCTGCTACCAGCCTGAGAGCCCTGGGAAGGGATAACTGAAGTCTTGGATTGAGAATTCTCACACATTGAAGAGAAGGAGGATCAGGAACCTGCATAAAAACCAGTCTGGCTGCTTTTTCTGTGGGATGGCTGCATTGTGCTGGGTATCCCTGCCAGTCCGTAGTAACTGCACACTCTCTGGGGCCTGAAGGCAACAGTGGCAAAGGCTGCAAGACAGCAAAAATGGCAGTTTGCCTCTTCCTGTGAGAGCTCCATTCCCACAAGTGCAGAGTGGCTACTGGCTCAACAGCTCTGGTGGGTGGTGCATGGAGTCCCAGGCCAGTGGGCCTTATCTTGTGAAATGCAGTGGAAGTTAAGCCTGCAGCCCATCAATGTTCAACCTGCAGTCCATCAGTGTTCAACCTCCTGGGTTTGGCTCCTGTCTTGTGGTCACGTGAGGGAGCGTGATCTCCCCCATTGCCAGAGCTGCAGCCACTAATGCTGGTATGTTTGGAGATTCAAGGCTTCCTGGACTCTGTGTGCACCTGAACAGTGTCTCTGCCCAGACTACATGTAGCTCTGCATGTCAGTCTGAAGGCCCCAGGGGAGTGGGCTCATTAGGGGATCTCCTGAGCCTAAGGTTGAAAAGGTTCATGGAAGATGTATGAGTCTTGAGGGACTCTCACTCATTTACTATTTCCTCATGGTAAGAAAACCATGTCTCTTTGCCACTCTTAGGTTGGCAGTCATCCTGTCTCGCCCCTCTCCATTTTCTGTGTGTCAAATTTTTTCCTCAATGAATTTCAATGTGTCCACCTGGATATTTCAGTTGAAGATCTAGAATTTCCTCATGACTTTTTCTTCTTTCTTTCTTTTTAATTTAATTTAAATTTAGTTTAATTTAATTTTAAGCTCTGGGATACATGTGCAGGACATGCAGGTTTGTTACAAAGTTAAAAGTGTGCCATGGTGGTTTGCTGCACCTATCAACTCATCACCTAGTTATTAAGCCCTGCATGTGTTAGCTATTTATCCTGATACTTTCCCTCTCCCTGCATCCCTGACAGGCCCCAGTGTGTGTTGTTCCCCTCCCTGTGTCCATGTGTTCTCATTGTTCAGCTCACACTTATAAGTGAGAACATACAGTGTTTGGTTTTGTTTGTGTGTTACTTTGTTGAAGATAGTGGCTTCCAGCCCCATCCATGTCCCTGCAAAGGACATGATCTCAATCATTTTTATGGCTGGATAGTATTGCATGGCGTATATGTGCCACATTTTCTTTATTCAGTCTATCATTGATGGGCATTTGGGTGGTTCCAAGTCTTTTCTATTGTGAATAGTGCTGCAGTGAACATGCACGTACATGCATCTTTATAATAGAATGATTTATATTTCTTTGGGTATGTACCCAGTAATGAGATTGCTGGGTCAAATGGTATTTCTGTTTCTAGATCTTTGAGGAATTATCACACTGCCTTCCACAATGGTTGAACTAAATAACATTCCTAACAACAGTGTAAAAGTATTCCTATTACTCCACAGCCTTTCCAGCATCTGTTGTTTCTTGACTTTTAAAAATCTTCATTCTGACTGGTGTGTAATGGTATCTCATTGTGATTTTGATTTGCATTTCTCTAATGATCAGTGACATTGAGCTGTTTTTTCATATTTGTTGGCCACATAAATGTCTTCTTTTAAGAAGTGTCTGTTCATATCCTTTGCACAGTTTTTTGATGGGGTTGTTTTCTTCTTGTAAATTTATTTAAGTTCCTTGTAGAATCTTGATATTAGACCTTTGTCAGATGGATAGATTGAAAAAATTTTCTCCCATTCTGTACATTGTCTGTTCACTCTGATGGTGGTTTCTTTTGCTGTTTAGAAGTTTTTAGTTGAGTGCCGACTCTCTTCTGGCTTGTAGGGTGTCTGCTGAGAGGTTCGCTGTTTGGTGGGTTTCCCTTTGTAGGTGACCTGGCCTTACTCTCTGGCTGTCCTTAATCTCATTTTCCTTCATTTTGACATTGGAGAATCTGATGATTATGTGTCTTGGGGTTGTTCTTCTCTTGGAGTATCTACTGGGGTTCTCTGGAATTCCTGAATTTGAATGCTGGCCTGTCTTGCTAGGTTGGGGAAGTTCTGGATTATATCCTGAAGTGTGTTTTTCAGCTTGGTTCCATTCTCCCAGTCTTTTCAGTACTTCAATCAGTCATACGTTCAGTCTTTTACATAGTTCCATAGTTCTTGGACATTTGGTTTATTTCTTTTCATTTTTTTTCTCTAATCTTTTCTACCTACCTTATTTCAGCAAGATAGTCTTCAAGTTCTGCTATTCTTTCTTCTGCCTGATCAGTTCGGTTATTCATACTTGTGTTTGTGTCTCAAAGTTCTCGAGCTATGTTTTTAAGCTCCATCAGTTCATTTATGTTTCTCCCTCAACTGACTATTCTAGTTAACAGCTCCTGTAACATTTTATCATTGTTCTTAGTTTCTTTGCATTGGGTTAGAACATGCTCCTTTAGCTCAGTGAAGTTTGTTATTACCCACATTCTGAAGCCTATTTCTGTTAGTTCATTCATCTCATCCTCCGTCCAGTTCTGTGCCCTTGCTGGAGAGTTGTTGCAATTATTTGGAAGAGAAGTAGAACTCTGGCCATCTCAGTTTTCAGCAATTTTTTGTTGATTCTTTCTCATCTTTATGAGTTTGTCTAGTTTCAATCTTTGAGACTGCTTACCTTTAAATGGGGTTTTTGTGGGGACTTTCTTGTTGATGCTGTTATTGTTGTTTTCTGTTCATTTGTTTTTCTGTTAACAGTCAGGCCTCTTTTCTGTAGGGCTGCTGTAGTTTTCTGGGGGTTCACTTCAGTCCCTATTCTCCTGGGTCCCACCCACACCTGGTTCCACCACAAGGAGGCTGGAGAGCAGCAAAGATTGTTGCCTGTGATTTCTGTCTTTGAAGGGCACCACCTGGATGCCAGCAGGAACACTCCTGCATAAGGTGTCTGGTGATAACCTCTGTTGGGGGTTCTCACTCAGTCAAGGGGCTTGGGATCCAAGACCTGCTTAATGAAGCACTCTGACTGACACTTGGTGGAGGGCGTGTGCTATGCTAGAGGGAAGCCCACTCATCTGGGCTGCCCAGGTTCCTCAGAGCCAGCAGGGGGAAATACTAAGTCTGCTGGTCTGTGGAGACCAAGGCCACCCCTCTTCCAAGGGGCTGAAGCCCAGGGATATCAGAGTTTTTTTCCTAAGTCCCTGGCTGGAGTTGCCAAATATCCTGCAGGAAGGCCCCACCCAGTGAGAAGGGGTGGGTCAAGGTCTGGCCTAAAGAGGTGGTCTGGCCACAATCTGCCACAGCTGTGGTGCTGCACTGTGGGGAATTACTCTTGGGTCCAAGCCATCCAGTCTGTCTGGCACAAGCAGGGCAAAAACGGTGGACTGGAGCTGCAGTGATGGCTGACGCCGTTCCCTCCTGGGAGTTCAGTTGTCTTAGGGATCAAGCAGCCACAGTGACCATGGCCACCCCTCTTCTGGGAGCTCAGTTGTCTTAGACAGCAGGTAGGCACAGTGAAGGCTGCTGACTCTCCCTCAGGGAGCTCATTTGTCTTAGGCACAGGCAGCCATGGTGATGGCTGCTGCCCCTTCCTTAGGTGTCTAAGTCACCCTAGGCAGCAGACAGCCACAGTGATGATGGCTACCCCTCCTCAGAGAGCTCAGTAGTCTTAGGCAGTTTCCAGCAAAGTGGCTGTTGAGAATGTGCGTGGCTCTGTTGTTGGGACCCAAGGTCCTCATGGCATGGGCTCATGAGTGGAATCTTCTGATCTGTGGGTTGCACAAATCCATGGAAAAAGCACAGTTTCCCAGGTGGGGTAGCACTATTATTCATTGCCTTCCTTGTCTGTGGGTGGGGCGGTCCCCTTGGCCCATGTGGCTCTCAAGTGGGCAATTGAACCACCTTGCTTTTCCTTGCTCTCTGTGGGTCACACCAACAGCCTAGTCAGTCCAGATGTCAGAACCTGGATACCTCGGTTGCTGGTGCAGGATTCCTACACTCTTTTGGTTCTTCTCAGTGAGAGCCTTCGACAGCAGCTGTTTCTAGTTGACTGTCTTGGCCTTGCCCCTTGACTTTTTCTTCTTTCAATGAGAGAACCACACACTAGCTGCTTGTAGTCAGCCATCTTTTTCCTCCACCCCCAATAGTTTCATAATACAAAATCAACATACAAAAACCAGTTACAGTTCTATACACTAAAAACAAAGCATCTGGAAAGAAAATTAGGAAAACAATTCAATTCAAATTAGCACCCCTTACAAAAATGTAAGTAAGACTAGGAATAAACAAAGAGACAAAAGACATCTATATTAAATAATTTAAAAAATGATAAACTAAATTAAACAAGACCACATACATTAAAAAATCTTGTGTTAATTAATTGGGGGACAATGTTGTTAAAATGTTCATACTATTGAAAGTGATCTACAAATTTAATGCAATTTTATGATAATCAAATTGGTACTCTTTACAAAAATAAAAATGTATATATAAAATTTATTTGAAAACACAAAGGGCCACACTTAGCCAAATCAATCTTCAGTAAACAAAAGTTAAATGTATCACATTTTATGATGTCAAAATATGTTGTAACACTATAGCTGTTAAAAGAGTATGGCATAAAATAAGATAGATAGACCAATGGAACAAAACAGGGCTCAGAAAAAAAAGAATTCATACATGTATGGTCAATGGATCTTTTATAAGTCTGCCAAGAAAATACAATGAAAAATGATAGTCTCTTCAACAAATGCCATTGGAAAAACTTCCCCCACACATGTGAAAGAAAAAACTTAATCTTTATTTTACATCATAATAAAAAATTAACTCAATATGGAAACTGTAAAAGTTTTAAAACACATTAAAATCATTTTTAACGGTCTTGGCAATGATTTCTCAGCTATGGCATGAAAAGTATAGACAACAAAACCAAAAATGAACAAGTGAAACTACATAAAACCAAAAACTTCTGTACAGCAAAGGGAACAATCAACAGAGTGAAGATGCAACCTACAGAATGAGATGTATTTGGAAACAATATATTTGATAAGAGATAAACTCAAAAAAAATAAGGAACATCTATAATTCAATAGCAAAAAAACTCTAATATTTTGATTTTTAAAAGGGGCTAAGAACATAGGTAGATATTTGTCTAGAGAAGACATGCAAATGGCCAATAGATATATTTTTAAATGCTTACTCACACTAATCATCAGAACAATGCAAATTAAAACGACTATGCAATATCACCTTGCAACTTTCAGAATGGCTGCTACCAAAAAAAGTAAAAGACAACAAGTGTTGGTGATGATGTGAAAAAAATGGAAGTTTGGTACACTGTACATGGGACTGCAAAATGGTACAGCTGATAAATAAAACAGTTTGCAACTTTCTCAAAAAATTTAAAATAAAACTAACATACTATTTGTCAATCCCACTTCTAAGCATTCATCCAAAAGAATAGAAATTATAATCTCAAGAAGGTATTATTACCCTTATATCCATTGTAATTATATTCACAGTAGCTAATATGTGGAAACAAACAAGTATTTATTGACAAATTATTCCATCAATAAAATGTGGTGTATACATACACAATAGAATACAATTTTCCTTTAAAAAATGTAAATTCTGAAATATGTAACAACATTTTAAATGCTGCTAAGAGCTATGGTGTATTTTTTCCCTCTAAAACTCATGTTGACATTTAATTCCCAATTTGGCAGTATTGGGAGATGGGGCCTTTAACAGGTGTTTGAATCAAGAGGGCTCTGCCCCTATATATGGATTAGTCTTAATGGATTAATAAATTAAGAGATTAATGAGAGATTCAATTAATAAGTTATCATGGGAGTAAATGTGTTGCTTTATAAGAAGAGGAAAAACCTGAGTTGGCACACTCAGATCCCCAGCCCTGTGATTCCCTCTGCCACCTTGGGACTCTGCAGAGAGGCCACAACAGCAAGAAGGCCTTCATTTGATCTGGCTCCTTGATCTTTAACTTTGCAGCCCCAAAAGCAGTAAAAATTAATTTTATTTCTTTATAACTCATCCAGTTATAGGTATTTTGTCATAAGCAACAGAAAATAGACCAAGACAAAAATTGGTACCAAGGGGTGAGGTTTTACTGATAATAAATATTCAAAAGTGTGGGAGTAGATTTGAAAATGAGCAATTGACACATGCTAGAAGAATTTAGAGAAAAAGGCTAGAAAAAGCCCAGATTCTGGTGAGGATGTAGAAGACAAAAAGACAAGAAAAAATTTAAACCTTTTTAGAGCTTTTTTAAGTGGTCATGTCCAGAATGCTGATAGATGTAGAAAGGTAAAGGCCATTCAGATGACGTTTTAGATAGAACTGAAGAGTAAGGAACGGAAATTGAAGTAAAGGCCATCCTTCTCATAAATTGGCAAATGTCTTGGATGAATTTTGTCCATGCCCAAGGGCTTTGTGGAAGGCTGAACTTGTGAGTGATATGGCAGGATATTTTGCAGAAGAAATTTCTACACAAAATATAGAAGGAGGTTCTTGGATAATTTTGGCCACTCACAGTGATATTCTGAAGAAAAAGAACAATTTAAAAACAGCATTCATAATTAAAAGGAAAACAGAGTAAACTTATTTGGAAAATTCTTAGCCTGGCCACAAAAGTGGCCAGTACAAAAATGTGTCCAGGAGAGAAAACCAAGGGTGTAGCCCAATCGCCATTTTCTAAATAAACACACATAGAAAAGAGCTAGGTGCTATTCCTCAAGACAATGGAAGAAAAAAGCATTTCAGATATTTTCAAGGCTGCCACTTTCATCATGGAATCAAACACCTAGAAGGGCAGACTGGTTTCAGGTTTCAGGCAGCAGGCCTGGACACTCTCCATGGGCTCACTACTAAGAGTCACCTTAGAACACTGGTCCCCACACACCATTGCAGTGTTTCATAGCCAGCCGAAATCATGGCTCAAGAGGTGTTAAGTGCATCTCATGCTTCAGATCCAGGAATAACAAGT
The DNA here is from genome assembly GCF_000001405.40 of Homo sapiens. NCBI lineage: Eukaryota > Metazoa > Chordata > Mammalia > Primates > Hominidae > Homo > Homo sapiens. The sequence continues at coordinate 58,038,840 of NC_000023.11, forward strand.
AATAAACCTTGGCAACATCCACATGGTGATAGTTCTTCAGATTTGAAGAAAGAAAGACATGAAAAGGGTTGACAGCCTCTACCACATGTCAAAGGATGTTGTCAAAATCCAAGGCATCCAGATAGAGATTTTTCAGAGAGAGCCCCCAAAAGAGCAAAGATAAGCAGAGATGTGAGGTTTCAGCTTCGGCAGAACGTTCCCAGCAGGAAGAAGGTTCTCATCAGATGGGACCCCTTGACCTTGAACTTCTCAGTCTCTATAACTATAAAAAATAAATTCCTTTTTGCTATAGATTACCCACTGTGTTTCAAGTATTTTGTTGTAAGCAACAGAGAGTGGACTAAGACAAATGCATGCTTCCGCTTATATGAGATATCTAAATAGGCAAATTTCTGGAATCAAAAGTGAAATGGTGATTGCCATGGGCCTGGAGTGGGGTATGTAATGACTAGTTACTAATCAATAGGTATAAAGTTTTAGTAAAGTAAGATGAACAATCTCTAGAGATTTGCTATATATTATTGCACCTATAGTCAAGAATAATGTATTGCACACTTAAAAATTTAAGAGTAGATCTCATATTAAGCATTTTTAACATAATATACAGAAATAAAATAAATAGTAGCCAATAACTTCTCAAAATTCCTGGCAGAAACCAAAGCAAATGTGCGGAAGCTCAGAAAACACCAAGCAGAATAAATACCAATAACACTAAACCTAGACATATAATGTTCAACTTCTTAAAACCAAAGACAAAGGAAAAAATGGGAGATAATTGAGAGAGAAAGTTTGTGCTTACATTTTGAGTAACACCAATAAGAGTTACAGTGGAATTCTCCTTGGAAATTGTGAAAGGAATAATAAAATGGGGTGGCCGCTTTAAAGTTTCTGTAGGAAAAAAAGTCAAACCAAATTACGTATTTGGGAAAAATATTAGTCAAAAATAGAAATAAATACTTTGCCAAAAAAAGGAAATAATTTCTTGTTAGAAGGGCTTCTATACAAGAAATTTTGTAGAAAATTCTTCAAAAAGAAGAAACGTGATACAGTAGTGAAGACTAAATATGCATAAAAAATTCTGAGAAGTGGAATAAATTAAAGTTAAATAATTATTTTTCATTTTTCAAGTTTTTCAAGTTGACAGTTACCTATTTGAGGCAATGAAAGTAGCAAAGTAATGGTTGTTTATGGAATAAATAAAAGTGAAAATATAAGAAGAAATGGAGAAAACCTGGCAAGATGACCGACTAGACACAACCAGTGGAGCAGCTGTCACCAAGGGACTGATATGACTGACACACTCCTAACAGAACTTCAGAGGAAAGACACTGAAGGAAGATACATAAGCCAGGCTGAAGAGTCAGCTAGCTGAGAACCCTGTGCCTGGAACTCATCCCTGGTCTCTAACAACTGTGGGGAATGGATGCTCTTTGGGCCCACATCATAGCTTTTGTGCTGATGGACTGCCCCTGACTGTTGGAGAGCTTCAGTGGGTCGGCCCCCGCAGTCATACACAAGCCCACTCACTCTCTACCCCTCTGAAGCTTCCTTCAACCCCATGGCCATCACCAACATCACTTTGCTGGCATATGTATGCACAGGTGGATCATGCCCTACCTGCCCCACCAGAATGTACACAGGCATGCACCCTGCCCTGCCACTGCCACCAGTGTAAGTGCAATCCACCCCCCTCCCTCACTGTACTGCCATTGCAGTCAGAGCCTTGGTGGCCACAGAGCCTGCTGACCTTGCCCCCAATGGCACCCCACTCCTGCACCAACACTGCTGCTGGGGGTGAAACTAAGCAAGAAGAACAGCTGATCCTTCCCCATCCTGCATGGCCTCCTCTATCTGTGTAAACATGCACAGAGGGTGAACACCACCCCGTGCCCACCAGCACCCCACTCACATGCTAACACTACCACCAGGACAAATTACATGCAGTCATGAGTAGCAGACCCCCCCACACACCCTTGCACTGTGCTATGTCTGTTACTGTTGCAAATATTCTCACAAAGGTGAGCAAGCTTTCACCTGCTAACATCCTGCCACAGCAAACAAGCATACAGCCCACCATGCTGCTACTGTTGCTGTTGCTAGAAGGCATGAATAAAGATGGATTCCACTGCCACAGCCCTATTAAATGCTTTGGCTGACACCACCCATCAGAGTGCTTGGACCAGTGGTCCAGTCACACCTAAGACCCACAAGTGCACCGAATTCCTAAATTTGAGAAGACAAAGAACTACATTGGGCTCCAATATTTATCTTCCAGAGTTACCGCACACAGTATAAAAGTTGTGAGCTGAGCTTTTGCTCCTTAAAATAGTCCAGAAATGAAGCCAGTTAACTGAACCTAGCTTATAACACAAACCCTCAAGGCCATCAAATAGGATTTAAAAAAATCCAAAAGACAGCAACTTCAAAGACTAAAATAACACCAGCCCACAAAATGAGAAAGAGCCAGCACAAGAACTCTTGACAACTTTAAAAGCCAAAGTGTCTTCTTTCTTCCAAATGACCCACTAACTTTTCAGCAAGTGTTCTGAACCAGGCTGAGATGATTAAAATGATAGAAATAACGTTTCCAAACATGAGAATGAATGAAGATGATCGAGATGCAGCAGTATGTTAAAATCCATTCCAAGGAAGCTAAAAATTATAATAAAATGATAAATGATATGACAGACAAAATAGCCAGTATAGAAAAGAATGTAACTGACCTGATAGAGATGAAAAACACACTATAATAATTTCAAAATGCAAGTATTAATAGCAGAATAGACCAAGCCAAAAAATATTAGAGTTGAAAGACTGGTTTTCTTAAATAAAACAGTATCAAATGAAGAGAAAAAATAAATAATACTGCCTAGAAGTATGGGATTATTTAAAGAGACCAAATATATGACTCATTGGTGTCTCTGGAAGAGATGGGGAGTGGAAGCAACTTGGAGGACATATTTTAGGTTATCATATATGAGAACTTTTCCAACCTAGCTAGAGCAGCCAACATTCAAATTAGAAGCCGAGTTACATATTTCAGAAAAAGATTATCACCAAGACACATACTGATATAATTGTACAATATCAAAATGAGAAAATATTAAAGGCAGCTAGAAAGGTCAGGTCACCCACAAAAAGAAGCCCATCAGAGAAACAATGAATCTCTTAGCAGAAACTCTACAAGCCAGAGATATTGAGGGCCAACATTTAACATTCTTAAAGAAACAAAGTTCCAACCACGAATTTTATATCTGGCCAAACTAAGCTTTATAAGCAAAGGAGAAATAAGATCATTTTCAGACAAGCAAATACTGAAATAATTTGCTGTCACCAGACACGCCTTACAAGAACCCAGAAGGAAGCACTAAATATTAAAATACCATACCAGCCACTACATAAACATACTTAAGTACACAAACCAGTGACACTATAAAGCAACCACACAAGTAAGTCTATATAACAACCAGGTAACATCATGATGACAGGATCGAATTTACATTTATCAATACTACCATTTATTGAAAATGGGCTAAAGGCCCCAATTAAAAGGCACAAAGTAGTAAGCTGTATAGAGAACCAAGATCCAATGACATACTGTCTTCAAGAAACCCATCTCACATGCAACAACACATTTAGGCTCAGAATAGAGAGATGGAAAAAAAAACTACCAAGAAAATGAAAAAAAAAAAAAAGGAGGAGTTGCATTATTAAACAACGAAGACCAAAAAAGACAAAAAGAAAGGTATTTCATAATGGTAAAGGGTCCAGATCAACAAGAAGACCTAACTATCTTAAATATATATACACTGTATTAGTCTGTTCTCACATTGCTAGAAAGAACTACCTGAGACTGGGAAATTTATAAAGAAAAGAAGTTTGATTTGCTCATGGCTCTGCAGGCTGTGTAGGAAGCAAGATATCAGGAAACTTAAAATTATGGTGAATGTTGAAAGGGAAGTAGGCACAACCTACATGTCTAGAGCAAGAGGAAGAGAGCAAAGAAGAAGGTGCTACACACTTTTAAATGACTAGACTAGATATCGAGAGAACTCACTCACCATGATGAGTAAAGCATGTAGGAAATCCACTCCCATGACTCAAATACCTCATCCTAGGCCACTCCTCCAGCACTGGGGATTACAATTCAACATGAGATTTGGGCAGGGACACAAACCCAAACCTTATCATTCTGCCCCTAGCCCCTCTCAAATATCATGTCATTCTCCCATTGCAAAATGCAATAATTCCTTCTCAATAGTCTCTAAAGTCTTAACTCCTTTTAGCATTAATTCAAAATTCCACAGTTCAAAGCCTCATTTGAGATGAGGCAAGTCCCTTCCATCTATAAGCCTGTAAAATTAAAAACAAGTTAGCTACTTCCAAGATACAATGGGGGTTCAGAAATTGGGTAAATACACTTGTTCCAAAAGGGATAAATCAGCACAAACAAAGGGGCTACAGGGCCCATGTGAGTTTTAAAGCCAGCATGGCATTAATTACATCTTAAAGTTCCAGAATAATCCCGTTTAACTCCATGTCTCACATCCAGGCAACACTGATGCAAGGAGTGGGCGACCAAGGACTTGGGCAGCCCTGCGCCTGTAGCTATGCAAGGTACAGTCCTCGTAGTTGTTTTCCCAGCCCAGCATTGAGAACCTGTGATTTTTCAGGTGCATGGTGCAAGCTGTTGGTTGATCAACGATTCTGAGTTCTGTAGGACACTGGACATCTTCTCACAGCTCCATTAGGGAGTGCCCCAGTGAGAATTCTGTGTGAGGGCTCCAACCTTATATTTTTTCCCATGCACTGTCCTCATAGAGGTTGTCCATGAGGGCTCTGCCCCTGCAGCAGACTTCTGCTTGGACATCCAGGCATTTTTCACACATCCTCTGAAATCTATGCAGAAGTTCCCGATACTCAGCTCTTGCCCTTTGTGTACCCACAGGCTTAACACCACGTGGAAACTGCTAAGGCAGATTGCACATTCTGGAACAGTGGCCTGGACTATAATTGGGGGTCGTTTAGCCACACCTGGAGATGGAGTGGCTGGGAGGCAGGAAGCAGTAGTTTTCCAAGGTTGTGAAGGGCAGCCAGCCCCTGGGCCTGGCCTATGAAACCATACTTTACTCCTAAGTTACCAGGCTTGCTATGGGTAGGGCTGCTGTGGAGGTCTCTGAAATGTCTTTGAGGCATTTCCCTCAATGTCTTGGCTATTAAGATTTGACTCCGCAGGGGGGAGAGAAAGAGAGAGCGAGAGAGGACAGAAAGAGAATTCTTAAAAAACTCTAAATGGATAAAATGATTCAACTTGAGATCTGGGTTGATAAGAGAAATCTCATGGCTTTGGAAAAGATGGACAACTTAAGTACTGATAATGAGGTCTCAGAATATATATTTTGCAAATAAAGTTCATAATGTGGTTCATGAAATGAACATGGAGTGAATGGGTTAAATGGAGTAGAGTGGAAGATAATTGGAATGGAGAGAGTAAAGGATATTTGATGATGTCATATTTTATTGGCCATCATGTGAACACTGATGTCTTCAAGGTGCTGGCAGCTCTGGGAGTTGCAGAGAAAGACTGTGATCCTGGTGTCAATACCAGGTGTCCACCTCCTCTGCTCACTGGGATACAAGTACAGCAGGAGAAAATGGCACAATTAAGTTGATAGGAACTTTTGAAAATCCATAATCTTGAACCTCAGTTCCTCGGACCTTCTCAGGAAGTCTTCTATAATTTCTATTTGGAGGCCACTTCCAAGTTCTCCACAACTATTTCCAACTTTCACAATTAAACCCCAAACCTATACTGTATCAGCTTCTTCTTCATTCTCAGTAGATTTACTCATCTTCTGCTTTACAAAGCCAAAGTGAAGCACACAAAATATATACCTTAATTTATTTCCCCACCTAAAAACTTGCCCATATCTACACTACTTCTCTTAGTGTTTCACTTTTATAAGTTACCAGTAAAATGGGGTTATAATTATAAACATCTAACAGTCTTAGGGAGAAGATTAAATAACATATATAATCCTTATGCAGGTATAGCACATAGGGATCAATACTTATTAGTTACTGTGATGGTTACTATTGAGTGTTAACTATATTGGATTGAAGGATGAAAAGTATTGTTCCTGGGTGTGTCTGTGAGGGTATTGTCACAGAAGATTAATATTTGAGTCAGTGGACAGGGAAAGGCAGGCCCACCCTCAATCTGTGTGGACACCATCTAATCTGCTGCCAGCGCACCTAGAATAAAGCAGGCAGAAGAAGGTGGAAGGAGTTTACTTGCTGAGTCTTCTGGCTTTCATCTTTTTCCCCTTGCTGGATGCTACCTGCCCTTGAACACCAGACCCCAAGTTCATCTTTTGAACTCTTGAACTTACACCAGTGGTTCTCCAGCCTTCAGCCACAGAATGAAGGCTACACTGTCACCTTCTTTATTTTTGAGGTTTTGGGTCTAAGACTGAGTCACTATTAGCGTCCTTCCTCCTCATCTTGCAGATGACCTATCATGAGACTTTGCCTTGTGATCATGTGAGTCAATTATCTTTAATGAACTCAGTTTCATGTATATATTATATATGTAATATGTATAAAATATATATTATATATGTAATATGTATAAAATATATATTATACATGTAATATGTACAATATGTATTATACATGTAATATCTATAAAATATATATTATACATGTAATATCTATAAAATATATATTATATATGTAATATCTATAAAATATATATTATACATGTAATATCTATGAAATATATATTATACATGTAATATCTATGAAATATATATTATACATGTAATATCTATGAAATATATATTATACATGTAATATCTATGAAATATATATTATACATGTAATATCTATAAAATATATATTATACATGTAATATCTATAAAATATATATTATACATGTAATATCTATAAAACATATATTATATATAATATATAAAATATATAATATATATGTAATATATAAAATATATAATATATGTAATATATAAAATATATTATATGTAATATATAAAATATATATTATATATGTAATGCATATAAAATATATATTATATATGTAATGTATATAAAATATATAATATATGTAATATATTATATATAAAATATATATTATATGTAACATATATAATATATATAAAATATATGTTATATATGTTACATATATGACATATATTTTATGTCATATATGTTACATATATAACATATATAAAATATATATTATATATAAAATATGTATTATATACGTAATATATAAAATATGTATTATATACGTAATATATAAAATATGTATTATATACGTAATATATAAAATATATATTATATACGTAATATATAATGTATATAAAATATATAATATATATGATATATTATGTATACTATATATTATATATGTAATATAGATATCTAGAAAATATATATATTATATATAAAATATGTATTATACATAATACATATTTTATATGTATTATATATAAAATATATTATATATAAAAATATTCTATATGTATCATATATAATACATATTTTATATGTATTATATAGATAAAATATGTATTATATATAATACATATTTTATACATATATTATATATTATATCTATAAAATATGTATTATATTGTATATTATATATAATATATATATATAAAATATATATAATATATATGATATATAAAATATATATTATGTATTATGTAAATTATGTTATATATAGTATATAAAATATATAATATACTATATATAACATATATGTTATATATAGTATATAAAATATATATATGTTATATATAGTATATAAAATATATAATATACTATATATAACATATATGTTATATATAGTATATAAAATATATAATATACTATTTATAAAATATATGTTATATATAGTATATAAAATATTTAATATATATAATATATATAAAATATAAAATATATAATATATATAATATTTATTATATAATATATAAAATATACATGTTATACATATAAAATATATATGAAAGTATATATACATATATAATATAATATTATATATATATATTAAATATTTATTAGTCCTGTTTCTCTAGAGAACCCTAATATGGATTTTTGCTACCAGGAGTGGTTCTATAGAATCAGAATTTTAAGGATGGATTTATTTAATTGGTTATGGGGTTTCTAGGGTTGAATGCTTAATCTGATTAGACGCCAAAATGCTAAGAACTCTACTTCCAAAAGTATGGAGAACACTGGTAGTCTTAGGTGTGAAAAGTTTAGAGAGTTATGTAAAATGAATGCTGTTGCGTGAAGTCAGGGACCCTGAATGGATGTACCAGCTGGAGCCATGGCAGTGGAACATAAGTTGTGAAGATTTCATATTAATATGGACATATATCCATTCCCAAATAATACTTCTATAATTTCTTATGCCTGTCTTTACTTTAATCTCATAATCCTATTATCTTCATAAGCTGAGGATGTACGTCACCTCAGGACCACTGTGATAATTGTATTAACTGTACAAATTGATTGTTTGAACAATATGAAATCAGTCCACCTTGAGAAAGAAAATTGTAACAGCAATTTTTATGGAACGAGGGAAGACAACCATAAGGTCTGACTGCCTGCGGGTCAGGCAAAAAGAGCCATATTTTTCTTCTTGCATAGACCCTATAAACTGGTGTGCAAGTAGGGAATATATTGTTAAATTATTTTCCTAGCAAGGAATATTAATATCAATACCATTTGGAGGGAATGCGTTCCTGGGGGAAGGTCTATAAACAGCCGCTCTGGGAATGTCTGTCTTGTGCAGTTGAGATAAGGACTGAGATATGCCCTGGTCTCCTGCAGTATCCTGAGGCTTACTAGGGTTGGGAAAACCCTGCCCTGGCAAATTTGTGGTCAGACAAGTTCCCTGCTCTCAAACCCTGTTTTCTGCTGTTTAAAATGTTTATCAAGACAATATGTGCACCAATGAACATAGACCCTTATCAGTGGTTCTGTTTTTGCCCTTTGCCCTGTGATCTTTGTTGGACCCTTATCTGTAGTTCTGCTTTTTCCCTTTGTCCTGTTCCCTCAGAAACATGTGATCTTTGTTAGACCCTTATTAGTGGTTCTGCTTTTTGCCCTTTGAAGCATGTGATCTTTGTACCTACTCCATGTTCTCACACCCCCTCCACTTTTTGAAACCCTTAATAAAAACTTGCTGGTATGAGACTCAGGCAGGCATCACGGTCCTACCAATAAGTGATGTCACCCCCAGCGGCCCAGCTGTAAAATTCCTCTCTTTGTACTGTCTCTCTTTATTTGCCAGCCAGCTGACACTTATGGAAAATTGAAAGAACCTGTGTTGAAATATTGGGGGCAGGTTCCCCCAATAGAATGCATTTGATACTCCTGATTCACTACTCTTGAGAATCAAGTTTAGTGACTCTGCACATAATAACTTTGACCATAGGTGGAGATCCAAGGAATGTAATGAAGTTGTTTTGTTGCTCCTAAGTTTGCTGGACAAAGTGATGAAAGAAAATGATGAGCTCATGGATTCTAACTCCAGGCTCCAGAAGCACATACTGAGTCTTGAGTCTTCTAAGATTGCCCTGAGTGAGAGTCTTATCTCTTGTAAACAAAGGGCTGAAATTGTGGAAAATCAGACATAAGCTCTTATCATGTAAGTGGCTGACTTGCAATGAAAGATGCATGCCAAACCTCGCCAGGTGTCTGCTATTCAAATGAGGTCATTGATTGGAAAAGAATGGGGCCCTGCAACTTCGAATGGGGATGTGTGAGAGGACTCTGAAGAGGTTGGGGGCACTGAATTCCTAAATTCTGATGACGCTTTTTTTGCCAGAGGAAACAGCCTCCCCAGTCCCATGGTATCAACACCCCCCTCCCACTCACACTGCCATCAGTCTTCCCACCTTTCTCTGAGATTAGCCCTGCACTGCCTGAGGCAGTTGTCAGGCAAGACAATGCTGATTCTCCTCAGGACCCACCTCCAACACCCCTGTTTGCTTCTCGACTTATAACTAGACTTATGTCCCAGTGGGCCCCTATAAGTGAGGTTCAGAGTGTGACCCATGAGGAGGTGTGCTACATTCCAAAAGAACTGCTTGAGTTTTCTAATTTATATAAGCAAAAATCTGGAGAACAGGTATGGGATTGGATAATAAGGGTGAAGGATAATGGAGGAAGTAACATGATGTTGAATTAGGCTGAATTTATTAATACGGGCTCACTAAGCAGGGATTCTGCATTTAATGTTGTAGCTCAGGGAGTTAAAAAAACGTTCTAATCGTTTATTTTCTTGGTTAGCTGAAACACGGATCAAAAAATGGACCACTGTGAGTGAACTAGAAATGTCTGATCTCCCTTGGTTTAATGTAGAGGAAGGGATCCAAAGGCTTAGGGAGATTAAAATGCTAGAGTGGTTAGTCACTTTAGACCTACTCATTCGAACTGGGAGAGTGTATTAATCCATTTTCACACTGCCAATAAAGATATGCCTGAGACCTGGTAATTTATAACAAAAAGAGGTTTAATTGACTCACAGTTCAGCATGGCTGTGGAGGCCTCAGGAAGCTTACAATCATGGGTGAAGGGAAAGCAAAAACGTCATTCTTCACATGGTGGCAGCAAGGAGAAGTGCCAAGCAAAATGGGGAAAAGCCCCTTATAAAACCATCAGATCTTGTGAGAATTTACTCACCATTAAGAGAACAGCATGACGGTAACCGCCTCTATGATTACATTACCTCTCACAGGGTCCCCCCCCCCATGACACTTGGGGATTATGAGAACCAAAATTAAAGGTGACATTTGGGTGGAGACACAGTCAAACCATATCAGAAGGTCTAGAAGACATATCATTCACTAATATCTTGTGACACAGATTCGGGAGGGGAGCACCTGCATCCTTGAAGACCTCTGTGATTGCTCTTCTCTTTATGCCAGACCTTAAAAGTGAGAACTGCAGTCAATCAATTGGAAAACTTAAAGGCAATGAAAACAATTGGATCCTGAGATGGCAGGAGCCAAGTGGCAGCACTCAACCATCAAAGGCAAAGTGGGCATAGTTACCACAAGGGACAACAGAGGCAAAGTAGCAATCAGAATAGTCTGACTTGTGCAGAGCTCTGACATTGGCTAATTAATTACAGTGTTCCTAGAAGTAAAATTGCTAGGAAGCCTACTGCATTCTTACTTGATTTGTGAAAGCAGAAAACTTCCAGGTTGAGTGAATAAAAGACTAATTTGAATTATAAATATAGAGAATCACAGCCCCTCAATCAATTTCCAGACTTGAACCAATTTACAGACACAGAACCCCTTTAATGAAGGGTAGGCCAGGTCCCCTTGGGGAAAGACCCCACTACACTACTGACAGTTTATACTGTTAATCTTTCTCCCATTTTTCCCCAAGAAGACCTCTGCCCTTTTACCAGGGTAATTGTGCATTGTAGAAAGGGGAATGATCAGACTTTTCAGGGACTACTGGACACTGGCTCTGAGCTGATGTTGATTCCAGGGGACACAAAACATCACTGTGGTACTCCAGTTAAGGTAGGAGCTTATGGAGGTCAGGTAATTAATGGAGTTTTAGCGCAGGTTCAACTTAAAGTAGGTCCAGTGGGTCCCCGGACTCAACCTGTGGTCATTTTTCCAGTGCCAGAATGCATAATTGGCATAAACATAATTACCAGCTGGCAAAAGCTTCACATTGGCTCCCTAACCAGTTGGGTGAGGGCTATAATGATGGGAACAGCCAAATGGAAGCCATTAGAGCTGCCTCTACCTAGAAAAATAATATATCAAAAACATTATCATATCCCTGAAGGGATTGCAGAGATTAGTGCCACCATCAAGGACTTGAAAGACACAGGGGTGGTGACTCCCACAACACTCCTGTTCAACTCTACTATTTGGTCTGTGCTGAAGGAAAATGGATCTTGATGAATGACATGGATTATTGTAAGCTTAACCAAGTGGTGACTCCAATTGAAGCTGTGGTTTCATTGCTTGGACAAATTTACAAATCTCCTGGTACATGGCATACAGCCATTGATTTGGCAAATGCCTTTTTCTCTGTTACTGTCCATAAGGCCCACCAGAAGCAATTTGCCTTCAGCTGGCAAGGCCAGCTATATAACTTCACTCTCCTACCTCAGGGATATATCAACTCTCCCACTCTGTGACATAACCTCATTTGCAGATATCTTGATCACTTTTCTCTTCCACAAGATATCACACTGACTGTTCCATTTTGTTATGCCATTGTGCTGATTGTACCCCGTGAGGAAAAATAGTAAACAAACACACTGTACTGATTGGGGAGAGATTTGCATGCCAGGGGATGGGAAATAAATCCTACTAAAATTCAGGGACCTTCTACCTCAGTGAAATTTATAGGCATCCAGTGGGGTGGGGCCTGTAAAGATATTCTTTCTAGGTGAAAAATAAGTTACTGCATTTGACTGCTCCTACAATCAAAAACTGAAACAATGCCTACAGGACCTATTTGGATTTCAGAAGCAACATATTTCTCATTTGGATGTGTTACTCCAGCTTGTTTATTGAGTGACGTCAAATGCTTCCAGTTTTGAGTGGTGTCTAGAACAAGAGAAGCCTCTGCAACAGGTCTGCAAATGTCTGTGAAAGCTGCTCTGCCACTGGGGCCATATGACTCAGCAGATCCAATCATGCTTCAGGTATCAGTGGCAGATAGGGATGTTGTTTGGAGCCTTTGGCAGGGAATACAGAGTGAGTAATAGGAGAGGTAGTCATCAATATCAGCTATGACCTTGTGACCAGTTGCAGAAACAAGGATTATAATTGTCATAAATATTTTCTCCTTATTCTGTTAAGAATGCGTGTGCACGTTTACACTTATACTAAAAATATTTTTATTTCCTTTATTTTTTCTTTATCATGTGACATAGTATTTATTGACTTCACATCAACATTTAAGTGGTGTTAACTTTAAGTAATAGCATTTAGGTTAAGGATTAGTGAGCTTCTGGTTGTACAAAGGATAGCTGTATTATGTTAGCAGTAATTATGATCTTATGATTGTCTTTATTTGAGGATTATGTATGATTTCAGAAGGTGAGTATGGGTTCATGTTTACAAGAGGTGGACTTGTGATGGTTAATATTGAGTGTCAACTTGATTGGATTGAAGGATGCAAAGTATTGTTCCTGGTTGTGTCTCTGAAGGCATTGCCAAAGAAAATTAACATTTGAGTCAGTGGACTGGGAGAGGCAGGCCCACCCTCAATCTGGGTGGGCACCATCTAATCAGCTGTCAGTGCAGCTAGAATGACGTAGGCAGAAGAAGGTGAAAGGAGTTGACTTGCTGAGTATTCTGGTCTTCATCTTTCTCCTGTGCTGGATGCTTCCCACCCTCGAACAGCAGACTCCAAGTTTTTCACCTTTGGAACTCTTGAACTTACACCAGTGCCTCTCAAGCCTTCAGCCACAGAGTTAAGGCTGCACTGTTGGCTTCCCTACTTTTGAGGTTTTGGGACTCGGACTGAGTCACTACTAGCCTCTTTGCTCCTCAACTTGCAGACAGCCTATTGTGGGAATTCACCTTGTGATTGTGTGAGTCAATTCTCCTTAATGAACTCACTTGCATATATACTTGTATCCTATTAATTCTGTCCCTCAAGAGAACCCTGACTAATACAGTTGCCATTACTGCTATTATTATGTTTGTTGTCCAAACCCAATCCCCACACCTGTCTTCAAAGTCCCATTTCTGGCTGCTTCTTGGGGTATTGCACTTACTCCCCTATAATTTCCACATTTTCCCTTCTAGTAGTATTTTTGTTTTAACCTCACCATATAAGGTCAATTCTCTCATGTCTCTAAAGAATCTTCTTTTTCTGCTTTTATTTCTTTCTGAAATTATTGTCCTGCACTTTTTATTTGCTTCACATCAAGATCCCTGAAAGCTCCTCAACACCTGCTGTGTAGCTCTATTTGGTGGTGCATGCCTGTAGTCCTAGCTACTTAGGAGTCTAAAGTGAGATGATCACTTAAGCCCAGAAGTTTGAGGTGGCAGTGAGCCATGACTGTGCCACTGGACTTCAGCCTATGAGATAGACTAACACCTTTTCTCTTAAAAAGAGAAAAGAATGTGCTGTGTCTACTTTTTTCCCTTAATATGAAAATATGAACCAACCACATTTTGACCTCTACCCTGCAGAAACTGCTTTTCAAAAGTTTCCTGTAATGTACAAGATGTTAAATCTAATGAATGATTTTTAGTTTTTTTGCTATTTTAGTCCTCAGGAATAATAATAACAACATTGTAAAAAGTTCCATCCTTCTAAAAACTCCCCTCTTTATTCCTCCCTCCCCTTTTCCCTCTCCCTCTCTTTCTCCTTGAGTGCTTTTATTCTTTCATAACCTTAGATCCCTGTGCTTAGTGTGGTACTGGTACATGGTTAGTCCTAAGAAAAATTTCTGGAATTAATTAAAATGTTTTTGATAAGAAAAAAATAAAAAAGAGCTAAGGAATATGAGTGAAGAAATAAAAATATACTAGTCTTACAATTCTTCTACTATGAAAGGAATATAATATTATTTTTAAATAAACTTGGATTATTTAAAATGTATATTTGGGGGCTGTGGTTCAAGACGACTGACTGGAACTATCTACTAGCTGCCTTTCACAGAGAGGAAACAAAATATCAAGTAAATAATAGTTCTTCAAGTGGATCGTCTAATAAATTACTCTGGGATTCACCAAAGAAGCAACAGGACTCAGGGAGACTAGGGAGAAGTGAAGCCAGGCAGCTGTACACCGACGACTGGTAAGGAGTCTGGAAAAGCTCCATAATGTGGGGAAAGGGTGAGTGAGTGAGAGTCTTTAAAGGATTCACACTTCCACCATAGACCCTTGCAATCCTAGGCATAAAAAAGCCCCCTTGATTTCCCCAGTCCTTCATACTGGCACAGAGAGCTGTCAGAGATTTGTGCAGAGGCACTAATCAAGCTTACATGGAACCCCATGGACACGTCCCTGAACAGCCTGGTGCCAGCTGCCATCACCCCACCATAAAGGGAGGTGAGGTGGTTTTGCAAGTCCCTATGATAGGTGCCACAGCCATGGTACTGAGGAGCAGCCCGACAGTGTACTGTGCAACCCCTCACCTCCCCTACTCTTTGCCAAGTAGGGCTCACCTAATTAGGCTCCCAGTGCTGCTGCCCCACCCCCACCTGGAAACTGCAGCCAGACATGGCTGGCTCTGCATTCCTCTGGGACCAAAACTGCCATAAGTAGCTGATTAGGCCCTTTGCAATTGCCCCTACCACTCCCTCTGCCCCGTCACCCATGGTTAAAGAGGGACTGAGAAGGCTGACACTTCCAAGTACCTCCAGCATGTATGCCACAGCCAAGAATATGGAGGAGCAGAGAGCAGATTGCATGCCTTACAACACCCTGCCTCCACTACTCACTGATAAATGAGGCTTGCCACCTTACAGCCCCCAGCACGCCCACCCTGCCCATGCCTGAACATAGCAGTCGTGGCTATGCACTGAGTGCATAGCTCCCAGAGGTAGCTTACAGGGCTTTTGTGATTGTTGCTCTCATTGCCTCTGCCCCGGCTTCTCCCAGGCCATAAAGGGATCAAGTAAGCTGGGCACTTTCATGGGTCTTCAGGGTGGATGCTACCGCCAAAATATAAAATATTTGGCAGAAGTAGACAGACTGTGCAACGCATGACTCCTTTCCTCTGCTGTTCCTTGCCAAAATGGAGCTCACTAAGTTGCACCCCCATGCAACCTTCCCACCCTCATACAAATATTCCAGACATGGCTCAGTTCAATTGAGGGCCCAATTCCCTGAAGCCAGCAAGTAGCATTTTCCATTTGATACTATCAACACCTTCATGCCTACCACCTCCAGGCTAGCATGGGAGTGAGAAGATTTGGCACCCTTGCACACCTCCCACAGTGAAATCCAGCATTATTCATGTGGGACGGAATTGTGAGCATGCCACATGTCCAGGAGCCACCAGTCTCCATTAACCCAACTGAAGGGTCCTTTCCTCCTCAGTGAAAAGCCTAGAGCACAGCTTTTCTGCCTCCTCTTGAACATGAGGCCCGGCACTCTTCTGAGAATATTTGACCCACAGTTTTTCTGAGAATACAACTTCCATGGGCCTGTAATCTTTCCTTGGGCTTCTACCACCTGAGCTGCCTGCCCCCATCTGAGAAGTCTGCCAGTGACCCAAAGACCAGCCCACCCTTTCCCATCACAACAGCATCTGTTGGGAACAGGCCCCCAAATCTGGCCATAAACTGGCCCCAAAACTGGCCATAAACAAAATCTCTGCAGCATTGTGACATGTTTGTGATGGTCATGACACCCACACCAAAGTTTGTTGGTTTACTGGAGTAAGGGCAAGGAACACCTGACCCACCCAGGGAGAAAAACTGCTTAAAGGCATTCCTAAACCACAAACAATGGCATGAGTGATCTGTGCCTTAAGGACGTGTTCTGCTGCAGATAACTAGCCAGAGCCCATCCCTTAGTTTTGGTCTATCCCTTTGTTTCCTGTAAGGAATACTATTAGTTAATCTGTAATCTATAGAAACAATGCTTATCACTGGCTTGATGTCAATAAATATGTGGGTAAATCTCTGGGGCTCTCAGCTCTGAAGGCTGTCAGCCCCCAATCCCCACTCAACACTCTATATTTCTGTGTGTGTGTCTTTAATTCCTCTAGCACTGCTGGGTTAGGTTCTCCATGACCAAGCTCGTCTCGGCAGCATCTGAACTCCGGCGTAGTCCAATCCTAGTTTAGTCCATTCAGCACTCATACATGCTGCCTAGTGAGCCATCAAGGGGCCTAGGAACTGAGAAATTACCTGGCTTACTCCAACATTGCTTGGACCTGACCACTTTCCCCAGGGCCTGAGGTCAGGTCCACCCAGCCAGCCAACAACACCACAACCAACACTCACATGGACCCAAAAGTGGATTCCCCCTTTCTACACAAAACAAGAGTTTAATCATATCAGTGAATAGGGGAGACAAAGATGTTTGTATCAGGCCGAGATAATGCCACTGTACTCCAGCCTGGGCAACAGAGTGAGACTCCATGTCAAAAAATAGATTTTGAAGTAAAATTGATATACAGAAAATTGCACACATTTAATGTATACAATTCATTGAGTATGGGCATATGAACACATCCATAATACCGTCACCATATTCAAGTTAATAAATATACTGATAACCTCCAAAATTTTTATTCTGCTCCACTACTTTTTTGTGTGTGTTAAAACACTTAGCATGAGATATTCCCTCTTAACAATTTTTTAAGTGTAAAATGATGTGTTGCTAACTATAGTT
The DNA here is from genome assembly GCF_000001405.40 of Homo sapiens. Classification (NCBI taxonomy): domain Eukaryota; kingdom Metazoa; phylum Chordata; class Mammalia; order Primates; family Hominidae; genus Homo; species Homo sapiens. The sequence continues at coordinate 58,056,221 of NC_000023.11, forward strand.
ATCACAATATGCATTGTATCTCCTAACATATTCATCTTTATAACTATCATTTCGTACTCTTAACTAACATCACCCCATTCTCACCTACCTCTAGCTTTTGCAACCACCATTTTACTCTCTGCTTCTATGGGTTTGACTACTTTAGATTCCACATGTAAGTGAGATCATTCAGCCTTTGTCTTTCTGTGTATTTTTCCAATTAGCATAAAACCCTATATGTGTATGGCAGAGTTTTTTTTTCCTTTTTTCAGACTGCATAATTGTCCTTTGTGTGTTAAATATTTTAATTAGTTCATACTAATTAATATTAGTAATACTACTAATATGGTCACACTTTGTTTTCATATTTTGGCTATTATGAATAATTTTGCCACAAACAATGGGGTGAAGATATCACTTTAATATGGTGATTATAATTTATTTGTTTATAAACTCAGAAGTGAGATTTCCTCATCAACACATTTTTTTTTTTTTTTTCTTTTTTACTTTTGGGTAATAGCCATCCAGCACATGTGAGTTCATGTCTCATCGCAGTTTTTATTTGCATTTCCCTAACGATTGGTGGTGTTGAGTACATTTCCATATACTTATTGATCATTTATATCTTTCTTGAAAAAAATATGTGTATTCAGGTTCTTTGCCCAAGTTTTAATCAAGTTTATTTTTATATGTATTTATTTATTTAGCTATTTACTTCTAGGAATCCCTTATATATTTTGGAGCTAAATCTCTTATTGGGTATATGGTTTATAAAGATTGGCTTTTGATTTTGTGGATTGTTTTCTTTACTGTGAAGAAACTTTTTGGTTTGATGTAGTCTCACTTGTTTAGTTTTGCTTTAATTGCCTACAATTTTGGTGTCATATCTGAAGAACCATTGCCAAGGCCAATGTCAAGGAGTTTTTCCACTATGTGTATTTCCAGGAGTTTCAGAATTCCAAGTCTTTTATATAAATCTTTAATCCATTTTGAGTTAATTATTATAACTGGATTTTGCATGTAAATATCAGATTTTCCAACATCAGTTATTAAAAATACTGTTCTTTTCCCAGTGTGTATTATTGATGTCTTTGTTGAAGATTAGTTGATTGTATGCTGTAGTCTAAGTCTGTCCCTCAAAATTCATATGTTGAACCTTAACCACCAATATAATAGTGTTAAATGATAGAGCTTATAAGAGAAGATTAAGTCATAAGGGTGAAGCCCTCATAGATGAATTTAGGGTCCTCATAAAAAAGCTTGAGAAATGTGTTTTTTTCCATTTTCGTATTTTTGATTTTTGTGGGTACATAGTAGGTGTACATATTTATGAGGTACATAAGACACTTTGATACAGGCAAGCAATGCATAATAATCAAATCAGGATAATGCAATGCATAATAATCACATCAGGGAAATGTGGTAATGTGGTATCCATCCCCTCAAGAATTTATCCTTTCTGTCATGAACAACCAAATGATACCCTTTCAGTTATTTTTAAATGAACAATTATTTTGTGTTTACTCTAGTCACCCCATTGTGTAATCAAATACTAAGTGTTGTTCATTATTTTTGACTACTTTTTGTACTCATTAGCCATCTTCAGTTCTCCCAACACCCTCAAATACAGTTTCCAGCCTCTGGTAACCATCCTTCTACTCCCTATCTTCATTAATTTAATTGCTTTCATTTTTAGCTCCCACAAATAAATAAAAATATGCAAAGTTTGTCTTTCTGTGCCTGGCATATTTCTCTTAACAGAATTAATTCCAGTTCCATTCATGTTTTTGTGAATGTCAGGAAATCATTCTTTTTTAATTACTGCATAGTATTCTGTTGTGTACATGTACAATTCATATTTTTGAAATTTTTATTTCAATGGCTTTGGGGGTATGAGTTGTTGTTTGTTGCACGGATGAATTATGTAGTGGTGAATTCTGAGATTTTAGTGCACCTATAATGCAAGCAGTGTACATTGTACCTAATATGTAGTTTTTATCAGGGTCCACCCCCCCCAACTCCCTGTTCTGTGTGTCTAAAGTCCATTATATTACTCTGTATGCCTTTGCATACTCATAGCTTAGCTTATACTTATAAGAGAGAAAATACAGTTTTTGGTTTTCCACTCCTGTGTTACTTCACTTAGAATAATGGCCTCCAGCTCCATTCAAGTTCCTGCAAAATACATTATTTTACTTCTCTTTATGGTTGAGTAGTATTACATGGTACATATATACCACAATTGATTTATTCACCCATTAGTCAATGGGCACTTAGTTTAATTCACTGTCTTTTCAATTTTGAATTGTGCTTCTGTAAACATATGTGTGCAAGTGTCTTCTTCATGTAATGACTTCTTTACCTTTGAGTAGATACACAGTAGTGGGATTGCAAGATCAAATGATAGATCTACTTTTAGCTCTTTAAAGAATCTCCATACTGTTTTTCATAGAAGCTTTACTAATTTACATTACCACCAGCAATGTGTGTTTCCTATTCCTGACATCCACACCATCATTTATTGTTCCTTGACTTTTTATAATGGCCATTCTTGTAGGAGTAATGTAGTATTTCACAGTGGTTTTGATTTACATTTCCCTAAGGATTAGTGACGCTGAGCATTTTTCCATATGTTTGGTGGCCATTTGTATATCTACTGTCAATAAATATCTATTCATTTCATTCTTTAACTTTTATCTTAAGTTCAAGGGTACATGTGCAAGTTTGTTACGTAAGTAAACTTGTGTCATGGGGGTTTGTTGTACAGATTATTTCATCAGCCACGTATTAAGCCTAGTACCCGTTGGTTATGTTTTCTGATCCTCTCCCTGGTCCCACCCTCCGCCCTCTGATAAACGTCATTGTGTGTTGTTCCCCTCTATGTGTCCACATGTTGTCATCACTTAGCTTCCACTAATAAGTGCGAACACATGGTATTTGTTTTTTTGTTTCTGTGTTAGTTTGCTAAGAATAATGATCTCTAGCTCCATCAATGTCCCTGCAAAGGACATATTCTCGTTCTTTGTTGTTGTTGATGTTGCTGTTGTTGTTGTTGCTGTTGTTGTTGTTGTTGTTTTTGAGATGGAGTCTTGCCCTGTCACCCAGGTTGGAGTGCAGTGGCATGATCTCGGCTCACTGCAAGCTCTGCCTCCCAAGTTCACGCCATTCTCCTGCCTCAGCCTCCCAAGTAGCTGGGACTGCAGGCACCTGCCACCACACCTGGCTAATTTTTTGTATTTTTAGTAGAGACAGGGTTTCACCATGTTAGTCAGGATGACTCTCATTCTTTTATATGACTGCATAGTGTTCCATAGTGTACATGTACCACTTTTTTATCCAGTCTACCATTCCTGGGCATTTAGGTTGATTCCATGTCTTTGCTAATGTGAATACCGCTGCAATGAACATTTGTATGCATGTATCTTTATGGTAGAATAATTTCTATTCCTCTGGGTATATATCCAGTAATGGGATTGTTGTGTTGAATGATAGTTCTGCTTTTAGCTCTTTGAGGAATCACCATACTATTTTCCACAATGGTTGAACTAATTTACATTCCCACCAACAGTGTATAAGCATTCCGTTTTCTCCACAACCTCACCAGCATCTGTTGTTTTTTTGCTTTTTAGTAATAGCCATTCTGACCGGTGTGAGATGGTATCTTATTGTGCTTTTAATATGCATTTCTGCAATGATCAGTGACATTGAGCATTTTATCATTTGACCATTGGCCACATGTATGTCTTCTTTTGAAAAGTGTCTGTTCATGTCCTTTGCCCACTTTTTATGGGGTTGTCCATTTGTTTTTATGTAAATTTGTTTATGTTGCTTATAGATGTTGGATATTAGACCTTTGTCAAATGTGCAGCTTACAAATATTTTCTCCCATTCTGTAGATTGTTTATTTCATCTGTTAGTTTCTTTTGCTATGCAGAAGCTCTTTAATTTAGTTAAATCCCATTTGTCAATTTTTGCTTTTGTTGAAATTGCTTTTGGCATCTTCAACATGAAATATTTGTGCTTATGTCTTGAGTGGTATTACCTAGGCTGTCTTCCAGGGCTTTTACATTTTTGGGTTTTACATTTAAGTCTCTAATCTATCTTGAGTTAATTTTTGTGTATGGTGTAAGAAAGTTGTCCAATTTTAATCTTCTGCTTATGGCTAGCCAGTCATCCCAGCACTATTTATTAATAAAAAATATTTTCCCCATTGTTTGTTTTTGTCACTTTTGTAAAATATCTTATTCATGTCTTTTGCCCATGTTTTGTGGGATTATTTATTTTTTTCTTGGTGATTTATTTTTCTTGTAGATTCTGTATTTATCTTTTGATGGACACCTAGGTTGTTTCTAATTCTTGGCTATTGTTAATAGTGCTTGCAAAAACCGTGGGAGTGCAGATATTCTTTCAATATACTGACTTCCTGACTTCTTTTTTGGGGGGTATTTATCCAGGAGTGGTGTTGCTGGATTATATGGTAGCTCAATTTTTATTTTGTTGAAGAACCTCCAAACTGTTCTGCATGGTGGGTGTCCTAATTTACCTTCCCAGCAACAGTGTACAAGGGTTCCCCTTTCTCCACATCTTTGTCAACATTTGTTCATTCCTGTCTTTCAGATATAAGCTGTTTTCACTCAGATGAGATGATATCTCATTGTAGTTTTGATTTGTATTTCTCTGTCAATCTCTAATGTTGATCACCTTTTCATATACCTGTTTGTTACTTGTATGTCTTCTTTTGAGAAATTTTTATTCAAATCTTTTGCACATTTTTAAATCAGATTATTAGATTTTTTTTTCAGTAAAGTTGTTTGTGCTCCTTATACATTCTGGTTATAAATCCCTTGTCAGATGTGTACTTTCCAAATATTTTATCCCATTTTGTGGGTTATATTTTCACTTTCTTGATAGGTACCTTTGATGTGAAGCAGCATTTTAACTTGATGTAGTATCTTTTATTTATTTTTGCTTTAGTTGCCTGTGCTTGTGGGGTAATCATCAAAAATTCTTGCCCAGACCAACATCCTAGAGAGTTTCCCAAAAGTTTTTTTGTAATGGTTTCATAGCTTGAAATGTTATGTTTAAGTCTTTAATGTATTTTGATTTCATTTCTGCATATAGTGAGAGATACAGGTCTAGTTTCATTCTTTTGCATATAGATATTCATTTTCCCAGCACCATTTTTCAAAGAGAAAGACATTTCTGCAATGTATGTTATTGGCAACTATAAATAAAATGAGTTTACTGTAGGTGTGGGGATTTGTTTTTGAGTTCTACATTATATTCCCTTGGTCCCTGTGTTGTTTTTTTATGTCAGTACCATGCTGCTTTAGTAAAAAACAGGTTCCATTCCATGAGATAAATACACACATCACAAGGCAATTTCCCGGATGGATTGTTTCTCACTTTTATCATTGGATATTTGTTTTTTCCTTATAGTATTCAATGGGTCCAGAAATGTCTCTTCAGAGATCCTGCAATAAGAGAGTTTCCAGTCAGCTGAATCAAAACACAGGTTCCACTCTGTAAGATGAATTCACACAGCCCATACCATCTTGACAGATAACTTTCTAGTTTTTATCACTGGATATTAAGTTTTTCCTTACTGGCTTCAATGGGTTCAGAAATGCCCCTTTCCAGATGCATCAAAAAGAGTGTTTCCAAACTGCTAAACCAAAACACAGGTTCCATTCTATGAGATGAATCCGCACATCAGAAAGCACTATCACAGATACCTTGTTTCTAGTTTTTATCTCTGGATATTCAATTTTTCCTTATAGGCCTCAACAGATAAGAAATGTCCCATAGTAGATCCTACAAAAAAGTGTTTCCAATCTGGTAAATGCAAACACAATTTCCACTCTGTGAGTTGAGTCCACACATCACAAAGCATTTTCACAGATAGCTTGTTTCTAGTTTATACCGCTAGATATTCAGTTTTTTCTTATGGGCCTCAATCGGCTTAGAAATGTTCCTTTGTAGATCCTACAAAAAACTTTTTCCAACATGCTGAATCAAAACACGAGTTCCATTCTGTGAAACGAATCCACACATAGCAAAGCGTTTTGGCAGATAGCTTGTTGATAGTTTTTATCTCTGTATATTCAGTTTTTCCTTACAGGCCACAATGGACTCAGAAATGTCCCTTCATAGATTAAACAAAAAGAGTGTTTTGAACCTGCTGAATTAAAAGCCAGGTTCCATTCTGTGACATAAATCCACACATTGCAAAGCATTATCACAGATACCTTGTTTCTAGTTTTTGTTGCTGGATATTTGATTTTTCCTTATAGGCCTTGACAGATCTGAAATGTCTCTTTGTAGATTCTACAAAAATAGTGTTAAAATCTCTGGTCAATCAAAACACAGGTTTCATTCTGTGAGTTGAATCCACACATCACAAAGCATTTTCACAGATAGCTTGTTTCTAGTTTACATTGCTGGATATTCAGCTTTTCCTTGTGGACCTCAATAGGCTCAGAAATGTCCCTTTGTAGATCCTACAAAAAAAGTGTTTCCAACCTGGTGAATCAAAATACAAGTTCCATTCTGTGAAATGAATCCACACATACCAAAGCTTTTTCACAGATAGCTTGTTCTAGTTGTTATTGCTGTTTATTGGTTTTTTGTTGTTTTCCCGTTGTTGCTGTAGTTTTTGTTTTTTGTTTTCTTACAGGCCACAATGGACTCAGAAATGTCCCTTCATAGATTCAACAATAAGAGTGCTTCCAACGTGGTCAATCAAAACACACATTCTATTCTGTGAGGTGAATCCACACCAAAAGCATTATCACAAATACCTTGTCTCTAGTTTTTATTACTGGATATTTGATTTTTCCTTATAGGCCTTGACAGATCAGAAATGTCCCTTCATAGATTCTACCAAAAGAGTGTTCCAATCTCTGGTCAATCAAAACACAGGTTCCATTTTGTGAATTAAATCCACATATCACAAAGCGTTTTCACAGATAGCTTCTTTCCACTTTTGGTTGCTGAATATTCACTTTTTCCTTAAAGGCCTCAATGGGCTCAGGAATGTCTCTTCATTGATTCTACAAAAGGATTGTTTCCAACCAAGTCATTCAAAACACAGGTTTATTCTTTGAGATGTATTGACACATCACAAAGCATTTTCACAGATAGCTTGTTTCTAGTTCTTATCACTGGGTACAAAGATTTTCCTTGTAAGCCTCAATGGGCTCAGAAAGGTTTCTATGTAAACTCTATGAAAAAAGTGCTTCCAACCTGGTCAATGAAAACACAGGTTCCACTCTGTGAGGTGAATCCACACATCACAAAGCATCTTCACAGATAGCTTGTTTCTAATTTTTACCCTAGATATTTTGTTTTTCCTTATAAATCTTAGTGGGCTCAGAAATGTACCTTTGTAGATTCTAGAAAAAGAGTGTTTGCAACCTTCTGAATCAAAACACTGTTTCCATTCTGTGACAAGAATTCAGACTCCTTCAGTTCTGCTCTAAAAGAAGACATTTATGCATCAAACAAGCATATGAGAAAAAGCTCATCATTGCACTGATTAATGCAAATCAACACCACAATGAGATACCATCTCATGCCAGTTAGAATGGCAATTATTAAAAAGTCAGGAAACAACAGATGCTTGAGATAATGTGGAGAAATTGGAATGCTTTTACGCTGTTGGTGGGAGTGTAAATTAGTTCAACCATTGTGGAAGACAGCATGGTGATTCCTCAAGGGTCTAGAGCTAGAAATAGTATTTGACCAAGCAATCCCATTACTGGGTATATACTCAAATGTTTGAAAATCATTCTACTATAAAGACACATGCACATGTATGTTTATTGCAACACTATTCACAATAGCAAAGAATTGGAACCAACCCAAATGCCCATCAATGTTACTGGATAAAGGAAATGTGGCACATATACACAATGGAAGATTATGCAGCCATAAAAACCGATGAGTTCTTGCTATTTGCAGGGACATGGATGAAGCTGGAAACCATCATTCTCAGCAAACTAACACAGGAACAGAAAATTAAACACCACTTGTTCTTACCAATAAGAGGGAGTTGAACAATGAGAACATATCAGCACAGGGAGGGGAACATCACACACAGGGCCTGTCAAGGGGTGGGATAGCATTAGAAGAAATACCTAATGTAGATGACGGGTTGATGGGTGCAGCAAACCACCATGGCACATATATAACTATGTAATAAACCTGCACGTTTTCCACAAGTATCCCAGAAAAAGTAAAAAAAAAAATAAAAAGAAGAAGATAAAAAAATGCAGACATCAAAAAGCATGATCACAAATAGCTTGTTTCTAGTTGTTATTGCTGGATATTTGGTTTCTCCTTACAGGCTTCAATGGGCTCAGAAATGTTTCCTCATGAATTCTACAAAAAGAGTGTTTCCAAACTGGTGGATCAAAAGAGAGCATCTATTCTGTGAGATGAATCCACACATCACAAAGCATTTCCACAGGTAGCCGTTTCTAGTTTTTATCATGGGATACTCAGGGTTTTTTTAATATGCCCAATTGAGCTCAGAAATATATAGTCATAGATTCTACAAAAACAGTCTTTCAAACCTGGTCAACCAAAACACAGGTTCCACTCTGTGAGATCAATCCAGGTATCACAATGCATTTTCACAAATAGATTTTTTCTAGTTTTATAGCTGGATATTCAACTTTTCCTTATAGACTTCAATAGGCTCAGAAATGCCCCTTCATAGATCTTACATAAAGGTTCCATTCTGTGAGATAAATCCATATATCACGAAGCATTTTCACAGATGGCTTATTTTTAGCTTTCTTTGCTGGATATTTTTTTCCTGATAGGCATCAATGGGCTGAGAAATGTCTCTTCAAAAATACTAAAAAATGTGTTTCCAACCTGCTGAATCAAAACAGACATTCCATTCTATGAGATGAAGTCACACACCACAAAGCATTTTCACAGATAGCTTGTGTCTAGTTTATATTGTTGAATAATCGGTTTTCCCTTGTATGCCTCAATGGGCTCTAAAATGTCCCTTTGTAGATTCTTCAATAAGAGTGTTTCCAACCTTGTCTATCAAACCTCAGGTTCTATTCTGTGAGGTGAATCCACACATTGCAAAACATTTCCACAGTGAAGGGGTGGCCTGCCCCTCCACAACCTGTGGGTGTTTCTCATCAAATGGGATGAGAGACTGAGAAAAGAAATAAGACAGGGAGACAAAGTATAGAGAAAGAAAAGTGGGCCCAAGGGACTGGTGCTCAGCATATGGAGGACCCGTGCCGGCACTGGTCTCCGAGTTCCCTCAGTGTTTATTGATCACTATCTCTACCATCTCGGAGAGGGGGATGTGACAGGACTATAGGGTAATGGTGGGGAGAGGGTCAGGAGGAAAACATCTGAGCAAAGACCTCTGTGTCATAAATAAATTTAAGGAAAGGTGCTGTGCCTTGATGTGCATGTACGCCAGATTTATGTTTGACTTTACACAAACATCTCAGTGCATTAAGGAGCAGTATTGCCACCAGCATGTCTCACCTCCAGCCATAAGGTGGTTTTCTCCTATCTCAGTAAATAGAACAGGTTTTACACTGAGACTTTCCATTCCCAGGAATGAGCAGGAGACAGATGCCTTCCTCTTATCTCAACTGCAAAGAGGCCTTCCTCTTTTAATAATCCTCCTCAGCACAGACCCTTTATGGGTGTCAGGCTGGGGGAAGGTAAGGTCTTTCCCTTCCCATGAGGCCATATCTCAGGTTATCACATGAGAAGAAACTTTGGACAATACGTGGCTTTCCTAGGCAGAGGTCCCTGTGGCCTTTGGCAGTGTATTGTGTCCCTGGGTACTCGAGATTGGAGAATGGTGATGACTTTTACCAAGCATACTGCCTTTAAGCACTTTTTTAACAAAGCACATCCTGCACAGCCCTAAATCCATTAAACCCTGAATCAACACAGCATATGTCTCTGCAAGCACCGGGCTGGGGCTAGGGTTACAGATTAACAGCATCTCAAGGCAGAAGAATTTCTCTTAGTACAGAACAAAATGGAGTATCTTATGTCTACTTCTTTCTACATAGACACGGTAACAGTCTGATCTCTCTTTCTTTTCCCCGCACCACAGATAGATTGTTTCTGGTTTTTATCACTGGATATTCTATTTTTCCTCATATGCCACAATTGGCTAAGAAATGTCCATTCATAGCTTTTACAAAAGAATGTTTCCAGCACCGTGAATCAAAACCCAGATTCCATTCTGTGTGATAAACCCACAAAAATCAAAGCATTTAAACAGATAGGTTGCTTTTATTTTATTTTTTTGCTAAATATTGGATTTTTCCCTATAGCCCTCAATGGGCTGAGAAAAGTCCCATTGTAGATTCTACAAAAAGAGAGTTTTGATCCAGGTGAATCAAAACAAAAGTTTCATTTACGAGATGAATCCAGGCATCACACTCATTCTCACAGATAGGTTGTTTCCAGTTTTTATCATCGAATATTTGACTTTTCCTAATAGAATTCAATGCACTCAGAAATATCCCATCATAGACTCTATGGAACACTGTTTCCAGCACCATGAATCAAAACACAGGTTCCATTCTGTAAGATGTATCCACACATCTCAAAGCATTTTCACAAATAGCTTGTTTCTAATTTTTATCACTGGATGTTTCATTTTTCCTTAAAGACTTCAATGAGCTCAGAAATGTCCCTTCCTAGATTCTACAAAAAGAGGGTTTCCAACGTGGTGAATCAAAACACAGGTCACTTTCTGTGAGACGAATCCACACATTACAGTGCGTTTGCACAGATAGCATATTTCTAGTTTTTATTGTTTTATATTTGGTTTATCATTATAGGCTTTGTTGGGCTCAGAAATGTCCCTTGGTGGATTCTACAAAAAGGGTGTTTCCAAACTTGTGAATCAAAAGGCATGTTCTGTATTGTGAGATAAATCCACACATCACAAAGTATTTTCACAAACAGCTATTTTCTAGCTTTTATTGCTGGATATTCAGGTTTTTCCTTATAGACCTCAATGGGCTCAGCAATGTCTCTTTGTAAATTCTACAATAAGAGTGTGTCCAACATATCGAATCAAAACACATGTTCCATTCTGTGACATAAATCCACACATCACAAGCCATTTTCACAGATCACTTGTTTTTAGTTTTTATCAGTTTATATTCTGTTTTTCCTTATAGGACTCAAAGTGCTCAGAAATATTCCTTTATGGATTTTACAATAAGATTGTTTTCAACATGCTGAATCACAATTCATGTTCCATTCTGTGAGATAAATCCACACATCACAAAGCATTTTCACAGATTGCTTACTTCTAGTTTTTATCACTGGATATTTCGTTATTTCCCTGTAGGCCTCAATGGGTTCAGAAATGTCTCTTTGGAGATTCTACAATAAAATAGTTTCCAACCCTGTAAATCAAAACACAGGTTTCATTCTGTGAGATGATTCCACATATCACAAAGCCTTCTCACAGATAGTTTTTTTCTAGATTCATTCGCTGGATATTCGTTTTTTCTTATAAACCTCAATGGGCTCAAAATGTACCTTCATAGATTATTTTTTTAAAAACGTGTGTTTCCAACAAGCTGAATCAAAACACAGTTTCCATCCTGTGAGCTGAATCCACACATCACAATGCATTTTCACAGATAGATTGTTTCTAGATTTTATTGCTGGATATTCTGTTTTTCCTTATAGCTTCAATGGGCTAAGAAACGTCTCTTCATAAAACCTACAATAACAGTGTTCCTATACTGGTGTATCAAAACACAGGCTCCATTACATGAAACGATTTCACACTTCACAAAGCATTTTCACAGATAGTTTGTTTCTAGTTTTAAAGGCTAAATATTCATTTTTTTCTTATAAGCCTTATTGTGCTCTGAAACGTCCCTTCGTAGATTCTACAAAAAGAGTGTTTATAAAGTGCTGAAAAAAACATGTTCCACTCTGTGAGATGAATCCAAACATCACAAAACATTTCCAAAGATAGCTTGTTTCTAGTTTTAATCCCTGGATATTCTGTATTTTCTTATATCCTCAATGGATTCAGAAACATCTTTTCATAGATTCTACAATAATAGTGTTTCTAAACTGGTGAATCAAAAAACTGGTTCCATTTTGTGAGTTGCATCCACACATCATAAAGCATTTTCCCAGATAGCTTGTTTCTAGTTTTTATCACTGCATATTCTTACCCACCCCCCACCCTGCCCCATATGGCTCAATTTGCTCAGAAAAGTCCCTTTGTGAATACTACAATAAAAGTGTTTCAAACCTGGTGAAAAATATACCGGTTCCATTCTGTGAGATAAATCACAAAGCATTGTCACAGATAGCTTGTTTTCAGGTTTTATCACTGGATATTCTGTTTTTCCTTATAGGCCTCAATGAGCTCAAAAATATTTCTTTGTGGCTTCTACAAGAAAATTCTTTCCAACTGCTAAATAAAAACACAGTTTCCATCTTGTGAGATGAGTCAACATATCACAAAGAATTTCCACAAAGAGATTTTTTTCTAGTTTGCAAAGCTGCATATTCAGTTATTCCTTATACACCTCAATGGTCTCAGAAACATCCCTTCATAGAGTCTACCAAAAGAATTTTTCCAACTTGCTGAATCAAAACACAGCTTTCATTCTTTGAGATGAATCCACACATCATGAAGTATTTTCACAGATAGGTTTTTTTAGTTGTGGTCACTGGATACTCTGTTTTTCCTTGTAGGCATCATTAGGCTCAGAATTGTCCCTTTTTAGAGTTTACAAAAACAGTGTTTCCAAACTGCTGAATCAAAATGTATATTCCATTCTGTGAGAAGAATGCAAACATCACAAAGCATTTTCACAGATAGCTTTTTTTCTAGTTTTTAATCTCTGGATATTCAGTTTTTCTTTATAAGCCTCAATGGCCTCAGAAATATCCCTTTGTATATTATACAATAAGATTGTTTCCAACTGGGTGATTCAAAAGGTATCTTGTTTCTAGATTTTTTTAGCTGGATATTCAGTTTTTTCTTACAATCCTAAATGGATGCGGAAATGTCTCTTTGTATATTCTACAAAAAGATTGCTTCCAACTGGATGAATCAAAACACAGGTTCCATTTTGTGAAATCAATCCACACATCACAAAGAATTTTCACAGATAGCATGTTTCTAATTTTTGTTGCTGGATATTCGGTTTTCCCCTAAATGCTACAATGGGCTCAGAAATGACCCTTCATAGATTCTGCCAAAAGAGTGTTTCCAACCTGGAGAATCAAAACACAGGTCCAATTCTTTGAGGTGAATCCAAATGTCACAAAGCGTTTTCACAGATAGCATTTTTCCAGTTTTTTAAACTGGATATTCTGATTTTCCTTATAAGCCTCAATGGGCTCAGAAATGTCCCTTTGTAGAATCTACAAAAAGAGCATTTCCAACCTGCTGAATTAAAAGACACTTTTCATTCTGTGAGATAAATACACACATCACAAAGCATTTTTACAGATAGCTTGTTTCTAATTTTTATTGCTGGATATTCTGTTTTGCCTTACAGGCCTCAATGGACTAAAAGTATCCCTTGTTGCATTCCACTAAAAGAGTGTTTACAAAGTGCTGAATCAAAACTCAGGTTCTATTCAGTGAGATAAATCCACACATCACAAAGCATTTTCCCAGAGTTCTTGTTTCTAGTTTTTATGGCTAGATATTTAGTTTTTTCACATAGGCTTCAATGGGCTCAGAAATAACCCTTTGTTAATTCTACAAGAAGACTCTTTCCAACCTGCTGAATCAAAACACAGTTTCCATCTTGTGAGATGAATCCACACATCACAAAGCATTTTCACAGAGAACTTTTTCTAGTTTATAAAGCTGGATATTTGGTTTTTCCTTATAAGCCTCAATGGGCTCAGAAATGTCCCTTTGTAAAGTTTACAAAAAGGGTTTTTATAACTTGCTGAATAAAAACGGAGGTTCCATTCTGTGAGATGAATCCACACATCACAAAGCATTTTTACAGATAGCTTGTTGCTAGTTTTTGTCATTGAATATTCGGATTTTCCCTTAGGGCCTCAATGAGCTAAGAAATGTCCCTTCGTAGTTTCTACAAAATGAGTGTTTTCAACCTGTTGAATCAAAACACTGGTTCCATTCTTTCAGATGAATCCACACATCATTAGGCATTTTTTCAGATACCTTATTTCTAGTTTTTATAGCTTAATATTGATTTTTATCTCATAGGCCTCAATCAGCTCAGAAATGTCCCATTGTAGATTCTGCAAAAAAGAGTGTTTAAAAACATGCTAAATTCAAACACAGTTTTCATACTGTTAGATGAATCCACGCATGAGAAAACATTTTCACAGATAGTCTGTTGTTAGTTTTTATCACTAGATATTCGGAGTTTTCTTAAGAAGCTCGATGAGCTCAAAAATGTCCCTTCATAGTTTGTACGAAAAGAGTGTTTCCAACATGCTGAATCAAAACACATTTTCCATTCTGCAAAATGATTCACACATCACAAAGCATTTTCATAGATAGCTTGTTTCTAGTTTTGATTGCTGGATATTTGGTTTTTCCTTATAGGAATCAATGGGCTCAGAAATGTCCTTACAAAGACTCTACTAAAAGAGTGTCCAACTTGCTGTATGAAAACACAGGTTCCATTCTGTGAGATGAATCCACACGTCAGAAAGCATTTTCACACATAGCTTGTTTTCAGTTTTTGTTTGTTTGTTTGTTTGTTTTTCCCTGGATATTCGGTTTTTCCTTAGAATGCTAAAGGTGCTCAGAAATATCCCTTTGAAGATTCTACAAAAAGAGTTTCTGACCTGTTGAATGAAAACATAGTTTCCATTCTGTGAGATGAATCCACACATCACAGAGCATTTTCACAAAAAGCTTGTTTGTAATTTTTATCTCTAGGTATTTGATTTTTACTTATAGACCTCGATGGGCTCAAATATGTCCCTTCTTAGATTCTACAAAAAAAAGTATTTCCAACCTGCTGAATCAAAAGACAGGTTCCATTTTGGGAAGTGAATGCACACATAACAAAGCATTTTCACAGATAGCTTTTTTCTATTTTATATCCCTGGATACTTATTATTTATTTATTTAACAGGCCTCAAAGTTTTCAGTAATCTTTCTTTGTACATTCGATAAATAAAAAATTCTTTCTAAGCCAGGTGCAGTGGCTCAAGCCTGTAATCCCAGCACTTTGGGAGGCCAAGGTGAGCAGACCACGAGGTCAAGAGATTAAGACAATCCTGGCCAACATGGTGAAAACCCGTCACTACCAAAAATACAAAAATTAGCTGGGTGTGGTGGTGCACATCTGTAGTCCCAGCTACTCAGGGAGCTGAGGCAGGAGAATTGCTTGAACCCCGGAGGTGGAGATTGCAGTAGCTGAGATTGCATCACTGGAATCCAGCCTGGCATGAGTGAGACTCTGTCTCGAAAAAAAAATTCTTTCTAAACAACTGAATCAAAACACAGTTTCTAACCTGTGAGATGAATCTACACATCACAAAGCATTTTCACAGATAGTTCTTTCTAGTTTTTCTCACTGGATATTTGGTTTTTCATTATAGGATTTATTAGACTCAGAAATGTCCCTTTGTAGATTCTATAAAAATAGTGTTCCCACCCTGCTGAATCAAAACAAAGGTTCTATTCTAGGAGATAAATACACACATCACAAAGCATTTTCACAGATAGCCTGTCGCTAGTTATTATCACTGAATATACGGTTATTACTTAGTGGGCCCAATGGCATCAGAAATGTCGCTTTGTAGATTCTACAAAAGAGTGTGTCCAACCTGCTGAGTCAAGTCTCAGGTTACATTCTGTGAGATGAATCCACACATCACAAGGCATTTTCACAGATAGCTTTTTTTCTAGTTTTTACCACTGTATATTGTTTTTTCCTTAGAGATCTCAATGGGCACAGAATTGTCACTTTGTAAATTCTACAAATAGCATGTTTCCAACCTGCTGAATAAAAACACAAGCTCCATTCTGTTCGATGAATCCACATCTCAGAAAGCATTTTCACAGTAAGCTTGTGTCTAATTTTTATATCTGGATATTTGACATTTCCTTAGAGGCCTCAATGGGCTCAGAAATTTCCCTTTGTAGATTCTACAAAACCAGTGTTTCCAACATGCTGAATCAAAGCACATGTTCCATTCTTTCAGATTAATCCACATAACACTAAGCATTTTCACAATAGCTTCTTTCTAGTTTTTATTGCTGAATATTGGATTTTTCCTTATAGGCCACAAGGGGCTCAGAAATGTTCCTTTGTAGATTCTACAAAAAGAGTGTTTCCAACTTGCTGAATCAAAATGCAGTTTCCATTTTGTGACATGAATCCACACATCGAGAATCATTTTCACGGTTCTTTGTTTTTAGATTTTATTGCTGGATATTTGGGTTTTCTTAAAGGCCTCAATAGGCTCAGAAATGTAACTTCATAGATTCTACAAAAAGAGATTCTCCAACCTGTTGAATCAAAACAGAGTTCCCACCCTGTCTGCTAAATCCAAACATCTCAAAGCATTTCCACAGGTATCTTGTTTCCAGTTTTTTTGCTGGATATTTGGTTTTCATTTACAGGCCTCAATTTTTGGTCAGAAACGTCCCTAGGTACATTTGAAAAAACAATTGTTTCCAAACTGAGGAATCAAAGTTTCCATCCTGTGAGATGAATTCACTCATCACAAAGCATTTTTACTGTCAGATTGTTTCTAGTTTTTATTGCTAGGTATTTTGTTTTTCCCTAGAGGCTGCAATGGTTTGAGAAATGCCCCTTCATAGATTGTATAAAAAGAATGTTTCCAACCTGCTCAATCATAATGCAGGTTCCATTCTGTGGGATGAATCCACACATCACAAAACATTTTCACAGATAGCCTGTTGCTAGTTTTTGTCACAGGATATTCTGATTTTCTTTAAGGAACTCAGTGAGCTCAGGAATGTCCCTTTGTATGTTTTACAAATAGAGTGTTTCCAACCTGCTGAATGAAAACACAGGTTCCATTCTGTGAGATGAATCTGCACATCACAAAACATTTTTACAGATAGCTTCTTTCTAGTTTTTATCCCTGGATATTCTGTTTTTCCTTAGAGATCTCAACAGGCTCAGAAACATTCCTTCATAGATTCTAAAAAAGAGTGTTTGAAACAGACTAAATCAAAATACAGGTTTCATTCAATTAAATGAATCCACACATCACAAAGCATTTTCAAAGATAGTTTGTTTCCAGTTTTTTTCCCTGAATATTCTGTTTTCCCTTATATTCCTCAATGGCTTCAGAAATATCTCTTCATACGTTCAACAAAAAAATTGTTCCCAAACTGCTGCATCAAAACACTGTTTCGATCCTGTAAGATAAACCCATACATCACAATATATTTTCACAGATAACTTGTTTTTAGTTTTTATCGCTACATATTTTGTATTTTTTTATCGGCCTCAGTGGGCTCAGAATTGTCCCTTCATAGACTCGATGAAATGAGTTTTTCCCACCTGCTGAATCAAAACACAGGTTTCCTTCTGTGTGATGAATCCACACATCATGAAGCATTTTTATAGATAGCTTGTTTCTAGTTCTTACCACTGGATATTTGGGTTTTCCTTAGAGGCTTCAATTGGGTCAGAAATGCACCTTTGTATTTCTACAAAAAGAGCATCCCCAACCTGCTTAATAAACACACATGTTCCATGCTGTGATATTAATCCACACATCACAAAGCAGTTGCACAGATAGTCTGTTGCTAGTTCTTATTGCCTGCATAACAAAGCATTTTCATATAAAGCTTGTTTCTAATTTTTATCTCTGGTTATTTGGAATTTTTACAGGCCTAAGTACACAAAAAAAAGTCCATTTGTAGATTCCACAAAAAAGCAATGTTTCCAAACTGTTGAATCAAAACAGAGGTTTCATTCTTTCAGAAAAATCCACACGTCACTATCGATTTTCACAAATGCCTTGTTTCTAGTTTTTATTGTAGAATATTGGATTTTTTCTTATTGGCCTCAATGGGCTCAGAAGGATTTCTCTGTATACCCTACAAAAAGAGTGTTTCCAACCTGCTGAATCAAAATTCAGGTTCCATTCTGTGAGATAATTCCACACATCAAAAGACATTTTCACAGATGGCTTGTTTCTACTATTTTTTTTTTTCTGGATATTCGGTTTTTACTTATGGGCTGTAGTATGTTCAAAAACGTCCCTTCGGAGATTTTACAAAAAGAGTGTTTCCAACCTGCTGAATCAAAACACAGGTTCCACTCTGCAAGGTAAATCCACACATCACAAAGCATTTTCACAGATAGCTTGTTTCTAGATTTTTTCCGTGGAAATTTGGTTTTCCTTATAGGCTTCAATGGTTTCAGAAATGGCCCTTCATACATTTCAAAAACAAATTGTTTCCAAACTGCTGAACAAAAACATTGTTTTGATCCTGTGAGATGAATCCACACATCACAAAGCTTTCTCACAGATAGCTTGTTTCTAGTTTTTATGGCTGGATATTTCATACTTTCTCATAGGCTTCAATGGGCTCAGAAATATTCCTTTGTAGATTTCACAAAAAAACGTGATTCCAATCTGCCGAATCAAAACACAGGTTCCATTCTGTGAGATGAATACTACATCACAATGCATTTTCACAGTAAACTTTTTACTAATTTTTATCACTAAATATTTGGTATTTCCTTAGAGGCCTTAAGGGCTTAGAAATGTCCTTTCATAGATTCTACAAAAAGAGTGATTCCAACCTGCTGAATCAAAACACAGGTTCCATCCTGTGAGATGAATACACACATCACAAAGCATAGTTTTTTTCTAGTTTTTATCACTAGATATTCAGTTTTTCCTTAGAGGCCTAAATGGGCTCAGAAATGCACCCTCATATTTCTACAAAATGAATGTTCTCAACCTGCTTAATAATAACACAGGTTCCATGCTGTGAGATGAATCCACACATCACAAAGTATTTGCACAGATAGGCTGTAATGTTAGCTTTTGTTGCTAGATATTTGGATCTTACTTAAGGGCCTGAATGGGCTCAGAAATGTCCCTTCATAGGTTCTACAAAAAGAGTGTTTTCACCTGCTTAATCAAAACACATTTTCCATTCTGTGATATGAATAGACATATCGCAAAGCATTTTCACAAAAGCTTGTTTCTAATTTTTATCGCTGGATATTCTGTTTTTCTTTATAGGCCTTAGTGCGTTCAAAAATGTCTCTTCATAGATTCTACAAAAAGAGTTTTTCCAATATGCTGAATCAAAACTCAGATTCCATTCTGTAAGATTAATCCACATATCACAAAGCATTGTCACAGAGAGATTGTTTTTAGTTTTTTTCTCTGAATATTCCCTTTTATCTTATAGGCCACAATGGGCTCAGAATTGTCCCTTTGTAGATTCCACCAAAAGAGTGTTTCCAACCTGGTGTATCAAAACACAGCTTCCATATTGTGAGTTGAATCCACCCATCACAAGGCATTTTCACAGATTCCTTAGTTCTAGTTTTTATCTCTGAACATTCGGTTTTTCCTTAGAGGCCTCCATGGGCTCAGAAATGTCCCTTTTTTTCTTCTACAAAAAGAGTGTTTCCAACCTGCTGAATCAAAACAAATTTTCCCTTCTGTCAGAAGAAGCCACACATCCCAAGAAGTTTTCACCGATAGCTTCTTTCTAGTTTTTATCACTGTGTATTCAATTTACAATTAGAGGCCTCAATGGGATGAGAAATGTCCCTTTGTTGATTCCACAAAAAGAGTTTTTAAAACCTGCTCTATCAAAACACAGGTTCCTTTCCTTGAGATGAATCCACACATCACAATGTGTTTTCAGTGATAGCTTTTTTCTAGTTTTTATCACTGGATATTCAGTTTTACCTTAGAGGTCTAAATGTTCTGAGAAATGTCCCCTCATAGGTTCTACAAAAAGAGTGTTTCCAACCTGCTGAATCAAAGACAGGTTCCATTCTGTGAGATGAATCTACACATAGCAAAACCTTTTCACAGATAGCTTGTTTCTAGTTTTTATTGTTAGATATTCCCTTTCTTCTTAAAGGCCTCAATGGGTTCAGAAACGTCCCTTCATAGATTCTACAAAAAGAGAGTTTTCAACCTGCTGAATCAAAACACAGGTTTCATTCTGTGAGAAGAATCCACATAACACAAAGCATTTTCACAGTGCACTTGTTTCTAATTTTTATCACTGGATATTCAGTATTTCTTTAGAGGCATCAAAGGGCTCAGAAATATCCCTTTGTAGATTCTCCAAAAAGAGTGTTTCCAACCTGCTGAATCAAAACACAAGTTCCATTTTAGTGCAATGAATCCGCACATCACAAAGCATTTTCATACGTAGCTTGCTTCTACTTTTTATCGCTGGATATTTGTTTTTTTCTTAGAGGCCTCAATGGGCTCAGAAATGCACCTTCATAGATTCTACATAACGAGTGTTTCAAACTGCTAAATCAACACACAGGTTGCATTCTCTGAGATGAATCCACACATTTCAAAGCAGTTTCACAGATAGCCTCTTGCCAGCTTTTATTACTGGATATTCGGATTTTCCTTAAGGGCCTGAAATAGCTCAGAAATGTTTATACATAGTTTGTACGAAAAGAGTGTTTCCAAACTGTTGAGTCAAAACACACTTTCCATTCTGTTATATGAATAGACACATCACAAAGTATTTTCACAGAAAGCTTCTGTATGTTTTTATCGCTGGTCATTCTTTTTTTTTTAAATAGACCTCAATGGTATCAGAATTGTTCCTTTGTAGATTCTTCAAGCAGGGTGTTTCCAACCTGCTGAATACAAACAAATTTTCCATTCTTTGCGATGAATCCACACATCACAAAGCATTTACATGGATAGTCTGTTTCTGGTTTTTATTCCTGGATATTCAAATTTTTCTTATATGTGTCAATGAGCTCAGAAATGTCCCTCCATAGTTTCCACAAAAACAGTATTGCCAGCCTGCTGAATCAAAACAAGTTTTCCATTCTGTAATAAGAGTCTACAAGTCATAAAGCATTTTCACAGATAGCTTCTTTCTAGTTTTTATTGCTGAATATTCGGTTTTCCACATAATCTTCAATGGGCTCAGAAGTATCCCTTTGTAGATTCCTCAAAAAGAGTGCTTCCAACCTGCTGAATTAAAACACAGGTTCCATTTTGTGAGATGAATCCACACATCACAAAGTCTTTTCACAGGTAGCTCCTTTCTAGTTTTTATCACTGAAAATTGGATTTTTTCTTATACACCTCAATTGGCTAAGAAATGTTCCTTCATTGATTTTACAAAAAAAAAGTTTCCATCCTGGAATTTTGAAGCACAGGTTAATTCTGTGAGATGAATCCACACATCACAAAGCATTATCACAGATACTTTGTTTCTGTTTTTAATGCATTATATTCAACTTTTCCTTTTGGGTTTCAATGGGCTCTGAAATATCCCTTCATAGATTCTACATAAAGAGTGTTTCCAAGCTAGAGAATCAAAATACAGGTTGCATTCCTTGAGATGAATCCACACATCACAAAGCATTTTCACAGATAGCTTGTTTCTAGTTTTCATCGCGGGATATTCAATTTTTCCTTACGGGCTTCAGTGGGCTCAGAAATATCCCTTCGTAGATTCTACAAAAAGAGAGTTTCCCACCTGTAGAATCTAAATACAGTTTCCATTCTGTGAGATGGATCCACACATCACAAAGCATTTTCTCAGATAGCTTCTTTCTAATTTTTATCACAGGATATTCAGTTTTTCACTATATGCCTCAATGGTCTCAGAAATGTTCCTTTATAGTTTCTATAAAAAGTGTGTTTTCAAACTGGTGAATCCAAACACAGGTTCCATTCTGTGAGATTAATCCATACATCACAAAGCATTTTAACAGATAGCTTGTTTTTAGTTTTTATCACGGGATATTCAAATTTTCTTTATGGGTCTCAATGGGCTCAAAAACACCCCTTCATACATTTTACAAAATGAGTGTTTCCAACCTCGAGAATAAAAACATAGGCTCCATTCTCTGACGTGAATCTACACATCACAAAGCATTTTCACAGATAGCTCATTTCTAATTTTTATCACAGTATATTCTGTTTTTCACTATATGCCTCTATGAGCTAAGAAATGTTCCTTCCTAAATGCCACGAAAAGAGTTTATCCAACCTGGTGAGTCAAAACACAGGTTCCATTCTGTGAGTTGAATCCACACATCACAAAGTGTTTTCACAGATAGCTTGTGTCCAGTTTTTATTGTGGGATATTTTTCCTTGTGGGTCTCAATGGGCTCAGGAATGTCCCCTCATAGATTGTACAAAAAGCGTGATTCCAACTATCAACTCACAGGTTCCATTTTGTGTAATGAATCCACATATCACAAAGCATTTTCACAGATTGCTTGTTTCTAGAGACTTCTGGTCGACCTCAAGCATTGTAAGGGCATAGACTTCTGGTTGACCTCAGGCATTGTAATGGGAGAAACTGCTGGTCCACCTCAGGCATTGTACGGGTAGAGGCACTTGGTCGATTTCTGGCCGGCTTTATACATTGTAAGTGGGATACTTCTTGTCGACCTCGGAAATGGTAACGGGAATGACACCTGGCTGATCTCTGGCCTTCTGAGGGGAGGGAAAGCTGGCTGACCTCAGGCATTCTAATGAGAGAGACACCTGTCTGACCTCAGGCATTCTAAGGGAAGAAACACTTGGTCTACCACAGGCATCTAAGGGGAGAAACATTTGGCTGGCCTCACGAATTCTAAGAGGAGAGATATCTGGCCAACCTCAGGCATTCTAACTGGAGAGTCTCCTGGCCTGCCTCAGGCATTTTAAGAGGAGTCTCCTGGCTGAACTCAGGTATTTTACAGGGAAGGACACCTGACTGATCTCAGGCATTCTAAGCAGAGAGTCACCTGGCCAACCTCAGGCATTCTAAGGGGAGGGATTCCTGGCCAACCTAAAGCATTCTAGGGGAGAGACAGCCAGCTGACATCATTCATTCTAATGAGAAAGACACCTGAGTGACCTCAGGCATTCTAACAAGAGAGACAACTGGTCAACCTCATTCATTGTAACGGGAGAGACACCTGGCTGAACTCAGGCATTCTAAGGGGAAAGACACCTGGACAACTTCACGCATTTTAAGGGGGGAGACATCTGGCCGAATTTAGACATTCTAATTAAAGGATAACTAGAAGAACTCATTTATTCTAATAGGAGAGACACCTGCCCATCTTCTGACATTCTAGAAGGAGGGTCTCCTGGCCTACCTCAGGCATTCTAAGGGGCGAGCCTCCTGGTCGACCTCAGGCATCCTAAGAAAAGACACACCGGGCTGATTTCAGGCAATCTAAAAGGAGAGTCTCCTGGGTGAACTCAGGCATTTTAATGCAAGGATATCCTTGCCAAACTCAGGCATTCTAAGGGAAGACACCTGGCCAAACTCAGGCATTTTAAGGGGAGAGACACCTGGCTGAACTGAGGCATTCTAATAGGACTGACTCCTGAAAGACCTCAGCCATTTTAAGGGGAGAGACACGTGGCAAACTCAGGCATTCTATGGAGAGAGACACCTGGCCGACCTCATTCATTCTAATGGGAGAGACACCTATTCAACCTAAGGCATTCTAAGGGGAGAGACCCCTGGCAGACCTCAGGCATTCTAACAGGAGAGACACCTAGCCGACCTCAGACATTCTGAGGGGAGAGACTCCTGGCCGACCACATTCGTTCTAACAGGAGAGACACCTAGCCGACCTCAGATATTCTAAGGGGAGAGACTCCTCTTGGCCGACCACATTCGTTCTAACAGGAGAGACACCTGGCCAACTTTAGGCATTTTAAAGGGAGTGACAGCTGGCTGACCTCAGGCATTCTAAGGGAAGAGAGTCCTGGCCCACCTCAGAAATTCTGAGGTGAGAGACACCTGGCCAACCTCAGACATTTTAACAGTAGAGACACCTGGCTGACCTCAGACATTATAAGGGAAAAGACACCCGGCCAACTTCAGGCATTCTAAGGGGAGAGACAACTGGCCGATATCAGATATTCTAAGGGGAGAGACACCTGGCTGACATTAGCACTCTAAAGGGAGAGTCTCCTGGCTGACCACAGTCATTCTATTTGAAGAGACTCCTGGACGACTCAGACATTCTAAAAGCAGAGAAACCTGGCCAACCTTATTCATTCTAACGAGAGAGACAACTGGACGACCGGAATTCTATGAGAGACTCCTGGCCAGCCTCAGACATTCCGAGCAGAGAGACATGTGGACGACCTCAAGCATTCTATCAGAAGAGACATCTGGCTGATGCCAGGCATTCCAAGGGGACAGACACCAGGCTGACCTCATTCATTCTAACGGGCAAGACACCTGGCTGACCTCAGGCATTCTAGCAAGAGAGAATCCTGGTCGACCTCAGGCATTCTGAAGGAATACATACCTGGCCAACATCATGCATTCTAATTGGAGAGTTTCCTGGCTGCCCTAAGCATTCTAAGGGCATAAACTCAGGGCTGCCCTCAGACATTCTAAAAGAGAGTCTCCTGGAAGACTGTAGGCATTCTAAGGAAAAGACTCGTGGCCGACCTCAGGCATTCTAAGGGGAGCATCATCTGACATTTAAAGGAGAGAGACACCAAGCCAACCTCATTCCTTCTAACAGGAGAGACACAAGGCTGACCTCAGGCATTCTAAGGGGAGAGTCTCCTGTCTGACTGAAGGCATCTAAGTGGAGAGACTCCTGGCGACCTAAGGTATTCTAACAAGAGGCACCTAGCTGACCTCATTCGTTCTAATGGGAGAGAAACGAGACCAAGCTCAGGCATTCTAAGGAGAGAGTATCTCGGCTGACCTCAGGCATTCTAAGTGGAGGACTCCTGGCCAACCTCAGACATTCTAGTGGGAGAGACACCTGGCTGACCTCATGCATTCTATGGGGAGAGTACACTGGCTGATCTCAGGCAATCTAAAGGGAGAGTCTCCTGGCCGATCTCAGGCATTCTAAAGGAAGAGACCCCTGACCGACTTCAGGCATTCTAACAGTAGAGACAACTGGCCAACCACATTCATTCTAACGGGAGAGACACCTTGCCAACTTCCAGCATTCTAATGGGAGCCTCATGGCCGACCTAAGGCATTCTAATGAGAGAGATGCCTGGCCAACCTCAGGCATTCTAATGGGACAGACACCTGGCCAACCTCAGGATTTCTAAGGCAAGAGACTGCTGGCCACCCTAGGCAATCTAATGAGAAAGACCCCTGCCGAACTCTGGCATTCTAAGCAAAAGTCTCCATTCTGACCTTAGGCATTCTAAGAGGAGAGACTCCTCGTTGACCTCAGGCACTCTAACCAGAGAGAGACCTGGCTGACATCAGGCATTCTAAGTGACTGAAACTTGGCCCACCTCAGGCATTATAATGAGAGAGACACCTTGCCAACCTCAGACATTCTAAGGAGAGAGATTACTGGTGGATCTCAGACATTCTAAGGGGAAAGTCTCCAGGCCAACCACAGGCATTCTAAGAAGAGAGACACCTGCCTGACCTCAGGCATTCTAAGAAGAGAGACACTTAGCCAACCTCAGGCATTCTAACGGAAGAGACACCTGGCCAACCTCAGGAATTCTAAGGGGAGAATCTTCTGACTGATCTCAGACATTCTATGAGGGGAGATTCATGGCCGACCTCAGGCACTCTTAGGGGAGAGAAACCTGGCTGACCTCTGGCATTCAAAAGGGAGAGACATCTCTCTGAACTTAGACATTCTAAGGGGACAGACTCCTGCCTGACCTCAGGTTTTCTGAAGGGAGAGTCTCCTGGTCAACTTCAGGCATTCTAAAAAGAGAGAATCCTGGCAGACTTCTGGCACTCCAATGGGAGAGACACCTGGCTGACCCCAGGCATTCTAAGGACAGAGACTCCAGGCCGACCTCAGGCATTCTAAAGGGAGAGTCTCCTGGACGACATCTGGAATTCTAAGGAAAGAGCCTACTGGCCCACATCTTGCATACTATTGGGAAGGACACCTCACCGACTTCAGGTATTCTAAGGGTAGTGACACCTGGCTGACTTCAGGCATTCTAATGTTAGAGACACCTGGCTAACCTCAGGCATTCTAATGGGAGAGACTCCTGGCCAACATAAGACATTTTAAGGGGATAGTCTCCTGGATGACCTCAGCTATTCTAAGAAGAAAGACAAAGGGGAGACCTCAGGCATTATAAAGAGAGAAACACCTTGGCAACTGCATTCATTCCAAAGGCAGAGACACCTGGCCAAATGTAGGAATTCTAACAGAAGAGTCTCCTGGCTGACCTCAGGCATTCTAAGGTGTGAGACCTCAGGCATTCTAAGGGGAGTGACACCTGGCCGACTTCAGGCATTCAAATGAGAGAGAAACCTGGAAGACCTCATTTATTCTAATGGGAGAAACATCAGCCTGACCGCAGGCATTCTAACAAGAGAGTCTCTTGGCAGACCTCAGACATTCTAAGGGAAAAGACCCCTGGTGGACCACAGGCATTCTTAGGGATGAGACACCTTGTGACATCAGTCATTCTAAGAGAAGAGACTCCTGGTTGACCTCAGGCATTCTGAAGGGATAGACTCCTGGCCAATTTCAGGCATTCTAATGAGACAGCCAGCTGGCCGACTTCAGATATTCTAAAGAAAAAGACTACTGGTCAGACCTCAGGCATTCTCAGGAAATAGACACCTGGATGACCTCATAAATTATAACAAGAGAGACACCTGGCTAACATCAGGAATTCTAAGGGGAGAGTCTCCTGGCAGACCTCAGGCATTCTATGAGGAGAGACTTCTGGACGAACTTAGTCATTCTTAGGGAAGAGATACCTGGCCGACCTCTGGCATTCTAAGGGGAGACACACCTGACTGACCTCACACGTTCTAAAGGGAGAGATTCCTAGCTGACCTCAGGCATTCTAAGGGTAAAGTCTCCTGGCCCACTTCACGCTGTCTAAGGAGA
The DNA here is from genome assembly GCF_000001405.40 of Homo sapiens. Taxonomy (NCBI): domain Eukaryota; kingdom Metazoa; phylum Chordata; class Mammalia; order Primates; family Hominidae; genus Homo; species Homo sapiens. Next base: position 58,083,232 of record NC_000023.11, read on the forward strand.
GAGACTCCTGGTTGACCTCTGGCATTTTTAAGGGAGAGACACCTTGCTGACCTCAGGCATTCTAAGATGTGAGACTCCTGGCCAATATCAGACATTCTAACAAGAGATACACCTGGCCAACTTCTCTCTCGTTAGGATGCCTGAAGTCAGCCAGGTGTCTCTCCCCTTAGAATGCCTGAGGTTGGACAGGAGACTATCCCTTACAATGCCTGAGGTCAGCCAGTATACTGTCCCCTTAGTATTCCTAAGGTAGGCCAGGAATCTCTCCATTTAGAATGCCTGCGGTCAGCACGGTGTCTTTCCACTTCGAAAGCCTGAGGTAGGTCAGATGTCTCTCCCATTAGAATGCCAGAGATCAGCCAGGTGTCTCTGCTCTCAGAATGCCTGAAGTCAGCTAGGGGTCTCTCCTTTTAGAATGCCTGAGGTCAGCCAGGTGTCTCTCCTGTTAGAATGCCTGAGGTCAGCCAAGTTTCTCTCCCCTCAGAATGCCTGAGGTCAGCCAGGTGTCTTTTCCCTCAGGATGCCTGAGGTCAGCTTAGTGTCCCTCCTGTTAGAATGAATGAAGTCAGCCAGGCGTCTCTCAGGTGAGAATGCCTGAGTTTCACCACGTGTCTCTCTCCTTAGAATGTCTAAGTTCAGTCAGGAGACAATCCCCTTAAAATGCCTGAGGACGCCTAGGAGTCTCTCCCCTTAGAATGATGAGGTTGGTCAGGAGTCTCTCCTTTTTGAAATGCCAATGCCTGCAGTCGGCCCATAGCCTCTCCTCTTGAAATGCCTGAGGTTGCCCAGGTGACTCTTTCACTAGAGTGATTGAGGTCGGCCAGGTGTCTCTCCCCTCAGAATGCCTGAAGTCAGCCAGGAGTCTCTCCCCTAAGAATGCCTGAGGTTGGCCAAGAGTCTCTCCCCTTAGAATTTCTTAAGTCTGCCAGGTGTCTCTTATCTTAGAATGCCTGAGGTCAGCCAGGTGTTTCTTCCCTTAGAATGCCTGGGATCAGCTAGGACACTCTCCTCTTAGGATGCCTGAGGTTGGCCAGGAGTCTCTCCACTTAGAATGCCTGAGTTGAGCCAGGTGTCCCTTCTGTTAAAATGTCTGAGGTCGGCCATGCTGCTCTCCCTTCAGAATGCCTGAGGTCAGCCAGGAGTCTCTCCAATTAGAATGCCTGAGGTTGTCCAGGTGTCTCTTTCTTTAGAATGTCTGAGGTCGGCAATGAGTCTCTCCGTTTAGAATGCCTGAGGTCAACCAAGTGTCTCTTCCATTAGAATGCCTGTGTTTGGCCAGAAGTCTGCCCTGTAGAATGCCTGAGGTCAACCACATATCTCTCCTGATAGAATTCATGAGGTCGGCCAGGTGTCTCTTCCCCTAGAATGCCTGACATCACAAAGTGTTTCTCCACTCAGAATTCCTGTGGTCTACCAGGAGTCTCTCCCCTTGAAATGCCTAAGGTTGGCCAGGAGAATCTCCCCTTAGAATGCCTGCAGCCGGTCTGGTGTCTCTCCTGTAGAATGAATGATGATTTCCAGGTGTCTCTCTCGTTTGAATGCCTGAGGTCAGCCAGTTGTCTCTCTTCTTACAATGCCTGTGGTTGGTCAGATGTCTCTCCACTTAGAATGCCTATGTTCAACTAGGAGAATCTCCCATTAGAATGCCTGAGGTTGGCCAGGTGTCTCTCTCATTAGAATGCCTGGAGTCAGCATGTAGTCCCTCCCCTTAGTATGCTTGAGGTTGGCCATTTGTCTCTCCCGTTAGAATGCCTGAGGTCAGCAAGGAGTCTCTCCCCCACAGAATGCCTAAGGTTGGACAAGATTCTCTTCCCTTGCATTTCCTGAGGTCGTTCAGGTGTCTCTCCCTTTAGAATGCCTGAAGTCAGAAAGGGCTGCTCCCCTTGGAATACCTGAGGTCTGAGAGTTGACTGTCCTCTTAGAATGCCTGAGGTCGGCCAGGAGAATCTCCCCTTACAACGCCTGAGGTTGGCCTGTTGTCTCTCCCCTTATCCATTCTGACAGGAAAGACGCCTGGTGGACCTCAGGCATTCTAAGGGGAAAGACTACTGGGCAACCTCAGGCAATCTGAGGGTATAGGCCCCAGGCCGACGTTAGGCATTCTGTTGGGAGAGACACCTGGACGACTTCAAGCATTCTAAGAAAAGAGACACCTGGACGACCTCAGGGATTCTAAAGGGACAGACCCCTGGCCGCACTCATGCGTTCTATAGGGAGACTCCCCTGGCCCAACTAAGGCATTATAAGCAGAGAGACATCTGGCCAACTTCAGGCATTCTCAGGGGAGAGACACATTGCTAACCTCAGGCATTCTCAGGGGAGAGACACCTGGCCAACTTTATTCATTCTAACCAGAGTCAGTCCGGGAGGCCTCAGGCATTCTAAGGGGAGAGACTCCTGGCCAAACTCTGGCATTCTAATGGAAGAGACACCTGGCGGACATCAGGAATTCTAAGGGGAAATAAACCTAACTGACCTCAGGCATTCTAACTTGAGAGATTCCTGGCCAGGCCCAGGCATTCTAATGATAAAGACTCCTGGCTGAACCTTGGCATTGTAATGAGGGAGACACCTGGGGGGCTTCAGACATTCTAAGGATGGAGTAACCAGGCATTCATCAGGCATTCTAACAGGAGCGACTCCTTGCTGACCTCAGGCATTCTAATGACAGAGACGCCTGGGTGACCTCAGGCATTCTAAGAGTAGAGACACATAACTGATCCCAGGCATTCTGATGGGAGGGGCTCCTGGTCAACCACAGGCATGCTAATGATGGAGACACCTGGGCGACTTCAAGCATTTGAAGGATACAGAGACCTGGTTGATTAAAGGCATTCTAACTGGAGAAACTTCTGACCGACCCCAGGCATTCTAATGATAAAGACTTTTGGCATACTTCAGGCATTCTAATGATAGAGGCACCCGGGCAACCTCAGGCATTATAAGGATACAGACACCTGGCCAAACCCACACATTCTAATGAGAGAGACACCTGGCCAACCCAACTCATTCTAATGATAGAGACACCTGGGCAACCTAATGCATTCTAAGGATAGAAACACCTGGCTGACCCAAGGCATTCTAATGGTGGACATTCCTAGCCAATTCTAGGAATTCTAATGTTGGAGATTCCTGGCCTATCCCAGGCATTCTAAAGATAGAGATACCTATACGATCTCAGGCATTCCTGGCCTACCCAAGGCATTCTAAGGTTAGAGACACCTGGCCAACCCCAGGCATTCTAACGGGAGAGATTGCTGGCCAACCCCAGGCATTTTAATGGTAGAGACACCTGGACGATCTCAGGCGTTCTAATGAGAGAGAAACCTGGCCGAGCTTAGTCACTCTAATGAGAGACAGACTCCTGGGCAAGCCCAGGCACTTCAATGACAGAGACTTTTGGAAGACCTCAGGCATTTTAATTATAGAGAAACCTGTGCGACCTCAGACATTCTAAGTATACAGACACCTGTCCCACTAAATGCATTCTAACAAGAGAGAGTCTTGGACAACCACAGACATTCTAATGATATAGATTAGTGGCCTCCCCAAGTATTCTAAGATTAGAGATACATGGGCTACCTCAGTCATTCTATAGAGACATTTGGCCAACATCAGGCATTCTAATGGGATAGACTGCTGGCCTACCTGAGGCATTCTGGTGATAGAAACTCCTGACCTACCCTAGGCATTCTAATGATAGAGACATCTGTGCGAACACAGGCATTTGGAGGATAGAGACACTTCATTGACCCCAGGCATGTTAACGGGTGAGACCTCTGGCTGATGACAGGCATTCTAATGACAGAGACACCTGGGCCATTTCAGGCAATCTAAAAATAGAGACACCTCGCTGACCCATACACTCTAACGAGAGAGACTCCTGGCTGACTCAAGGCATTCTAATGACAGAGGCACATGGGTGACCTCTGGCATTCTAAGGATAGACACCTGGCCAACCTAAAGCATTCTTATAGGAGAGACACCTGGAAATCCTCAGGCTTTTTAATGATAGAGACTCCAGGGAAACCCCAGGCATTCCAATGATAGACACCTGGGCGACCTCAGGCTTTACGAACATAGAGACACCTGGTAAACTACTGGGATTCTAATGGGAGAGACTACTGGGTGACCACAAAGATTTCAGCATGAAAGACTCCTGGGTGACCCCAGGCATTCTAAGGATAGAGACTCCTGGCCTAACCCAGGCATTCTAATAATAGGGACACCTGTGTGACCTCTAGTATTCTAAGTATAGAGACACCTGGAAGACCCCAGGCATTCTAATAATAGGGACACCTGTGAGACCTCACACATTCTAAGGATAGAGACACCTGGGAGACCCCAGGCATTCTAACAAGAGAGACCAGTGGCAGATCCCAGGCATTCTAACCGTAGAGATTTCTGGCTGACCCCATGCATTCTAATAAAAGAGACTTCTGGCTGATCTCATGGATTCTAGTGATAGGGACAATGGAAGACTTCAGGCATTCTAAGGATAGTGACACCTGACCGACTTCAAGCATTCTAACTGGAGAGACCCCTGCTGACCCCAGGCATTATAATGGTAGAAACTCCTGGCTTACTCCAGGTATTCTAATAATAGAGACACCTGTGTGATCTCAGGCATTCTAAGGACAGAGGCACCTGACCTACTCCAGGAATTCTAAAGAGAGAGACTCTGAACCTACCCCAGGCATTCTAATGATAGGGATACCTGTGTGACCTCTGGCATTCTAAGGATAGAGGCACCTGGTCAACCCCAGGCATTCTAATGAAAGAGACTACTGGCCAACCCCAGGCATTATAACAATAAAGACTCCTGGTCAACCACAGGCATTCTAATGATAGAGGTACCTGTGAGACCTCAGTTATTCTAAAAATAAGACAACTGGCCAATCCAAAGCATCCTAATGGGATCTGGCCAACCCCAGACATTCCAAAGGGGGAGACTTCTGGGACCCCAGGAATTCTAATGGGAGAGATTCCTGGTCGACCCCAGGCATTTCTAATGATAGAGACAGGTGGGCGACATTAAGCATTCTAACAGTGGAGACAAACTGAGGCATTCTAACAGGAGACACACCTGGCCGACCCCAGGCATTTTAATGAAAGAGACTCTTGGCCTACCCCAGGCATTCTAGTGATAGAAACACCTGTGTGATCTCAGGTATTCTAAGGAGAGAGACACCTGGTCAACCCAGACATTATAACGGGAGAGACCATGGGTCAATTGCAGGCATTCTAATGAGAGGAACTTTTTGCCAACCCTGGCATTCTAATGTTAAAGATACCTTGGGGACGTCAGGCATTCTAAGGATAGAGACACCAGGCCCACTTCAGGCATTCTAATGGGAGATTCTTTTGTCAGAAACTAGGCATTCTGATGATAGAGACTTCTGGCTGACCCCACGCATTCTTATGACAGAGACAGCTGTGTGACCTGATACATTCTAAGAATAGAGACAACTGGCCAACCACAGGCATTCTAATGGGAGAGACTCCTGGCTGAACTTGGCATTCTAAGGGGAGAGTCTCCTGGAGAACCCCAGGCATTCTAATGATGGGCACAACTGGACGACCTCAGGCATTCTAGGTAAAAAGGCACCTGTGTGACTTAATGCATTCTAAGAATAGAGATAACTGGCTTACCCCAGCATTCTAACAGTAGAGATTCCTGGCAAATCACAGCTATTCTAACGAAAGAGACTCCTGGCCGATCTCTGGCATTCCAATGATAGGGACACCTGGGCGACTTCAGGCATTCTAAGGATAGAGAGACCTGGCTGACCCCAGAAATCCTAATGGTAGATACTCATTGCCTACCCTAGGCATTTTAATGAAAGAGACTCTTGGCCTACCCCAGGTATTCTAATGTTAGGGACACTTCTGCGACCATAGGCATTCAGAAAACAGAGACATCTGGCTGACCTCAGGCATTCTAATTGAAGAGACTCCTGGTCGACCCCAGGCATTTTAGCAGGACAGACTCCTGGCCTACCCAGGCATTCTAATGTGAGAGAAACCTTTGAAACCTCAGGTTTTCTAAGGATAGGGAAACCTCGCCCACTCCAAACATCCTAAAGGTAGAAAATTTTTGTGGAACCCAGGCATTCTAATGGGAGAGATTCCAGGTTTAACCCAGGCATTCTAATGATAGAGACACCTGGGTGACATCAGGCATTCTAAAAGTAGAGACACCTGGTATAGGCTAGGCATTTTAATGGTAGATACTCCTGGCATACCCCAAGCATTCTAATGCAAGCGACTTCTGGCCTATCCCAGGCATTCTAATAATAGACACCTGTGTGAACTCAATCATTCTAAGAATAAAGACACCTGACTGACTTTAGGCATTCTAGTGGTAGAGACTTCTAACTCCCCCAGGCATTCTAGTGATACAGAAAACTGGGCGACCTCAGGCATTTTAAGGATAGTGATATCTGGCCAACCCCAGGCATTCTAACAGGAGAGATTCCTGGATGAACTCAGATATTCGAATGATAGACTCCTGGCCTATTTCGAACACTAAAATGACAGAGAAACCTGTGGGAATATAGGTATTGCAAAGACAGACACACCTGGCTGATTCTAGGCATTTTAATGTGAGAGACTGCTGTCCGACCCCAGGCATTCTAACAGGAGACACTCCTGACTGACTTCAGGCATTCTAATGATAGAGAAACCTGGGTAACATCAGGCCTTCTAACAATAGAGACATTTGGCCAACCCGAGCCATTCTAATGGGAGACTCCTGGCCAAATTCAGGCATTTTAATGATAGAGACCCCTGGTCTCTCCGAGGCATCGTAATGATAGAGACACCTGTGTGACCTAAGGCATTCTAAGTATAGAGACTACTGGTCGATCCCAGGCATCGTAATGATAGAGACTGCTGGCTTATTTCAGGCTTTCTAATAATAGAGACACATGGCTGAAACAGGCATTCTAAGAGAAGAGACTCCTGGCCAACCCTAGGCATTCTAATGTTAGAGACTCCAGGACCACCCCAGGCATTCTAACGGGAGAGACAACTGCCCAAACAAAGGCATTCTAATGATAGAGACTCCTGGCTGACCCCAGGCTTTCTAATGATAGAGACACCTGGGTGAACTCAGGCATAAAAAGGATAGAGACGCCTGGACGACCAGACATTTTAACAAAATAAACTCCTGGCTGAACCCAGGCATTCTTTTGATGGAGCCTCCTGGAGGACCGCAGGAATTTTAATGATAGATTAAACTTTGTGACCTCAATCATTCTAAGGATAGAGGCACCTGTTAGACCCCAGGCATTCTAACAAGAGAGACTCCAGGACAACCCCAGGAAATCCAATGATAAAGACCCCCGGCCTAACCCAGGAATTCTAATGATAGAGACACCAGTGAGAACTCTGGCATTTTAAGAATAGAGACACCTGGCCTACCTTAGGCATTCTAACAGGAGAGACTCCTGGCGGAACCTAGACATTGTAGCGGTAGAGAATCCAAGATGAACCCAAGCATTCTAAGGATAAAGACTTCTGGACGACCCTAGGCATTCTAATGATGAAGACACCTGGGCAACCTAAGGCATTCTAATGATAGAGACACCTGGCGGACTCCAGGCATTCTAACTAGAGAGACTCCTGGCCACCCACAGGCATTCTAATAATAGAGTCACCTCGATGACATCAGACATTCTAAGGATTGACAACACCTGGTGTCCCCAGGTATTTTAATGCGAGACTCCTGATCAACCCAAAGATTTCTAATGATAGAGATGCCTGGGCGACCTCAGGCAATCTAAGGATGGAGACACCTGACCGATGCCAGGCATTCTAAAGGGAGAGACACCTGGTCAACCTCAGGCATTCTAATGATAGAGACTCCTGGCCTATCCCAGGCATTCTACTGATAGAGGCAACTGAGCAACCTCAGACATTCTAATTGTACAGACACCTGGTTGACCCAGGCTTTCTGATGAAAGAGACTCCTGGCCAACCCCAGGCATTCTAACTGGAGAGACTCCAGGACGACCACAGGCAATGTAGAGACATCAGGTCGAACCTAGGCATTCTAACAGGAGAGATTCCTGGGCGACCTCTGGAATTCTAATGATAAGAGACACCTATTGGACCTCAGGCATTCTAATGATAGAGACATCCATTCTAATAATGGAAATACCTGTGCTACCTCATTCTAAGGGCTGAGGCATCTCGATGACCCCAGGCATTCTAACAAAGAGACACATGGGCAATCCCAGGCATTCTAATGATAGAGACACCTGGTCGACCACAGGCCTTCTAATGGAAGAGATTCCGGGCTGACCATAGGCATTCTAAAAAGAGAGATTCCTGGGGACCCCATGCATTCAAATGAAAGAAACTCCTCATAGAACCCAGGCATTAAAATGATAGAGACACTTGGGAGACGTGGGAGATATCAGACATTCTAAAAATAGACACACCTAATTATTTTGAGATACGTCCCATCAATATCTAATTTATTGAGAGTTTTTAGCATGAAGGTTGTTGAATTTTGTCAAAGGCCTTTTCTGCATCTATTGAGATAATCATATGGTTTTTCTCATTGGTTCTGTTTATATGATGGATTATGTTTAGTGATTTGCGTATGTTGAACCAGCCTTACATCCCAGGGATGAAGCCCACTTGATCATGGTTGATAAGCTTTTTGATGTGCTGCTGGATTCGGTTTGTCAGCATTTTATTAAGGATTTTTGTATCGATGTTCATCAGGGATATTGGTCTCAAATTCTCTTTTTCTGTGGTGTCTCTGCCAGGCTTTCATATCAGGATGAGGCTAGCCTCATAAAATAAGTTAGGAAGGATTCCCTCTTTTTCTATTGATTGGAATAGTTTCAGAAGGAATGGGAGCAGTTCCTCCTTGTACGTCTGGTAGAATTCGGCTGTGAATCCATCTGGTTCTGGACTTTTTTTGGTTGGTAAGCTATTAATTATTGCCTCAATTTCAGTGCCTGTTATTGGCCTATTCAGAGATTCAACTTCTTCCTGGTTTAGTCTTGGGAGGGAGTATGTGTCCAGGAATTTATCCATTTCTTCTAAATTTTCTAGTTTATTTGCATAGAGGTGTTTATAGTATTCTCTGATGGTAGTTTGTATTTCTGTGGGATCAGTGGTGATATCCCCTTTACATTTCTTATTGCATCTATTTGATTCTTCTCTCTTTTCTTCTAAGAGCTATCTATGACAAACCCACAGCCAATATCATACTGAATGGGCAAAAACTGGAAGCATTCCTTTTGAAAACTGGCACAAGACAGGGATGCCCTCTCTCACCAGTCCTACTCGACATAGTGTTGGAAGGTCTGGCCACTGCAATCAGGCAGGAGAAGGAAACAAAGGGTATTCAATTAGGAAAAGAGGAAGTCAAATTGTCCCTGTTTGCAGATGACATGATTGTATATCTAGAAAACCCTGTCATCTCAGCCCAAAATCTCCTTAAGCTGATAGGCAACTTCAGCAACGTCTCAGGATACAAAATCAATGTGTAAAAATTACAAGCATTCTTATACACCAATAACAGACAAACAGAGAGCCAAATCATGAGTGAACTGCCATTCACAATTGCTTCAAACAGAATAAAATACCTAGGAATCCAACTTACAAGGCATGTGAAGGACCTCTTCAAGGAGAACTACAAACCACTGCTCAATGAAATAAAAGAGGATACAAACAAATGGAAGAACATTCCTTGTTCATGGGTAGGAAGAATCAATATCATGAAAATGGCCATACGCCCCAAGGTAATTTATAGATTCAATGCCATCCCCATCAAGCTACCAATGACTTTCTTCACAGAGTTGGAATAAACTACTTTAAAGTTCATATGGAGTCAAAAAAGAGCCCAGATTGCCAAGTCAATCCTAAGCCAAAAGAACAAAGCTGGAGGCATCATGCTGCCTGACTTCAAACTATACTACAAGGCTACAGTAACCAAAAGAGCATGATACTGGTACCAAAACAGAGATATAGGCAAATGGAAAAGAACAGAGCCCTCAGAAATAATGCCACACATCTACAACCATCTGATTTTTGACAAACTTGACAAAAACAAGAAATGGGGAAAGGATTCCCTATTTAATAAATGGTGCTGGGAAAACTGGCTAGCCATATGTAGAAAGCTGAAATGGATCCCTTCCTTACACCTTCTACAAAAATTAATTCAAGATGGGTTAAAGACTTAAATGTTAGACTTAAAACCATAAAAACCCTAGAAGAAAACCTAGACAATACCATTCAGGACATATGCATGGGCAAGGACTTCATGTCTAAAACACCAAAAGCAATGGTAACAAAAGCCAAAATTGACAAATGGGATCTAATTAAACTAAAGAGCTTCTGCACAGCAAAAGAAACTACCATCAGAGTGAACAGGCAACCTATAGAATTGGAGAAGATTTTTGCAATCTACTCATCTGACAAAGAGCTAACATCCAGAATCTACAATGAACTCAAACAAATTTACAATAAAAAACCAAACAACCCCATCAACAAGTGGACAAAGGATATGAACAGACACTTCTCGAAAGAAGACATTTATGAAGCCAACAGACACATGAAAAAATGCTCGTGATCACTGGCCATCAGAGAAATGCACATCAAAACCACAATGAGATACCATCTCACACCAGTTAGAATGGCAATCATTAAAGAGTCAGGAAACAACAGGTGCTGGAGAGGATGTGGAGACATGGGAACACTTTTACACTGTTGGTGGGACTGTAAACTAGTTCAACCATTGTGGAAGTCAGTGTGGCGAATCCTCAGGGATCTAGAACTAGAAATACCATTTGATCCAGCCATCCCATTACTGGGTATATACCCAAAGGATTGTAAATCTTGCTGCTATAAAGACACATGCACAGGTATGTTTAATGTGGCCCTATTCACAATAGCAAAGACTTGGAACCAACCCAAATGTCCATCAATGATAGACTTGATTAAGAAAATGTGGCACATATACATCATGGAATACTATGCAGCCATAAAAAATGATGAGTTCATGTCCTTTGTAGGGACATGGATGAAGCTGGAAACCATCATTCTCAGCAAACTATTGCAAGGACAAAAAAACAAACGTATATATATACATATATATATAAAGAACTAGAAAGAAGCTATATGTGAAAATATTTTGTGATGTGTGGATTCGTCTCTGAATTTGAGTGGAGCCTGTGTCCAAATACACCATATTGGAAACACCCTTTTTGTAGAATATATATGAATGGACATTTCTGAGCTCATTGCAACCAATATTGAAATAAATGAATATACCATGATTAAAACGAGATACAAGAGTCTGTGAAAATACTTTGTGATATGTGGTTTTATATCACAGAATGGAACCTGTATTTTCATTCACCAGGTTGGATACACTCTTCGTGTAGAGATTATGAAAAAACATTTTTGAGATTATTTAAGCTTATAATGGAAAACCAAATATCCCATAATAAAAAAATAGAAACAAGCTATTTGTTAAAATGCTTTGTGGTGTGTGATACATCTCACAGAATGGAACCTGTGTTTTTATTCTCCAGGTTGGAGACACTTTTATTGCAGTATGTACAAATAGACATTTTCGAGACAATAGACTCCTGTAATGAAAAATGGAATATCAAGCAATAAAAACTACAAGCTATCCATGTAAATGCTTTGTAATGTGCGCGTTCATCTCACAGAATGGAACTTGCGTTTTGATTTACCAGGTTTCAACTCTATTTTTGCAGAATCTCTGAGTGGATATTTCTAAACCCATTGTGCCCTGTAGTGTAAAACAGAATATTCCACTATAAAAAGTGGAAACAAGCTATCTGTGAAAATGCTTTTTGGATTTTGGATTAATCTTAAAGAATGGAACTTATGTTTTCATTCGGCAGATTGGAAACAGTCTTTTTGTATAAACTATGAAGGGACACTTTTGAGCGCATTGAGGCCTATAGTGAAAAACAGAATATCCTGTGATAAAAACTAGCAACAAGCTATTTGTGAAATAGCTTTGTGATGTGAGGGTGTTCTCATGAAATGTAGCCAGAGTTTTGATTCACCTGGTTGAAAATACTGTTTATCTAGAATTTACGAAAAACATTTCTGAGCCCTTTTAAGCCTATAGTGGAAAACCAAATATCAAATGATAAAAACCGGAAATGAGCTAAGGTCGGGAAAATGCTTTGGGTAGTGTGGATTCATCTCACAGAATGGAACCTGTGCTTATATTCACCGGGTTGGAAACACGCTTTTTGCAGAATCTACAAACGGAGATTTCTGAGTCTTTCTATATCTATAGTAGAAAAATGAATATCACCCGGTAAATACTAGAAACAAGCTATCTGTGAAAATGGTTTGTGATGTGTAAATTCGTCTCAGGGAATAAAACCTGTGTTTTGATTCACCAAATTAGAAACTGTCTTTTTATAGAATATATAAAGGAATATTTCTCAACCCATTGAGGCCTATATTAAAAAACAAATACTCCGTGATAAAAAGTATAAAGAAGCTATCTGTCAAAATGCTTTGTGATGTGTGCATTCGTCTCAAAGAATGGAGACTTTGTGCCAATACTGAAAAACCAAATATCCCACAATAAATACTAGAAACATGCTGTCTGTGAAAATGCTTTATAACGTGTGGATTCATTTCACAGAATGAAACCTGTATTTTGATTCACCAGGTTGGAAACCTCTTTTTAGTAGCATGTATGATGGGATATTCCAGAGCCCATTGAGGGCAATAGTAAAAAACCTAATAACCCATGATAAAAACTAGAAATAAACTATGTGTGAAAATCCTTTGTGATTTGTGGATGCATCTCAGAGAACAGAACCTATGTTGTGATTCACCAGGTTGGAAACACTCTTTTTTTAGATTCATTGAATGAACATTTCTGAGCCTATTAAAGCCTATAGTGAAACACGGAATATTCCTTGAAAGTTACTAAAACAATTGAACCTGTGTTTTGATTCAGCCGATTAGAGACACCCTTTTGTAGAATGTATCAATGGACATTTCTGAGCCCATTGATGCCTAGGGTGGAAAACAGAATATCTCGTGATAAAAACTAGAAATAAGCTATGTGAGAAAATCCTTTGTGATGTGTGGTTCATCTCACAAAATAGAACCTTTGTTTTGACTAACCAGTTTGGAAACACTTTTTTTTTTTTTTTTCAGAATCTACAAACAGACATTCCTCGGCCAATTGACCTCTACAGTGAGAAACTGAATATCCTGTGATAAAAACTAGAATCAAGATATCTGTGAAAACGCTTTGTGATAAGTGAATTTATCTCACATAATAAAACTTTGTCTTGATCCACCAGGTCAGAAACCCTTTTATTGTAGAATCTATGAAAAAGGGTATTTCTGAGTTGATTGATGACTATAGTGAAAAACCGAATATGCTGTGATAAATACTAGCAACAAATTATCTGTGAAAATGATTTTCAATGTGTATGTTCTTCTCACAGAATGGAACCTATGTTTTGATTCACCTGGTTGGAAACACTATTTTTGAATTATCTAAGAAATGATATTTCTGAGTCAGTTGAGGCCTATAGTGAAAAACCAAAAATCCTGCAATAAATACTAGAAACAAGGTATCTTTAAAATGCTTAGTGATGAGTGGGTTCATCTCACAGAATGGAAACTCTGTTTTGATTTACCAGGTTGGAGACATTCTTCTTGTAGAATCTACCAAGAGACACTTCTGAGTTCTTTAACGTCTATAGTGAAAACCAAATATCCCTGGGTATATACTAGAAACAACCTATCTGTGAAAATATTTTGCAGTTTGTGGATTCATCCCACAGTATGGAATCTGTGTTTTGATTCACCAGGTTGGAAGCACTCTTTTTTTAAAATGTATGAAGGGAAATTTCTGACTCTACTGACTCCTACAGTGAAAGACAAATTAACTTGAATAAATACTAGAAATAAAATATCTGTGAAAATGCTTTGCAATTTGTGGATTTATCTTACAGTATGGAACCTGTGTTTGGATTCACCAGGTTGGAAACACTCTTTTTGTGAAATCTACTAAGGGACATTTCTGAGCGCGTTGAGGCCTATAGTGAAAAACCGAATATCCCACAATAAAAACTAGAAACAAGCTGTGAAAATGCTTTGTAATGTGTGGATTCGTCTCACGTAATGGAACCTGTGTTTTTATTCACTAGGATGGAAATCCTCCTTTTGTAGAATCTACGAAGAGAGGTCTCTGAGCCCATTGAGGCTTATAGTGAAAAACCAAATGCCTGACACAGACATTCTAATGGAGAGTCTGTTGGCTGAAGCCAGGCATTCTAATTTTAGAGACAACAGTGCAACCTTCGTCATTCTAAAAATATATCCACTTTGCTGACTCCAGGTATTCTTTTTTTTTTTTTTTCAGACGGAGTCTCTCTTTTGCCCAGGCTGCACAGCAGTGGCACTATCTCGGCTTACTGCAAGCTCCACCTCCCGGGTTCATGCCATTCTCCTACCTCAGCCTCCTGAGTAACTGGGACTACAGGTGCCCACCACCACGCCTGCCTAATTTTTTTTTTTTTTTTGTATTTTTAATAGAGACAGGGTTTCACCGTGTTAGCCAGGATAGTCTCGGTCTCCTCATCTCGTGATCCGACCGCCTCGGCCTCCCAAAGTGCTGGGATTACAGGCTTGAGCCACCGTGCCCAGCCGCCAACTCCAGGTATTCTAACAAGAGAGACTCTTAGATCACCCCAGGCGTTCTAATGATAAGGACAGTTGGGAAACTTCAGGCCTTTTAAGGATAGAGACACCTGGCTGACCCAAAACATTCTAACAGGAGAGACTCTTATACAAAATTAGGCATTCTAATGAGAGAGAGTAATGGCTGACCCCAGGCATTCTACAGATAGAGAAACCACGGAGACATCAGGAATTCTAAGGATAAAGACAGGTGGGTGATCCCAGGCATTCTAATGGCAGAGACTCCTTGTTAAGCCCAGGCATTCTAATGATAGGGACTCCTGGCCTACCTTAGGCATTCTAATGATAGAGACACCTGTGTGACCTAAGGCATTTTTAAGGACAGAGACACCTGGCCAACCCCAGGCATTCTAATGGGAGAGACTTCTGGAGGACCTCAAGTAATCTAACAAAGGAGACTACTGGCTGACCCAAGGCCTTCTAATCATAGAGAATCCTGGCCAATCCCAGGCATTCTAATGATAGAGACACCTGTGGGACATAAGTCATTCTAAAAATAGAGACATCTGGCTGACCTCAGGCATTCTAATGATAGAGGCTCCTGGCCAAAACAAGGCAATCTAATGATAGAGATTTCCGGCCTATCCCAGGCATTCTACTGACAAAGACACTGGTGTGACTTCAATCATTCTAAAAGGAGAGACAGCTGGTTGACCCCAGGCATTCTAACGGAGGAGATACCTAGCTGACCCCAGGCATTCTAATGTTAGAGACTTCTGACTGTCACCAGGCATTCTAATAATAGAGACAACTGGGGGACTTCAGGCATTCTAAGGATAGAGGTATGTGGCTGACCCCAGGCATTCTAACAAAAGAGACTCCTGGCTGACCCCAGGCATTCTAACAGGGGAGACTCCTGGCCAACCCCAGGCTTTTTAACAGGAAAGACTACTGGCCTAACCCAGGCATTCTAATGATAGAGATTCCTGGACTACCCCAGATATTCTAATAATAGATACACCTGGGTGAACTCATGCATTCTAATAATGAAATCACTAAGGCTAAATCAGGCATTCTAACAATAAAGACACCTGACTAACCCCAGGCATTCAAATGGAGAGACTCCTGACAGACCCCAGGCATTCTATTGATAGAGACTTCTGGCTGAAACCAGGCATTCTAATGATAGACACCCCTGGGCAACCTCAGGCAATCTAGGGATAGAGTCACCTGGCCGACCCCAGGCATTCTAAAGAGAGAGACTCCTGTGTGACACCAGGCATTATAATGATAGAGTCTCCTGGCCTACCAAAGGAATTCTAATGTTAGAGAAACCTGGGAAACCTCAGGCATTCTAAGGATTGAGACACCTCACCGAAACAGGCATTCTAATGGGAGAGATTCCTGGCTGACCCCACACATTATAATTGTAGAGACTCCTGGCTGACTTCAGGTATTCTAATGATAGAGACACCTGAGCAATCCCTGGCAGACACTAGGCTTTTTATTAATAGAGACTTCAAGCCTAGCTCAGGCATTCCAAAGATAGAGACACCTGTGCAACCTCAGGCATTCTAAAAATACAGACAGCTGGCCAATGTCACTCGTTTTATGATATAGACACTTGGCCTACCCAATTCATTCTAAGTATAAAGAAACCTTTTCAACCTCAGGCATTCTACGGATAGAGACATCAGACCAATGACAGGCATTCTAACAGGAGAGACTCCTGGCCAACCTCAGGCATTCTAATGATAGAGACTCCTGGCCAACCCCAGGCATTCTAATGATAGAGACACCTGGGTGACCTCACCATTCTAAGGATGAAGACACCTGGCCAAACCCAGGCTTTCTAATGGGAGAGACTCCTAGCTGTCACCACGCATTCTAATAATAGAGACTCCTGGTCGACCCCAGGCATTCTAACAGAAGAGACTCCTTGTCAAGCCCAGGCATTCTAATGATAAAACTCTTAGCTGAACCAAAACATTCTAATGATAGAGACTCCTGGGCGACCTCAGGAAACCTAATGATAGAGACACCTGGCCACCAGCAGCACTCCAGCAAGAGACATCTGGCCAACCCAGAAATTCTGATGATAGAGACTTGTGGCCTATCCCAGGCATTCTAA
The DNA here is from genome assembly GCF_000001405.40 of Homo sapiens. NCBI lineage: Eukaryota > Metazoa > Chordata > Mammalia > Primates > Hominidae > Homo > Homo sapiens. The sequence goes on from NC_000023.11 coordinate 58,100,045, forward strand.
TGATGGAGACACCTGGGCGAGCTCAGGCATTTTAAGGATAGAGACACCTGCATAACCCAGGTTCTATAGCATGAGAGACTCTTGGCTGACCCCAGGCAATCTAGCAGGAGAGACTCCTTGCCAACACCAGGCATTCTAATGACAGAGAAACCTGTGTGACTGTGGGCATTCTAACAATAGAGACACCTGGCCAGCTGACACCTGACATTGTCATGGGAGAGAGTGCTGGCTGACCTGAGGCATTATAATCATAGAGACACCAGGGTGACGTCATTATTCTAAAGACAGGGAAACCTGGCCAAGTTCAAGCATTCTAACGGGAGTGACTCCTGGCCTACCCTAGGCATTCTAATGTGAGAGACACCTGTGTGAATTAAGGCATTCTAAGAATAGAGACTCCTGGCCAACCGCAGGCATTCTAACAGGAAAAACTCTTGGTTGACCCTAGGCATTCTAAAAAGAGAGGCTCCTGCTTGAACCTTGGCATTCTAATAATAGAGACATCTGGGGGACGTCAGGATTTCTAAGGATAGAGACACACAGCTGAGCCCAGGCATTCTAACAGAGAAATTCCTGGCTGACTTCAGGCATTCTAATGATAGGGGCTCCTGGATCACCCCAGGTATTCTAATGAAAGACACACGTGGAAAAGTTCAGGCATTCAAAAGATAAAGACATCTGGCCAACCCCAGGCATTCTAGCAGGAGAGTCTTCTGGACAACTACAGTCATTCTAATGATAGAGAAACTTGTGTGACCACAGGCATTCTGAGGATAAAGACACCTGGCCGACACCAGGCGTTCTAACAGGAGAGGCTCATGGCCGACCCCACCATTCTAAAAATAAAGACACCTGACTAACCCCAGGCATTCTAATGGGAGAGAATCCTGGCCGACCCCAGGATTCCTAATGATAGAGACTCCGGGACTTTCCCAGGCATTCTAATGATGAACATTGGGGCCTCCTGAGGCATTCTAAAAAAAGAGACACCTGGAAGAACCATGCATTCTAACAGGAGAGACTCCTGCTGACCTCAGGCATTCTAATGATACAGACACCTGGGCAACCTCAGACAGTCTAAGGATAGAGATACCTGGTCGACCCAAAGCATTCCAAGAGCAGAGACTCCTGCCCAAAACTAGGCAATGTAACAAGAGAGACTAATCGCTGAGCCCAGGCATTCTAATTATAGAGACACCAGGGTGATATCAGGCATTCTAAAAGTAGAGACACCTGGACGATCTAAGGCTTTCTAACTGGAGAAAATCCTGGCCGACAACAGGCATCATAATATTAGAGACATGTGGCCTATTTCAGGCATTCTAATGTTAGAGACACCTGTGTGACCTCATACATTCAAAGGATAGAGACATTTGGCCAACCCCAGGAATTCTAACAAAAAGACTCTTGGCCAATGCCAGCATTTCTAATGTTAGAGACTCATGGGCAACCCCAGGCATTCTAATGAGAGAGACTCCTGGGGGACCCCAGGCATTCTGTGGATAGAAACACCTGGCCAACCCCAGGCATTCTAATAAGAGAGACTCCTGGTGTAATACAGGCTTTCTAATGACAGAGACTCCTGGCCTATCCCAGGCATTCTAATGATAGACACCTGGGCGACCACAAGCATTCTAAGTATGGTGACACTTGACTGATTTGAGGCATTCTAACAAAAAAGACTCCTGGTCGATCCCAGGCCTTCTGAAGTCAGAGACTCCTGGCCAAGCCCAGGCATTCTAATGATAGAGATTACTGGCCTACCTCAGGAATTCTAATGATACAGACACCTTTCTGGCTTAGGGCATTTCAAAGATAAAGACACCTGACCAATTCCAGGCATTCTAACAAGAGAGATTCCTGCCTGAACAAGGTATTCTAATGGAAGTGACTCCCTGTTTACTCCAGGCCTTTTAATGATAGAGACTCCTGATGGATCCCTGGCATTCTACTAATAGAGACACCTGTGCAACCTCAGCCATTCTAAGAAGACAGACACCTATCTGACCCAAGGCATTCTAATGGGAGAGACTCCTGGCCAAACTTAGGCATTCCAATGTTAGAGACTCCTGGCCAAGTGCAGGCATTCCAGTGATAGAGACCCCTGTGCAATCTCATGCATTCTAAGGACAGAGACACCTGGTCAACCTAAGGCATTTTAATGGGATAGGCTTCTGGCCAAAGCCAGGGGTTCTAATGATAGAAACACCTGTGTGACTTAATTCATTCTAAGGACAGAGACACCTAGCCAACCACAGGCATTCTAATGAGAAAGACAGCTGTTAGATCAAAGGTATTTTAATGGGAGAGACTCCTGGCCAATGCCAGGCATTCTAAAGACAGAGACTCCTGGCTGACCCCAGGCATTCTTTTGATATAGACTACTGGCCGAACCCAGGCATTCTAAATATAAAGACACCTGGGCGACCTCAGACAATCTAAGGATAGAGACACATAGCCAACCCCCGGCATCCTAACAAGAGACTCCTGGCAGATCCAGACATTCTAATAATAGAGACTTCTGTCCTACCCTAGGCATTCTAATGATAGAGACACCTGGGTGATGTCAGGCATTCTAAGGACTGAAACACCTGCATGACCCTGGCTTTCCAACGGGACAGAATCTTGGCCAATCCCAGGCATTCCATTGGGAGAGACTCCTGGCCAACTCCAGGCATTCTAATGATAGATAAACTTGTGTAACCTCAGAAATTCCAAACGTAGAGACATCTGGTTGACCCCTGACATTCGAATGTGAGACTCCTGGCCGACCTGAGGCACTCTAATGATAGAGTCTCCTGTTTGACCCTAGGCATTCTAATGATAGAGACACCAGGGCTACCTCACCTTTATAAGAATAGAGAAACCTGGCCAACCAAAGCATTCTAACGGAATAAACTACTGGCTGACCCCAGGCATTCTTATGATAGAGACTTCTAGCCTAAGCCAGGCATTCTAATGATAGAGACACCTGTGTGACCTCAGGCATTTTTAAAATAAAGACACTTGGCTGACCACAGGCATTCTAACTGGAATGACTCCAGACCGATCCCAGGTATTCTAATGATAGAGACTCATGTCCTATCCCATGAGTTGCAATGATAGAGACACCTGTGCCACCTCAGGCATTCTAAGGATAGAGACCCCTGGCCAACCCCAACCATTCTAATGGAACAAACTTCTGGCCAACCACAGGCATTCTAGCAGGAGAGACTCCTGGCCTGCCTCAGGAACTCTTATGTTAGAGACACCTCTTAGACCTCAGGCATTCTAAGGATAGAGACACCTCACCGACACAAGTCATCCTAATGGGAGAAATTCCTGGTGGACCTCAGGCACTCTAATAGGAGAGACTCCTGGTTGAACCCAGGCATTCTATTGAGAAAGACATCTATATGACATCAGGCATTCTAAGGACACAGACACCTGGAATAGCCCAGGCATTCTAATGGTAGAGACTTTTGGCATACAACAGGCATTCTAATGAAAGAGACTCCTGGCCATCTCCAGGCATTCTAATTTTATAGACAGCTTAGCGACCTCATTCATTCTGAAAATGGAGACATGTCGCTAACCCCAGCCATTCTAATGGGAGAGACTCCTGGACAACTTAAGGCATTCTAATAACAGAGACTCTTGACCTACCCTAGACATTGAAATGATAGAGACATCTCTGCGATGTGAGGCATTCTAAGGATACAGACACCTCGGCCAAGCCTAGGTATTCCAACGGGAGAGACTCCTGGCTCACCCCAGGCATTCTAAACGGAGAGACTACTGGCTGACCCTAGGCCATGATGATAGAGAAAACTGGGCGACCTCCTGGATTCTATAGTTACAGACACCTGACCGAACCAAGGCATTCTAATGGAAGAAACTCCTGGCAAATCCCTGGCATTCTAAGGAAAGAGAGTCCTGGCCAACCCCAGGCATTCTAAAGATAGAGACTCCTGGCCTTCCACTGGCATGCCAATGATTAAGACACCAGTGCGACCTCAGACATTCTAAGGATAGAGACACCTGGCCAAACCCAGGAAATCTAATGGGAGAAACTCCTGGCCAAAACCAAACATTCTAATGATAGAGACCTTTGGCCAACTCCATGCATTACAGTGATAGAGAATCCTGGGTGTCATCAGACATTCTAAAGATAGAGACACCTGGCCAAGCCAAGGTATTCTATGGGAGAGACTCCTGGTGGACCCAAGGCATTCTAATAATAGAGACTCCTGGTGCTCCCTAGACATTTTAATAATAAAGACACCTGTGCGACCTCAGGCATTCTAAGATAGTGAGACCTTGCCTACCTCGGGCATTCAAATGATAAAGACCCGTGTGTGACCGAACTCATTCTAAGGATAGAGACACCTGTGTGAACTAAGGCATTTTAAAAATAAAGACACCTGGCTGACCCCACACATCCTAATGGGAGAGACTATTGCTCAACTCCAGGCATTCTAAAGAGTGAGACTCCTGGCTGACCCCAGGCATTCTAATAATAGAGACAACTGGGGGACTTCACCGTTCCAAGGATAGAGACACCTGGCTGAATCCAGGCATTCAAGCATGAGAGATTTTTGGCCGATTCTAGGCATTCTAATGATAGAGAGTCCTGGCTGACCACAGGCATCCTAATGATAGAGACACCTGGGCAACATCAGGCATTAAGGATAGAGAACATTGACTGACCACAGGCATTCTAATGACAGACGCTCATGGGTGACATCAGGCATTAAGGAAAGAGACACCTGACCGACCACAGGCACTCTAATGACAGGCACTCTTGGCCTAATTTAGGCATTCTAATGATAGAGACACCTGTGTAACATAAGGCATTTTAAAAATAGAGGCACCTGGTTGATCTTATGCAGTCTAACGGGAGAGACTGCTGGTCGACCCCAAACATTTTAATAAGGGAGACTTGAGACTCCTTGCTGACCATAGGCATTCTAATGATAGAGACGAATGGACCACCTCAGCTACCTAAGAATACACACACCTGGCCAGACCCAGGCATTCTCACTGGAGAGACTTTCGGCTTAGCTAAGGCATTGTAATGGTAAAGACTCCTGGTCTAGCCCAGGCATTTTAATGATAAAGACACCTGTGTGACTTCAGGCATTTTTTTAGGATAAAGATACCTGGCCAACCCTAGGCATTTTAACGGGAGAGACTCCAGGCCTATTGAAGGCATTCTAATGATATAGACTCCTAGCCTCTACTAAGAATTCTAATGACAAAAACCTGTGCGACCTGAGTCATTCTAAAAATAGAGACACCTGGATGGTGCCAGTCACTCTAATGGGAGAGATTTCTGGCCAACACCAGGCATTCTAAAAATGGAGACTCCACGCTGATTACAGACATTCTAATAATAGAAATATTTGGGCAAACTCAGGCATTTTAAGGACAGTGACACCTGGCCAATCTAATGCATTCGAACAGGAAAGACTCCTGGCCAACCCCAGACATTCAAATGATAGAGAATCCTGGCCTACCCCAGGCACTCTAATGACAGAGAAACCTGTGGTACCTCCAGCATTCTAAGAACAGAAAATCCTGGTTCAGCCCAAACCTTCTAACATTCTAACAGGAGAGACAACTGGCCAACACAGGCATTCTAATGAAAGAGACACCTGAGTGACATAATGCATTCTAAGGATAGAGACACCCGGGTGACCCCAGGGATTCTAACGGAAGAGACTTCTGGCCAACTTCTTGCATTCTAACGGGACAGACTCCTTGCCGGCTCCAGGCATTAATGATAAATACACCTGAGAAACACCTGGGCAATTGAGATACCTGAACGACCTCAGGATTTCTAATAATAGAGACACCTGTGTGACCCAAGGCAGTCTAATGGGAGAGACTCCTGGCCAACACCATGCTTTCTAATAATAGAGATTAGAGGCCCACCCCAGGCATTCCAGTGATAGAGACAGCTGTGCAACCTCACTCATTCTAAGGTTAGAGACACCTGACGACCCCAGGCAATGTAATGGGAGACAATTTTAGCAGACCCCAGGCATTTCAATGATAGAGACTCCCAGGCTACCCCATTCATTCTAATGATAGAGAATACTGTGCGACCTCAGTCATTGTAATGATAGAGACACCTTGGCAACCACAGGCAATCTAAGAATAGAGACACCTGCCCCAATCCAGGCATTCTAACTTGAGAGAATTTAGGCCCACCCCATGCATTCTAACAGGAGTGACTCCTGACTGATCCCAGGCATTCCAGTGATAGAGACACCTGGGAGACCTCAGGCATTCTGAAGTTAGAAAAACCTGGCTGAACCAAGGCATTCTAATGGCAGTGACTCCTGGCCTACACCAGGCTTCCTAATGATAGAGACTCCAGTCATATCCCAGGCATTCTAATCATAAACATCTGGGTTAACTCAGGCATTCTAAGAATAGTGACAACTGGCTGAACCTGGACATTCTAATGGGAGAGACTCCTGGCCAAACCGAGGAATTTAAATAATACAGTCTCCCGGCCTACCCCAGTCACTATAATGATAGAGACAGCTGTTAGAGCTCAGGCATTTTAAGAATAGAGACACCTGGTCAACCCAGGCATTCTAATGATAGAGAAACCAGGGTGACATCAGGCTTCTTAAGGTTAGAGACACGTGGCTGATACAAGGCATTGTAACGGAAGAGACACCTTGCTGAACCCAAGAATTTTACTAATAACGAATCCTGGCCTACCCAAGGCATTCCAATGATAGAGGCGTCTGTAGGACTTCAAGCATTCTAAGGATACATTCACCTCACCGACCCCAGGCATTCTAATGATAGAGACATATGGCCGACCCAAGGCAATCTAATGATAGAGATTCTTGGCCTCTCCCAGGCATTCTAACGATAAAGACACGTGGCCACCTCCACGTATTCTAATGGGAGCGACTCCTGGCCAACCCCAGGCATTCAAAAGAGAGAGAATACTGGGTGACCCCAGGCATTCTAATCATAGAGACACCTGGGTGACATCAGACATTCTAAAGATAAAGACACCTGGCCTACCCCAGGAATTCTAATGGGAGAAACTCCTGGCTGACCCCAGACATTCTAACTGTAGACACTACTGGCCTACCCGAGGCATAGTAATGATAGAGACGTCTGTGTGACCTCCAGCATTCTAAGGATAGAAACACCTTGTAAACCCCAGGCATTCTAACGAGAGAGACTCCTGCACAAAAATAGGCAATTGAATGGTAGATACTCCTGGCAGACCCCTGACATTCTAATGATAGAGACACCTGCGGGACCTTAGGCATTCTAAGGATAGAGACACCTTGGTGACCCAAGGCATTCTAATAGAAGAAACTCCTGGCCAAACACAGGCATAGTAAGGATAGAAACTTCTGGCCAACCTTAGGCATTCTAATGTTAGAAACACCCGTGCTACCTCAGTCATTCTAATGATTGAGAGAGATAGCTGGCCCCAGGCATTTTAAAGTGAGAGGTTTCTGGCTGACCCCAGGCATTCTAATGATAGAGACACCTGGGCAACCTCAGGAATTCTAACAAGAGATATTCCTGGCAGACTCCAAGCCTTCTAATGACAGAAACAGCTGGGAGGCATCAGGAATTCTAAAAATAGAGATACCTGGCCAACACCAGGCATTAAATGGGAGAGATTTTTGGCTGACCCCAGGCATTCTAATGGGAGAGACTACTTGCCAAACCCAGGCATTCTAACAATAGAGAACCCAGGCCCACATCAGGCCTACACCAGAAATTCCAAAAATAGACACACCTGTGTGATCACAGGCATTCTAAGTATAGAGACAGCTGGTGATCTCAGGCAATGTAATGGGAGAGAATCTTGGCCTACCTCAGGCATTCTAATAATAGTGAACCCTGGCCTAACCCATTCATGCTAATGATACAGAAACCTGTGTGACCTCAGGCATTCTGACGGAAGAAACAACTGGAAGACTTAAGGCATTCTAAGGATAGAGGTGCCTGAATGACCCAGGAATTCTAATGGGAGAAACCACGGGCTGACCACAGACATTCTAATGATAAAGACACCCCCACAAAGATGGGCAAACAGGAACAGCTCCAGCCTACAGCTCCCAGCATGAGCAACTCAGAAGATGAATGATTTCTGCATTTCCAACTGAGGTACTAGGTTCATCTCACTGGGGATTGTCAGAAAGTGCGTGCAGGGCAGTGGGTTCAGTGCACCAAGCGTGAGCTGAAGCAGGGTGAGGTGTTGCCTCACCCAGGAAGCACAAGAAGTCAGGGAATGCCCTTTCCTACCAAAGAAAAGGGGTGACAGATGTCACCTGGAAAATCGGGTCACTCCCACCCTAAAACTGGGCTTTTCCAAAGGTCCTAGCAAACGGCACACCAGGAGATTGTATCCCACACCTCACTTGGAGGGTCCTACGCCCACGGAGCCTTGCTCATTGCTAGCACAGCAGTCTGAGATAAAACTGCAAGGTGGCAGCAAGGCTGGGGGAAGGGCGCCCACCATTGCTGAGATTTGAGTAGGTAAACAAGGTGGCCAGGAAGCTCGAAATGGGTGGAGCCCACCGCAGCTCAAGGAGGCCTGCCTGCCTCTGTAGACTCCACCTCTGGGTGCAGGGCACAACCAAACAAAATGCAGCGGAAACCTCTGCAGACTTAAGTGTCCCTGTCTGACAGCTTTGAATAGAGCAGTGGTTCTCCCAGCATGCAGCTGGAGATCTGAGAATGGACAGACTGCCTGCTCAAGTTGGTCCCTGACGCTCGAGTAGCTTAACTGGGAGGCACCCCCCAGTAGGAGCAGACTGACACCTCACACACAGCGTAGTACTCTGAGACAAAACTTCCAGAGGAACGATCAGGTAGCAATATTGGCTGTTCACCAATATCCGCTGTTCACCAATATCCGCTGTCCTGCAACCTCTGCTGCTGATGCCCAGGCAAACAGGGTCTGGGGTGGACTTCCAGCAAATGCCAACAGACCTGCAGCTGAGGGTCCTGACAGTTAGAAGGAAAACTAACAAACAGAAAGGACATCCACACCAAAACCCCATCTGTACGTCACCATCATCAAAGACCAAAGGTAGATAAAACCATAAAGATGGGGAAAATACACAGCAGAAAAACTGGAAACTCTAAAAGTCAGAGTGCCTCTTCTCCTCCAAAGGAATGCAACTCCTCAGCAGCAATGGAACAAAGCTGGACAGAGAATGACTTTGATGAGTTGAGAGAAGAAGGCTTCAGATGATCAAACTAATCTGAGCTAAAGGAGGAAATTCGAACCCATGGCAAAGAAGTTAAAACTTTGGAAAAACATTAGACAAATGGCTAACTAGAATAACCAATGCACAGAAGTCCTTAAAGGACCTGATTGATGCAGCTGAAAACCATGACAGAAGAACTACGTGATGAATGCACAAGCCCCAGTAGCCGATTCGAACAACTGGAAGAAAGAGTATCAGTGATGGAAGATCAAATGAATGAAATGAGGTGAGAAGAGAAGTTTAGAGAAAAAAGAATAAAAAGAAACAAACAAAACCTTGAAGAAATATGGGACTATGTGAAAAGAAAAATTTACGTCTGACTGGTGTACCTGCAAGTGACGGGGAGAATGGAATCAAGTTGGAAAACACTCTGCAGGATATTATCCAGGAGAACTTCCCCAATCTAGCAAGGCACGCCAACATTCAGATTCAGGAAATACAGAGAACGCCACAAAGATACTCCTCAGGAAGAACAATTTCCAGACATATAATAATTGTCAGAATCACCAAAGATGAAATGAAGGAAAAAATGTTAAGGGCAGCCAGAGAGAAAGGTCAGGTTACCCACAAAGGAAAGCCCATCAGACTAACAGCTGGTGTCTCAGCAGAAACTCTACAAGCCAGAAGAGAGTGGGGGCCAATATTCAACATTCTTAAAGAAAAGAACTTTCAACCCAGAATTTCATATCCAGCCAAACTAAGCTTCATAAGTGAAGGAGAAATAAAATACTACACAGAAAAGCATATGCTAAGAGATTTTGTCACCACCAGGCCTGCCCTAAAAGAGCTCCTGAAGGAAGCACTAAACACGGAAAGGAACAACCGGTACGAGCCACTGCAAAAACAGGCCAAATTGTAAAGGCCATCAATGTTAGGAAGAAACTGCATCAACTAACGAGCAAAATAACCAGCTAAAATCATAATGACAGGATCAAATTCACACATAACAATATTAACCTTAAATGTAAAGAGGCTAAATGCTCCAACTAAAAGACACAGATTGGCTAATTGCATAATGCGTCAAGACACATCAGTGTGCTGTATTCAGGAAACCCATCTCATGTGCAGAGACACAGGTAGGCTCAAAATAAAGGGATGGAGAAGGATCTACCAAGCAAATGGAAAACAAAAAAAGGCAGGGGTTGAAATCCTAGTCTCTGATAAAACAGAATTTAAACCAACAAAGATCAAAAGAGACAAAGAAGGCCATTCCATAATGGTAAAGGGATCAATTCAACAAGAAGAGCTAACTATCCTAAATATATATGCACCCTATACAGGAGCACCCAGATTCAGAAAAAAAGTCCTTAGAGACCTAGAAGGACACTCAGACTCCAACACAATAATAATGGGAGAGTTTAACACCCCACTGTCAACATTAGACAGATCAACGAGACAGAAAGTTAACAGGGATATCCAGGAGTTGAACTCAGCTCTGCACCAAGTGGAACTACTAGACATCTACAGAACCCTCCACCCCAAACCAACAGAATATACATTCTTTTCAGCACACCACACTTATTCCAAAATTGACCACATAGTTGGAAGTAAAGCACTCCTTAGCAAATGTAAAAGAACAGAAATTATAACAAACTGTCTCTCAGACCACAGTGCAAACAAACTAGAACTCAAGATTAAGAAACTCACTCAAAAGCGCTCAGCTACATGGAAACTGAACAACCTGCTCCTGAATGACTACTGGGTACATAATGAAATGAAGGCAGAAATAAAGATGTTGTTTGAAACCAGTGAGAACAAAAACATAACATACCAGTATCTCTGGGACACATTCAAAGCAGTGTGTAGAGGGAAATTTATAGCACTAAATGCCCAGAAGAGAAACCAGGAAAGATCTAAAAATGACACCCTAACATCACAATTAAAAGAACTAGAAAAGCAAGAGCAAACACATTCAAAAGCTAGCAGAAGGCAAGAAATAACTAAAATCAGAGCAGAACTGAAGGAAATAGAGACACAAAAAACCCTTCAAAAAATTAATGAATCCAGGAACTGGTTTTTTGAAAGGATCAACAAAATTGATAGACCACTAGCAAGACTAATAAAGAAGAAAAGAGAGAAGAATCAAATAGACACAATAAAAAATGATAAAGGGGATATCACCACCGATCCCACAGAAATACAAACTACCATCAGAGAATACTATAAACACCTCTACCCAAATAAACTAGAAAATCTAGAAGAAATGGATAAATTCCTTGAGACATACACCCTTCCAAGACTAAACCAGGAAGAAGTTGAATCTCTGAATAGACCAATAACAGGTTCTGAAATTGAGGCAATAATTAATAGCTAATCAACCAAAAAGAGTCCAGAACCAGATGGATTCACAGCTGAATTCTACCAGAAGTTCAAGGAGGAATTGGTACCATTCCCTCTGAAACTATTCCAATCAATAGAAAAAGAGGGAATCCTCCCTAACTCATTTTATGAGGCCAGCATCATCCTGCTACCAAAGCCTGGCAGAGACACAACAAAAAAGGAGAATTTTAGACAAATATCCCTGATGAACATCAATGCAAAAATCCTCAATAAAATACTGGCAAGTCGAATCCAGCAGCACATCAAAAAGCTTATTCACCATGATCAAGTGGGCTTCATCCCTGGGATGCAAGGCTGGTTCAACATACACAAATCAATAAATGTTATCCAACATATAAACAGAATCAACAATAAAAACCACATGATTATCTCAATAGATGCAGAAAAGACCTTTGAGAAAATTCAACAACCCTTCATGCTAAAAACTCTCAATAAATCAGGTATTGATGGGATGTATCTCAAAATAATAAGAGCTATCTATGACAAACCCACAGCCAATATCATACTGAATGGGCAAAAACTGGAAGCATTCCCTTTGAAAACTGGCACAAGACAGCGATGTTGTCTCTCACCACTCCTATTCAACATAGTGTTGGAAGTTCTGGCCAGGGAAATCAGGCAGGGGAAGGAAATAAAGGGTATTCAATTAGGAAACGAGGACATCAAATTGTCCCTGTTTGCAGATGACATGATTGTATATCTAGAAAATCCCATCACCTCAGGCCAAAAATCTCCTTAAGCTGATAAGCAACTTCAGCAAAGTCTCAGGATACAAAATCAATGTGCAAAAATCACAAGCATTCTTATACAGCAATAACAGACAGAGAGCCAAATCATGAGTGAGCTCCCATTCACAATTGCTCCAAAGAGTATAAAATACCTAGCAATCCAACTTACAATGGATGTGAAGGACCTCTTCAAGGAGAACTACAAACCACTGCTCAAGGAAATAAAAGAGGATACTAACAAATGGAAGAACATTGCATGCTCATGGGTAGTAAGAAACAATATCGTGAAAAAGGCCATACTACCCAAGATAATTTATACATTCAATGCGATCCCCATCAAGCTATCAATGACTTTCTTCACAGAATTGGAAAAAACTACTTTAAAGTTCATATGGAACCAAAAAAGAGCCCACATTGCCAAGTCAATCCTAAGTCAAAAGAACAAAGGTGGAAGCATCACGCTACCTGACTTCAAACTACACTACAAGGCTACAGTAACCAAAACAGCATGGTACTGGTACCAAAACAGAGATATAGATCAATGGAACAGAACAGAGCCCTCAGAAACAGTGCCACATATCTACAACTATCTGATCTTTGACAAACATGACAAAATTAAGCAATGGGGAAAGGATTCCATATTTAATAAATGGTGCTGGGAAAACTGGCTAACCATATGTAGAAAGCTGAAATTGGATCTCTTCCTTACACCTTATACAAAAATTGATTCAAGATGGATTAAAGACTTAAATGTTAGACAAAAATCCACAAAAACCCTAGAAGAAACCTAAGCATTACCATTCAGGACATAGGCATGGGCAAGGACTTCATGTCTAAACCACCAAAAGCAATGATAACAAAAGCCAAAATTGACAAGTGGGATCTAATTAGATTAAAGAGCTTCTGCACAGCAAAAGAAACTACCATCAGAGTGAACAGGCAACCTATAGAATGGGAGAAAATTTTTGCAATCTACTCATCTGACAAAGGGCTAATACCCAGAATCTACAATGAACTCAAACAAATTTACAAAAAAAAAACAAAGTACCCCATCAACAAGTGGACGAAGGATATGAACAGACACTTCTCAAAAGAAGACATTTATGCAGCCAAAAGACACATGAAAAAATGCCCATCATCACTGGCCATCAGAGAATTACAAATCAAAACCACAATGAGATACCATCTCACACCAGTTAGAATGGCAATCATTAAAAAGTCAGGAAACAACAGGTGCTGGAGAGGATGTGGAGAAATGGGAACACTTTTACACTGTTGGTGGGACTGTAAACTAGTTCAACTATTATGGAAGTCAGTGTGGCGATTCCTCAGGGATCTGGAACTAGAAATATGATTTGACCCGGCCATCCCATTACTGGGTATATACCCAAAGGATTATAAATCATGCTGCTATAAAGACACATGCATCCGTCTGTTTATTGCAGCACTATTCACAATAGCAAAGACTTGGAACCAAGCCAAGTGTCCAACAATGTTAGTCTGGATTAAGAAAATGTGGCACTTATACACCATGGAATACTATGCAGCCATAAAAAATGATGAGTTCATGTCCTTTGTAGGGACATGGATGAAGCTGGAAACCATCATTCTCAGCAAACTATTGCAAGGACCAAAAACCAAACACCCCATGTTCTCACTCATAGGTGCGAATTGAACAATGAGAACACATGGACACAGGAAGGGGAACATCACACACCAGGGCCTGTTGTGGGATGGAGGGAGGGGGGAGGGATAGCACTAGGAGATATACCTAATATTAAATGACGAGTTAATGGTTGCAGCACACCAATATGGTACATGTATATATAAGTAATAAACCCGCACGTTGTGCACAAGTACCCTAAAACCTAAAGTACAATTAAAAAAAAAAGACACCTCTGCAAATTCAGGCATTCTAAGGATAGAGAAACCTGTTTGACCCAAGGCATTTTATCTGGAGAGTCTCTTGGCAGACTACAAGGCTTTCTGTTGATAGAGACTACAGTCCTACCCTAGGCATTGTAATGATAGAGACACTTGTGTGGCCTCAGGCCTTCTCAGCATAGAGGCACCTGGTCAAACCCAGTCATTGTAATGGAAAAGAACCCTGGCCTACCCAAGGCATTCTAGGAACAGAGACTCCTGCCCAATCCCACGCATTCTAATGAAAGTGACACCTGGGTGACCTCATCATTCGAAAGATAGAGACACCTGGCTAACCCCAAGCATTCAAATGGGATAGACTCCTGGCTGACCCCAGGCTTTCTAATGATAGAGACTCCTGGCCTATCCCCTGCATTCTAATGAGACACCTGTGGGACCTTAGGCATTCTAAGGATAGAGACAACTGGATGATCCCAGGCATTCTAACAGTAGAGATTCCTTACTGACTGAAGGCATTCTAATGATAAAAACTGCTGGTCTATCAAAGACATTCTAATGAAAGAAACACCTGTGAAACCTCAGGCATTCTAAAGGAATATACACCTGGCCAACCCCAGGCATTCTAGCAGGAGAGACACCTGGCTGACCCCAGGCATTCTAATGGGAAAGACACACCTTTGAAACCTCAGGCATTCTAAAGAAATATACACCTGGCCAACCCCAGGCATTCTAGCAGGAGAGACACCTGGCTGACCCCAGGCATTCTAATGGGAAAGACTCCTGGCCGACTGCAGGCATTCTAATGAGAGAAACACTGTGCAACATCAGGCATTCTAAAAATAGAGACACGTGGCTGATTCCATGCAATCTAACTGCAGAGACTCCTGGCCAACCCTAGGCATTCTAATCATAGAGACTTTTACACAACATCTGACATTTTAAGGGTAGCGACACCTGGCCTACCACAATAATTTTAATGGGAGAGACTCCTGGCCCACCCCAGACATGCTAATGTTAGAAACACCTGTCCTGCCTCAAGTATCATAATGATTGTGACCTGAGGCATTCTAAGGATAGAAACACCTGACCTACCTTTGGCATTCTAATGGGAGAGACTCCTGGCCACCCCAGCTATTCTAAAGGTAGCTACTACTGGCCAACCTCAGGCATTCTATATGTAGAAATTCCTGGCCAGTCTCAGCCATTCTAATTATAGAGATATGTGAAGGACCTAAGGCATTCTACGGATAGACACCTGGTCGACCCCAGTCATTCTATCAAAAAAGACTCCTGCTTACCATAAGCAATCTAATCATAGAGACCTCTGGCAGACCCTAGGGGTTCTAATGATAAAGAAACCTGTGCTACCTCAGTCTTTCTAAGGATTGAGACACCTTGGAGACCCCAGGCATTCTAATGGGAGAGAATCCTGACAGACCCCAGGCATTCTAATAATAGATGCTCCTGGCCAACCCCCAGCATTTTGATTATAGAGACACCTGGGTGACCACAAGAAATCTAAAGATAGACAAGTGGCCGAACTCAGGCCTTTTAAGGGAACAGACTCCTGACTCATTCCAGGCATTCTAATAATAGAGACACCTCTGTGACCTCAGGCAATCTAAAGACAGAGAAACCTGTGTGACCCAAGACATTCTAATGGGAGAGACTCCTGACTGACACCAGGCTTTCTATTGATAGACACTCCAGGCCTACTCCAGGCATTCCAAGGTTAGAGAAATCTGTGAGACCACAGGAATTTTAAAAATAGAGGCACCTTGCTGATCCAAGACATTGTAATGGGAGAGACCACTGGCCAACCTCAGACATTTTAAGGATAGAGACTTTTGGCCAACCCCACAAATTCTAATGATAGAGACACTTGGGCAACCCCAGACTCTGTAACAGGGAGAGACTTCTGGTCACAATCAGGCTTCCTCTTAATAGAGACAATTCGACTATCCCAGGTGCTATAATGGTAGATACACCAGGCCAAGCCCAGTCATTTTAACAAGAAAGACCCCTGGCTGACTCCAGGCATTCTACCAGGAGAGACTCATGGCCAACCTCAGGAATTTAATGTTATAGACACCTTGGCAACAACAGGCATTCTAAGGATAGAGACACCTGGCCAACCACAGGCATTTTAATGAGAGAAACTTCTTGCCAATCCCAGGCATTTTAATGATAGAGACTTTTGGCCTATCATTGGCATTCTAATTATAGAGACGCCTGTGGGACCTCAAGCATTCTAAGGATAGACACACCTGGGTCACCACAGGCATTCCAATTATAGAGACTCCTGTCTTACCCAAGGCATTCTAATAATAGAGATTCCTGGCCTATTCAAGACATTCTAATGATAGAGACACCTGTGTGACCTCAGTCATTCTAAAGAAAAAGACACCTCGCCAATCCCAGGCATTCTAAAGGGAGAGAATCCTGGCCAAAAAAAGGCATTCTAATGATAGAGACTCCTGCCCTACTCAGGCAATCTGATGATAGAGACAGCTGTGTGACATGAGGCATTCTAAGGATAGAGATATCTGGCTGACCCCAGGCAGTCTCATGGGAGACACTACTGGCAGAACTCAGGCATTCTAACATGACAGATCCCTAGCTGACCCTTGGCATTCTAATGATAGTGACACCTGGGTGACCGCAGACATTCTAAGGATAGAGACACTTACATCTGGCCAATCCAAGGCATTCTAATAGGAGAGACTTTTGGCAGACCCCTGGAATTCTAACAAGAGAGAGCCCTGGCTGTTGGAAACAGTGAGTTCCTCTTCAAAGGTTCTACTTGTCCTCTATTTTCAAAGCACAACTTCCTTGCCTACTTACCCCTAGTTACAGTAAACATTCCAGCCATTCCCAATCTGTAACCCACATCCTTTCCCAATCTGTAACCCACATCCATTCTCTATCTGTAACAAACCACATTGCTTCCTTACTTGGTGCTCTTAGTTCCGAAACTGCTCTTCCTACTGCTGTAGACCCCACCCCTGCTCCCTTTTGAAGTAGCCAATCAGAGTGAACTTAGATTTTGTGGTCCAACCCCAGCCAATGGGTGACGGACAAAATAGTAGGGACTGACAGCATTAGGGATAAAAACCCCTTCCCTCCTTTGTTCGGTGTGCTCTCACAGTGACCAGAAGAATGAGCAGCACCCTTCTGCAGAAGTAAATTTGCCTTGCTGAGAAATTCTTTGAGTCCTCGTTTCGTTTGTGACTCTGAGCTCTTATTTCCAACAGGCATTTTAAAGATAGAGACTCCTGGCCAACTCCTGGCATTTTAATTATAGGAACACCTGGGGGAACTCAGGCATTCTAAGGATGGAAACTCCTTATCGACTTTGAGCATTCTAACGGAAGAGACTCCTGGTCAAACCCAGGATTTCTAAAGACAGAGACACCTGGGAGGCCAATGGCATTCTAAAGGTAGGAACACCTGAACAACCCCAGGCATTCTAACAATAGAGACTCCTGGCTATCCCGAGACATTCTAATGTCAGAGAGTCCTGGCTCACTCCAGGCATTCCAATGATAGAGACACCTGTTAGACCTCAGGCATTCAAAGGATATAGACACCTTGCCCGCCCCAGGCATTCTACAGAAAGAGACTCCTGGATCATCACAGATATTCTGATAGAGACTCCTGGCTGACCTTAAGTATTCTAATGATAGAGATACCTGGTTGACCTCAGGCATTCTAAGGATAGAGACACATAGCCAGCACAAGGCATTCTAATGGGAGAGACTCCTGGCCTACCCCAGGCATTCTGATGATAGAGACTCCTGGCCTACCCCAGCATTGTAATGTTAGAAACACTTGCATGACCTCAGCCATTTTAAGGGTAGTGACACCTGGTGAGCCCCAGAAATTTTAACGATAGAAACTCCTGGCTTACTACAGGCATTCCAATGATAATGTCACCTGTGCATCCTCTGATATTTTAAGGACAGACACATCTGGCAGACAAAAGGCATTCTAATGAGGAAGATTCCTGGCCAACCCCAGGCATTCTAATGATAGAGACAACTGTGAGACCTCAGGCATTCTAAGGATAGAGGCACCTGGCTGGGGCCAGGTATTCTAATGGAAGACACTCCAGGCCAATCCCCTGGCATTCTAATGATAGAGACTACTGGCTGACCCCAGACATTCCAATAAAAGAGACACCTGTGTGACATCAGGCATTCTGAGGATAGAGACACCTAGCTGACACCAGGCATTCTAATGGGAGAAAATTCTGGCCAAACCAAGGCATTCTAACAGGAGAGATTCCTGGCTGACCCCGGGCATTCTAATGACAGAGACTCCTGGCTGATCCCAGTCATTCTAACGGGAAAGACTATCCCAGCCATTCTAATGACAGAGACACCTATGTGACCTCAGGCATTCTAAGGATAGAGACTCCTGGCTGACCCCAGGCATTCTAACAAGAGAGAATCCAGGCTGACCACAGGCATCCAAATGATAGGCACACCTTAGTTACTTCAGGCATTCCAAGGATAAAGACACATTGCTATCATAGGCATTCTAATAGGAGAGACTCATTGCTGACCCCAGGCATTCTAATGATAGGGATTCATGGCAGATTCCAAGTATTGGAATGATAAAAACACCTGGGCGACCTCAGGCATTTTAAGGATAGAGACACCTGGCCAACCCCAGGCATTCTAAAGGGAAATACTCCTCGTTGACCTCAGGCATTCTAACGATAGGGTCACCTGGGAGACCTCAGGCATTCAAAGGATAAAGATACCTGGCCAGACTGGCATGATGGCTCACTTCTGCAATCCAAGCCCTTTGGGAAGACAAGGTGGGTGGATCACCTGAGGTTGGGAGTTTGAGACCAGCCTGACCAACATGGAGAAACCCCTTGTATACAAAAAATACAAAATTAGTCAGGCTTGGTGGCACATGCTTGTAATCCCAGGTTCTCTGGACTGTTAGGCAGGAGAATCACTTCAACCCGGGAGGCGGCAGTTGTGGTGAGCTGAGATCACACCACTGCACTCCAGCCTGGGCAATGAGAGTGAAATTTAGTCAAAACAAACAAACAAACAAACAAAAAATAACACCTGGGTGACCCTGGGCATTCTAATTGGAGAGACTACTGGACAACTACAGGCTTTTCAATGATAGGGACATCTGAGTGACCTATGGCATTCTAAGGGTAGGAACACCTGGACAATTTCAGACATTCTAACAATAGAGACTTCTGGCCATCCTGAGACATTCTAATGACAGAGACTCCTGACCTACCCAGGCATTCCAATGATGGTCACACCTGTGGGACCACAGAAATTTTAAGGGTATAGACATCTGGCCAACCCCAGTTATTCTAATGGGAGAGACTCCTGGCCCACACCAGGCATTCTTATAATAGAGACTCCTGGGCCACCCAGGACATTCTTTTGATAGAGACACCTGGGTGACCTCAGGCATCCTAAAGATAGAGACACAAGGCCAACCCCAGGCATTCGAGCTGGAGAGGCTCCTGGGCAAACCCAGTCATTCTAACTGGAGAGACTCCTGGCCCAACCTAGGCATTCTAAAGATAGAGGCAAATGTGCAACCTCAGACATTCTAAGTACAAAGACACCTGGCTGAATGAGACATTCTATCAGGGAGACTCCTGGCAAAACCTTGGCATTCTAAAGGGAGAGACTCCTGGCAGACCCCAGTCATTCTAATGATAGAGACTCCTGGCCAATCCCAGGCATTCTAAAAATAAAGACACCTGTGTGGTCTCATGCATTCTAAGGTTAGAGATACCTGGGCTGATCCCAGGCGTTTTTACAGTAGAGACTTATGGCCGACCACAAGCATTCTAATGATAGAGACACCTGGGTGGCCTCAAGCATTCTAACTATAGAGACAAGTGGCCAACCCCAGGCATTTGAATGGAAGAGACTTCTGGCCAACACCAGGCATTTTTATGATAGGGACTGCTGGCCGCCCTCAAGCATTTAATAAAAGAGACACCTGGACGACCTCAGGCATTCTAAGAATAAAGACACCTGGCCTATCCCAGGCATTTTAAAGGGAGAGACTTATTGCTGACTCCAGGCATTTGAATGACAGGGATTCCTGGCCTACTGCAGGTGCTCTAATAATAGAGACACCTGTGGAACCTCAGGCATTCTAAAGATAGAAACACGTGGTTGACCCCAGGCATTCTATCGGGAAAGACTCCTGGCTGACCCAAGGCATTCTGAGGGGAGAGCCTCATGACTGACCCCAGGCATTTAATGGATAGAGACACCTGGCTGACCCCAGGCATTCTAATGGGAATACTCCTTGCCAACTTCAGGTGTTCTATTGATACAGACACCTGGCCTACACCAGGCATTCTAATGACAGAGACACCTTTGTGATATAAGGCATTTTAAGGATAGTGACACCTGGCCGACTCCAGGCATTCTAACTGGAAAGACTTTTGACCTGCCACGGGCATTACAATAAGAAAGAGTCCTGGCCGACCCCAGGACTTCAAATGATAGTGACACCTGGCTGACACCAGGTGTTCTAATGATAGAGACAGCTGGGGGAACTCGAGCATTCTAGGAATAGAGACACCTGGCTCACCACAGGCATTCTAATGAAAGAGACTACTGGAAGACACAAGACATTCAAATGATAAAGACTTCTGGATGACTCCAGGCATTCTAATGATAGACAAACCTGGGCGACCTCAGACAGTCTAAGGACAGAGATGTTTGGCTGACCTTAGGCATTCTAACAGGAGAGACTCCTGGCCAACCCCAGGCATTGTAATGAGAGAGACACCCGGGTGACCTCAGGCATTCTAAGTGTAGACACACCAGACCAGGCTGACTGCAGGCATTCTAATTATAGAGACACCTGTGCAACCTTAGACATTTTAATCATAGTGACACCTCGCTTAGGCATTCTAACGGGGGAGACTCTTGGCCGACTCCAGGTATTCTAATGATAAAGACAAGTGTGCAGGCTCAGCCTTTTAAAGAATAGAAATACCTGGATGACCACAAGCATTCTAATGGGATAGACTTCTGGCCCATCCCAGGCATTCTAATGGGAGAGAGTTCTGGTTGAGCCAAGGCATTCTAATGGTAGACACTCCTGGACAACTCCAGGTATTCTAATGATAGAGTCTTCTGGTCAACCTAAGGCATTCTCATCGGAGAAACTCCTGACTGATCCCAGGAATTCTAATGTGAGAATCTCCTGGCCGAACCCAGGCATTCTAATGATAGAGACACCTCTGCAACCTCAGCCATTTTAAGGGTTAAGACAACAGCCCAACACTAGCATTTTAATGGGCGAGACTCCAGGCTGACCACAGGTATTGTAATGATAAAGAATCCTGGCGTATCCCAAGCATTCTAATGTTAGACACCTGTGCAACTTTATTCTAAGGATAGAGACACCTGGCCGACCCCAGGAATTATAATGGGAGAGACTCCTGGTTGACACCAGGCATTCTAATGATAGACACCTGGCCTAACCAAGGCACTCTAATGATAGAGACACCTGTGCCACCACTGGAATTCTATGGATAGAGACACCTGGCTGACTCCAAGCATTCTAATGGGAGAGACTTCTGGACGACCCCAGACTTTTTAACCAGAGAAACTCTGGGCCGACCTCAGGCATTCTAATGATAGAGAGAGCTGAGGGACCTCAGGCTGTTTAATGGTAGAGACTTCTTGCCAACATCAGGCATTCTAATGATAGAGACATCTGGCTGACCACACGCACTCTAATAATAGAGACACCTGAGTGACCCCAAGTATACTAATGGGAGAAAGTCCTTGCTGACCCCAGGCATTCAAGTGATAGAAACAGCTTGATGACCTCAGGCATTATAAGGATAGAGACACCTGGCTGACCCAATACATTCCTATGGGAAAGACTCCTGGCTGACCCCAGGCTTATTAATGATAAAGATTCCTGGCCTACACCAAGAATTCTAATGATAGAGACACTGGTGTGACCTCAGACATTTTAACCCTAGAGACATCTGGCCGATTCCAGGCATTCTAATGGGAGAGACTCCTGGCAGGCCCCAGGCCTTCTAATGATAGAGACTGCTATCTGATCTCAGGCATTCTAATGATAGAGACATTTGTGCGACTTCAGGCAATTTAAGGATAGAGACACATGGTGCACGCTAGGCATTCTAAGGGGAAAGACTCTTGGACGACCCCAGGCACTCTAATGATAGAGACTTCTTGCCAACCTCAGGCATTCTAATGATAGAGATACTTTGGCGACCTCACCTTTCTAACGACAAAGACACCTGGTCAAATCCCAGGCATTTTATTGGGAGAGACTCCTGGCCAACCCCAGGCATTCTCATGATAGAGACTCCTGGTCTACCCCAGGCATTCTAATGATACAGTCACCTTTACGACCTCAGACATTTTAAGGATAGAGAAACAAGCATTGTGACAGAGACAATCCAGGCCAAAAACAAGCATTCTAATGATAGAGAATCCTGGCTCATCTCAGGCATTCTAATGATAGATGCCTGTGCCCCCTCACTCATTATAGGATAGAGGCATCTGGTCAAACCCAGGCATTCTAACAGGAGAGACTACTGGTGGACACAAGATAGCACAAGATAGAGACTCCTGGCCTATCAAGGAATTCCAATGATAGACCCGTGTGGAACTTCAGTCATTCTAAGGATGGAGACACCTGGCCAACTCCAGGCATTCTAACTGGAGAGACTCCTTGCTGACCCGAGCATTCTAATGATAGAGACTCCTGGCCAACACCACGCAGTCTAATGTGAGAGATACCTAGGTGATTTCAGTCATTCTAAGATTAGACACAGGTCAGCGACCCCACACATCCTAATGGGAGACATCCTTTGCCTCCCCCAGACATTCTAATTATAGAGACTCCTGGCGAAAAATAGGCATTACAATGACAGAGTCACCTGGGAAATCTCAAGCATTCTAAGGGTAAAAACACCTGACCATCACAGGCATTCTAATGTGAGAGACTTCTGGCTGACCCAGGCATTCTAATGGGAGAAAATCCAGGCCAATCATGGGCATTAAAATGATAGATACACCTGAGCGACCTCAGGCATTCCAAGGATAAAGACACCTGGCCACCATAGGAATTCTAATGTTACAGACACCTGGGCGATCTCAGGCTTTATAAGGATAGACACCTGAACAACCCCAGGCCTTCTAATGGGAGAGACTCCTGGATGACCCCTGGCAATCTAATGATAAAGACACCTGGCCAACCCCAGGCATACTAATGATAGAGACAGCTTAGCAACCTCAGGTATTCTAAGGATAGAGACACCCAGAGAACAACAGGCATTCTAATGGGAAAGATTCCTGGTCTAACCCAGGCATTCTATTAAAAGAGACAATAGTCCGACACCAGGCATTGTAATGACAGAGACACTTGCGTGACTTCAGGCATTCTAAGGATAGAGGCACCTGTCTGACCCCAGGCATTCTAAGAGGAGAGATACCTGTCTGACCTCAGTCATTCAAAGGATAGAGACAATTGGACGTTATTCTAATGATAGACTCCTGGCTGACCCCAGGCATTCTAATAATAGAGACACCTGGGTGACCTCAGGCTTCCTAAAGATAGAGAGTTCCAGGCTGACCCAGCCATTTTAACAAGATAGACAACTTGTCGACCTCTGGCATTCTAACGATAGAGGCTCCTGGCCATCCCCAAGCATTCCAATAATATAGACACCTGTGTAACCTCAGTCATTCGAAGGATAGAGACACTTGGACGACTCCAGACATTCTAACAAGTGAGGTAAACGCTCCTGGACTCTCCAAGGCATTTTAACGGTAGAGACACCTGTGTGACCTCAGACATTCTAAGGGTAGACACCTGGCTGACCCCAGACATTCTAACAAGAGATACTCCTGGCAAACTCAAGGCATTTTTGTGATAGAGACAGGTGGGCGACTTCAGGCATTCTAAAAATAGAGCTAACTGTGTGACCTCAGGCATTCTAAGGATAGAGACACCTGGCTGATCTGAGGCATTCTAACAAGAGAGACTCCTGGCCAACTCTAGGTATTCTAATGATAAAGACTCATTGCCAACTCCAGTCATTCTACTGCTAATGACACCTCAGCGACCTTAGGAATTCTATGAATAGAGACACCTGGCCGACCCCAAATATTCTAACAAGAGACTCCTGTCTGACCCCAGACATTTAAATTTAGATAGAGACTCCTGGCTTACTTCAAGCATTCTAATGATAGAGACACTTGTGTGACCTCAGGCATTCTAATGACAGAGACACCTGGGCAAATCAAGGCATTCTAAAGGCAGAGACGTCTGGACTACATCAGGCATTCTAATGATAGAGACACCTGTGAGACCTCAGGAATTTTAACAATAGAGACACCTGGCCAACCCCTGGCATTCTAATGAGAGAGACTTCTGGCCAACACAAGGCATTCTAATGACAGAGACTCTTAGCTCTTCCCAGGCATTCTAATGATACAGACACTCAGGTGACATCAGGCATTGTAAGGAGAGAGACAACTGGCCGACACTAGGCTTTATAGCCCCAGGCATTTCAATGATGGAGGCTCCTGTCATAGCGCAGGCATTTTCATAATACAGACACCTGGGTGACACCAGGCATTCTAAGGAAAGAGACACCTGGACCACCCAAGGCTCTTTAACGGGAGAGGTTTTTGGTCAACCACAGGCATTCTAGTAATAGAGACTCTTCACTGACCCAGGCATTCTAATGATAGAGACATCTGGATGACCTCAGGAGTTCTAAGGATAAAGACACCTGGCCGAAATGCAGACATTATAACAGGGGAGACACCTTTCTGACTCCAGGCATTCTAATAATAGAGATACCAAGGCGACATCAGGCATTCTAATTATAGAGACACTTGGCCTAGCTCAGGCACTCTAGTGATAGAAACACCTGTGAAACCTCAGGCATTTTTATGAATAGAGACACCTGGCCGACCCCAGGCATTCTAACTTGAGAGACTCCAGGGCGACTGCAGGCATTCTAATGTTAGAGATTCCTGGCCTGTCCTAGGCATTCCAATGATAGACACCTGTGCAACCTTAGGCATTCTGAAAATAGATACACCTGGGAGACCAAAACACCTTATGTGAGAGACTCCATGCTGACCCCAGGCATTCTAACGAGAGAGACTACTGGAAGACCACAGGCATTCTAATGATATAGATGCTAGAGTGAACTCAGGCATTCTAAAAATATAGACACTTGGCTGACTCCAGGCATTTTAACAAGAGAGACTCTTGGACGACTGCAGGCTTTCTAATGATAAAGACACATGGGCGACCTCAGGCATTCTAAGGGTAGAGACACCTGGCCGAACAAAGGCATTCTAATGGGACAGACTCTTGGCCGACCACAGGCATTCTAATGATAGAGTCTCCTGGCCTATTTCACTCATTCTAATGATAGAGAAACCTGTGGGACCTCGGGCATTCTAAGGATAGAGATCCCTAACTGAACACAGGCATTTTAAAGGGAGAGACTCCTTGACCACCCCAGGCATTCTAATGATAGAGACTCCTGGCTGACCCCAGGCATTCTAATGACAGAGACACCTGGGTGACCTCAGGCTTCCTAAATATAGGGAGACCAGGCTGACCCAGGTATTCTAACAGGAGAGACTCCTGGCCAACTCCTGGCATTCTACTGATGGAGACCCTTGTACTAGCCCAGGAACTCTAATAATAGAGACACCTGTGCAACCTCAGACATTTTAAGTATAGAGACACCTGGCTGACTCCAGGCATTCTAGTAGGAGAGACTCCAGGTCGACCCCAGACATTCTAATGATATAAAATCCTGATGTATCCCAAGCAGTCTAATGATAGACACCTGTTTGACCTCAGACAGTCTAAAAACAGAGACACCAGTATGACCCAAACATTCTAATGGAAGAGACTCCTGGCCGACCCCAGGCAATCTAACAGGAGAGACTACTGGCCAACCCCAAGCATTCTAATGATAGAGACACCTGGGCTTACTCAGGCATTCTAAGAATAAAAACACCTGGCAGACCTGAAACATTCTAATGAGAGACTTCTGGCAGACAGTACTCTTTCCAATAATAGAGACTCCAGGCCTACCAAAAAGCTTTCTAATAACAGACACCTGTGTGACTGCAGGGATTCTAAGGATAGAGACACCTGGCTGACCCCAGGCATTTTAACAGGAGTTTTGGCTGACTTCAGGCATTCTAATTATAGAGGTTCCTGGCCTACCCTATTATTCTAATGATAGAGAAACCTGTGCAACCTCAGGTATGTTAAGGATGGAGACATCTCGC
Source organism: Homo sapiens (assembly GCF_000001405.40). Lineage (NCBI taxonomy): Eukaryota > Metazoa > Chordata > Mammalia > Primates > Hominidae > Homo > Homo sapiens. The sequence goes on from NC_000023.11 coordinate 58,126,574, forward strand.
TGACCCAATGCATACTAACTGGAAAGACTCCAGACATTCTAATAATAGGAACTCCTGGCCGACCCCAGGCATTCTAATAATAGAGACATCGGGGCGATCTCACCATTCTAAAAATAGAGACACCTGGCCGACCACAGGCACTCTAACAGGACAAACTCCTGGCCGACCCCAGGCATTCTAATGGGAGAGACTCCTTTCCTATCCCACTCGTTCTAATCAGAAAAACCTGTGCGACCTCAGGCAATCTAAGGATAGAGACACGTGACCAAACACAGGCATTCTAAAGGGAAAGACTCCTGGGTGACCCCAGGCATTCTAAAGATAGAGACACATGGGCGATCTCCGGCATTCTAATAGTGACACCTGCCCCACACTAGTCTTTCTAACGAGAGAGACTCCTGGCCGACACCAGGCATTCAAATGATAGACACTCCTAGCTTATCCCAGGCACTCTAATAATAGAGACACCTGTGGGACCTCTGGCATTCTAAGGATAGAGACACCTGACCAATTCCAGAAATTCTATCAAAAAGAGTCTTGGCCAAACCCATGCACTCCAATGATAAAGATTGCTGGATGACCCCAAGCATTCTAATAATAGAAACACCTGGGCGACCTCAGGCATTCCAATGGGAGAGACTCCTGGCTGACCACAGGAATTCTAATGAAAGAGACACCTGGGCAACATCAGGCATCCCATAGAAGGAGACACCTGGCCAACCCCAGGCATTCCAAAGGGAGAGATTCCTGGTGGACCCCTAACATTCTAACTGAAGAGACCCCTGTCTGACCCCAGGCTTTCTAATTATAGAGACTCCTGGAAGACCCTAGACATTCTAATGATAGAGATACCTGGAGGACTTCATGCATTCTAAGGATACAGCCCCCAGGGCCAAGACATTCTAGACCCAAGAAATTCCAGAAGAAAAGACTCCTGGCCAACCCCAGGCCTTCTAATGAGAAAGACACTGGGCCTACCCAAGGCATTCTAATTATAGATACTCCTGGCCTACCACAGGTATTTTAATGACAGAGACACCTGAAAGACCTCATGCTTTCTAAGGATAAAAACCTCTGGGACACTGCAGACATTCCAAGAGGAGAGAGTCCCAGCCAACCCCAGGCATTCTAATGATAAAGACTTTTGGCCAACCACAGGCATTTTAATACTAAAGACACCTGTGCAACCTCAGTCATTCTAAAGATAGAGACACCTAGTCAACCCCAGGCATTCTAACGTGAGAGATACCTGGCTGACCCCAGGCATTTTAATGATAAAGACTCCTGGTTGACCCAAATCGCTCTAATGATAGAGACACCTGTGTGACCTCAGTCATTCTAAGGATAGAGACACCTGGCTGACCCTAGGGATTCTAACTGGAGAGGCTTCTGGCCGACCCCAGGCATTCTAATGATACAGACTCGTAGCCGACCCAGTCACTCTAATGATAGAGATACCTGTGCAATCTCAAACATTCTAAGGACAGAAACACCTGGCAGAACCCAAGCATTCTAACGGGAGATACTCCTGGCTGTCCCCAGGCATTCTAAGTGAAGAGACTTCTGGTTGACTCTAGGCAATCTAGTGATAGAAACACCTGGGGGACCTCAGGCAATCTAATAGGAGAAACTCCTGGCTGACTCCAGCCATTCTTATAATAGAGATTCCAGGCTGAAACCCTGCATTCTAAAAAATAGAGACACGTGGACAACCATAGGCATTCTAACTGGAGAAACTCCTAGCCTACCACAGGAATTCTAATAATTGAGACACCTGGACGACCTCTCATATTCTAAGAATAGAGACACCTTGCCAACCCCAGGCATTAAAACAGGAAGACTCCTGGCCAACACCAGGCATTCTAATGATAGACACTCTTGGCTGACCCCTGGCATTCTAACGGGATGAGGATAGGTCTTCTATTGATAGAGACTCCTGTTCTACTCCAGGCATTCTAATGATAGAGACACCCGTGTGACCTCAGTCATTGTAAGGATAAAGACACCTGGCCAACCCAAGGCATTCTAATGAGAGAGGCTCCTGGCCAACCCCAGGCATTCTACAGAAGAGACTCCTAGCCAAACGCAGGCATTCTAATGATAGAAACTCCTAAATGAACCCAGGCATTATAATGATAAAGACACCTGGGCAATCTCAGGCATGCTAAGGATAGAGACACCTGGTGGACCACAGACATTCTACCTGGAGAGACTTTTGGCCGACCCTAGGCATTCTAATGATAGAGACACCTGGGCGACCTCAGGCATTCTAAGGATAGAGCAGTTTGACCCCAGGCATTTTAACTGGAGAGATTCCTGGCCAATCATAGGGATTCTAATGATAGAGACTCCTTTTTGACCCCAGGCTTTCTAATGATAGAGATGGCTGTGTGACCTCAGGCATTCTAAGGTTAGAGACACCTGGCTGACCCCAGGCATTCTAACAGGAGAGAGTCCTAATTGATCCCAGGCCTTCTAATGAGAGAGACTCCTCTCCGACTCCAGGCATTCTAATAATAGAGACACCAGGAGGACCTCAGGCATTCTAAGGATACAGATACCTGGCCGACTTCAGGCATTCTAATCTTAGAGACTCCTGGCCAACCCCAGACATTCTAATGGTAGAGACTCCTGACTGACCCCAGGCATTCTAATAAGAGAGACACCTGTGTAACCTCAGGTAGTTTAAGGATAGAGGTACCTGGCTGACCCAGGCATTCTAACTGGAGAGGCCCCTGACTGACCCCATGCCTTCTAACTGGAGAGACTCCTGGCAGACACCCACCATTCTAATGATAGAGGCACCTGGGTGACCTCAGGCATTCCTAAGATAAAGACACGTGCCTAACCCAAGGCTTTCTAATGGGAGAGACTTCAGGCCGACCTCAGACATTGTAATGAATGAGACACCTGTGCAACCTCAGCTATTTTTAAGGATAGAGACACTTGCCCAATTCCAGGCATTCTAATGAGAGAGACTTCCGGCCGACTGCAGACATTATAATAACATAGACTTTTGACCTACCCCAGGTATTCTAATGATAGATAAATATATGACCTCAGTCATTTTAAGAATACAAACACCTGGAAGACTCTGTCTATGAGAGAGATTCCTGGCCAAACTCACGCATTCTAGTAATGGAGACACCTGTGCAACCTCAGTCAGTCCAAGTATAGAGCTAGCTGCTCAACCCCAGGCACTCTAATGAGAGAGACTTTGGCTGACCCCAGGCATTCTAACGGGAGAAATTCCTAGCCAAACCCAATTATTCTAATGATAGAGACTCCTCACATATCTTAGGCATTTTAATGATAGAGACACCTGGGCGACCTCAGGCATCCTAAGGATGGAGACACCAGGTGGACCACAGGCATTCTAATAGGAAAGACTCATGGCTGACCTCAGGAATTCTAATGATAGAGACACCTGGGCAACATCAGGCATTCTAAGGATAGAGACACCTGGCTGACCCAAGGCATTCGAACAAAAAGGAGAGACTCCTGGCTGACCCCAGACATTCTAATGATAGAGACACCTGGGAGATCTCAGGTATTTTAAAAATAGAGACACAGGGTCAACCCCAGGCATTCTACCATGATAGACCCCTGGCTGACCCCAGGCATTCTAATGGGAGAGACACATGGCCTACCACAGGCATTCTAATGATAGAGAAACCTGTCCAATCTCAGAGATTCTAAGGATAGAGACACCAGCCAACCCCAGGCATTCTAACGAAAGTGACACCTGGCCGACCCCAGGCATTCTGATGTTAGTGACACCTGGGCAACCTCAGGCATTCTAAGGATAGAGACACCTGACAGACTTCAGGCATTCTAACAGGAGAAACTCCTGACCAACAGCAGGCATGTTAATAATAGATACTCCTGGTTGACCCCAGGCATTCTAATGATAGAGACACCTGGGCGATCTCAGTCATTCTGAAGATAAAGACACCTGGACTAAACACGGGCATTCTAACAAGAGAGACTCCTGTCTAACCCCAGGCATTCTAATGGGAGAGACTCCTGCTTGACCTCAGGCATTCTAATGGGAGAGACTTCAGCTGATATCAGGCATGCTAATGATAGAGACACGTGGGTGATGTCAGGCCTTCTAAGGATAGAGACACCTGGCCGAAGCCAGGCATTTTAACAGAAGTGATTCCTGGCTGACCTCAGGCATACTAACAAAGAAGACTCCTCCTGGCCGACCCTAAGCATTCTAATGATAGAGACACCTGGGTGACCTCAGGCATTCCAAAAATAGGAACACCTGGGAGATCTCTGGCATTCTAACATGGGAGATTTCTTTCCAAACCCAGGCATTCTAATGATAAAGACTCCTTGCAGACCCCAGGCATTCTAATGATAGAGGCACATGCACGACCTCAGTTCTTCTAAGGATAGAGACAGCTGGCTGACCCCAGGCATTCTAATGGGAGAGACTTCTGGTTGACCACAGGCATTCTTAGGATAGAGACTCCTTGCTTACACCAGGCATTCTAATGTTAGAGACACCTGCACATCCTAAGGCATTATAAAGATAGAGACACCTGGCCAAACTCAGGCATGCTAAATGGAAAGACTGCTGGCAGAACCCAGGCATTCAAAAGGGAGAGACACCTGGGAAACCTCACACATTCTAAGGATAGAGACCCCAGTTTTACCCTAGGCATTATAATGAGGGACACTCCTGGACGACCCCAGGACAGAGACTTCTGCTTGACCCCAGGCATTCTAAAGATAGAGATACCTCAGCCACCTAAGGCATCCGAAGGATAGAAACATCTGGCCGGCCCCAAACATTCTAACCAAAGAGACTTCTGGCCGGCCCCAGAAATTCTATTAATAAATTCTGTTTGCTGGCCCCAGGCATTCTACTGATAGAGACAACTTGCCGAACTTAAGCATTGTAAAGATTGAGACACCTGGCCGACCCTGGGCATTCTAATGGGAGAGACTTCTGGCTGACACCAGGCATTCTAAAGACAGAGACTCCTAACCAAACCCATTCATTTTAATGATAGAAACCCCTGAGCAACATCTGGCATTGTAAGAATAGAGACAACTGGCCATCACTAGGCATTCTAACAGCAGAGAATTCTGTCCAACCCCAGGCATCCTAATAATGGAGACTTCTGGCATAACCCAGGCATTCTAATAATAGTGACACCTGGGTGACCTCAGGCATTCTAATGATAGAGACACATGGCTGACCCCAGTTGTTCTAGCCGGAGAGGCTCCTGGCCGACTGCAGGCATTCTAATAATAGAGACACCTGGGCAACTTTAGACATCCTAAAAATAAAGATAACTGGCTGAAACCCAGACATTCTCACAGGACAGACTCCTGACCGACCCCAGGCATTCTAATAAGAGAGACTCCTGCCCAACATCTGGCTTTCTAATGGGAGAGACTCCTGGCCGAACCCAGACATTCTAATGAGAGAGACACTTTGCCGACCCCAGGCTTTCTAATAATACAGACACTTGGGTAACCTCAGGCATGCTAAGTATAGAGACACCTGGCTGACCCCAGGTATTCTAACAGGAGAGACTCCTGTCCAACCCTAGGCATTCTAATAAGGTACTTTCATTGTGAAAAACAGGCATTCTAATGATAGAGACCCCTGATCAGAACCTGGGCATTCTAACAATAGAAACACCTGAACAACCTCAGGGGTTCTAAGGATAGAGACACAAGGTGGACCTCAGGAATTCTAATGGAAGAGACCTGTGGCCGACCTAAGGCAATCTAATGATAAATACATTGGTGCAACCACAAGCATTCTAAGGATAGAGACACATGGCTGACCGCAGGCCTTGTAATAGGAGAAAGTTCTGGTAGACTCCAGGCATTCTAATGATAAAGACTCCTGGCCGACCCCAGGCATGCTAATCATAGAGACTCCTGTCATATCTCAGGCATTGTAATGATAGAGATACCTGTGCGACCTCAGGCATTCTAAGAATAGAGACACCTGGCCAAACCCAGGCATTTTAAAGGGAGGGACTCCTGGATGACTGCAGGCATTCTAATGTTAGAAACACCTGTGTGACCTCAGGCATTCTAAAAATAGAGACCCCTGGCTGACCGCATGCATTCTGATAGGAGAAACCTCCAGCCAACACCATGCATTCTAATGACAGAGACTACATGCTGAACCCAGGCATTTTAATTATAGGGTCACCTGGGTGACAGCAGGCTTTGTAAAGATAGAGACACCTGGCTGACAATAGGCATTCTAACGGCACAGACTCCTGTCCAACCCTAGGCATTCTAATGATGGAGACTCCTGGCATACCCCAGGCATTCTAATAATAGAGACAACAGGGCGATGTCAGCCATTCTAAGGATAGAGACAACTGGTCAAACCCAGGCATTCTAATGGGAGAGAACTCTTGCCGATTGCAGGCTTTCTAATAATAGAGACTCCTGGCCAAACACAGGCATTCTAATGATAGAGACACCTGGACGACCTCTGGCATTCTAAGGATAAAGACTCCTGGCAGAAACCCAGACATTTCAAGAAGAGGGGCTCCTGTCTGACCCCAGGCATTCTAACGGGAGAGACTCCTGCTTGACTCCAGGCATTCTAATGGAACAGGCTCCTGGCCGAACCCAGGCATTGTAATAATAGATACTGCTGGCCAACCCCAGACATTCTTTTTTTTTTTTTTTTTTTTTTCTTTTTTAATTATTATTATTATTATACTTTAAGTTTTAGGGTACATGTGCACATTGTGCAGGTTAGTTACATATGTATACATGTGCCATGCTGGTGCGCTGCACCCACTAACGTGTCATCTAGCATTAGGTATATCTCCCAATGCTATCCCTCCCCCCTCCCCCGACCCCACCACAGTCCCCAGAGTGTGATATTCTCCTTCCTGTGTCCATGTGATCTCATTGTTCAATTCCCACCTATGAGTGAGAATATGCGGTGTTTGGTTTTTTGTTCTTGCGATAGTTTACTGAGAATGATGGTTTCCAATTTCATCCATGTCCCTACAAAGGACATGAACTCATCATTTTTTATGGCTGCATAGTATTCCATGGTGTATATGTGCCACATTTTCTTAATCCAGTCTATCATTGTTGGACATTTGGGTTGGTTCCAAGTCTTTGCTATTGTGAATAATGCCGCAATAAACATACGTGTGCATGTGTCTTTATAGCAGCATGATTTATAGTCCTTTGGGTATATACCCAGTAATGGGATGGCTGGGTCAAATGGTATTTCTAGTTCTAGATCCCTGAGGAATCGCCACACTGACTTCCACAATGGTTGAACTAGTTTACAGTCCCACCAACAGTGTAAAAGTGTTCCTATTTCTCCACATCCTCTCCAGCACCTGTTGTTTCCTGACTTTTTAATGATTGCCATTCTAACTGGTGTGAGATGATATCTCATAGTGGTTTTGATTTGCATTTCTCTGATGGCCAGTGATGATGAGCATTTTTTCATGTGTTTTTTGGCTGCATAAATGTCTTCTTTTGAGAAGTGTCTGTTCATGTCCTTCGCCCACTTTTTGATGGGGTTGTTTGTTTTTTTCTTGTAAATTTGTTTGAGTTCATTGTAGATTCTGGATATTAGCCCTTTGTCAGATGAGTAGGTTGCGAAAATTTTCTCCCATGTTGTAGGTTGCCTGTTCACTCTGATGGTAGTTTCTTTTGCTGTGCAGAAGCTCTTTAGTTTAATTAGATCCCATTTGTCAATTTTGGCTTTTGTTGCCATTGCTTTTGGTGTTTTGGACATGAAGTCCTTGCCCACGCCTATGTCCTGAATGGTAATGCCTAGGTTTTCTTCTAGGGTTTTTATGGTTTTAGGTCTAACGTTTAAATCTTTAATCCATCTTGAATTGATTTTTGTATAAGGTGTAAGGAAGGGATCCAGTTTCAGCTTTCTACATATGGCTAGCCAGTTTTCCCAGCACCATTTATTAAATAGGGAACCCTTTCCCCATTGCTTGTTTTTCTCAGGTTTGTCAAAGATCAGATAGTTGTAGATATGTGGCATTATTTCTGAGGGCTCTGTTCTGTTCCATTGATCTATATCTCTGTTTTGGTACCAGTACCATGCTGTTTTGGTTACTGTAGCCTTGTAGTATAGTTTGAAGTCAGGTAGTGTGATGCCTCCAGCTTTGTTCTTTTGGCTTAGGATTGACTTGGCGATGCGGGCTCTTTTTTGGTTCCATATGAACTTTAAAGTAGTTTTTTCCAATTCTGTGAAGAAAGTCATTGGTAGCTTGATGGGGATGGCATTGAATCTGTAAATTACCTTGGGCAGTATGGCCATTTTCACGATATTGATTCTTCCTACCCATGAGCATGGAATGTTCTTCCATTTGTTTGTGTCCTCTTTTATTTCCTTGAGCAGTGGTTTGTAGTTCTCCTTGAAGAGGTCCTTCACATCCCTTGTAAGTTGGATTCCTAGGTATTTTATTCTCTTTGAAGCAATTGTGAATGGGAGTTCACTCATGATTTGGCTCTCTGTTTGTCTGTTGTTGGTGTATAAGAATGCTTGTGATTTTTGTACATTGATTTTGTATCCTGAGACTTTCCTGAAGTTGCTTATCAGCTTAAGGAGATTTTGGGCTGAGATGATGGGGTTTTCTAGATAAACAATCATGTCGTCTGCAAACAGGGACAATTTGACTTCCTCTTTTCCTAATTGAATACCCTTTATTTCCTTCTCCTGCCTGATTGCCCTGGCCAGAACTTCCAACACTATGTTGAATAGGAGTGGTGAGAGAGGGCATCCCTGTCTCGTGCCAGTTTTCAAAGGGAATGCTTCCAGTTTTTGCCCATTCAGTATGATATTGGCTGTGGGTTTGTCATAGATAGCTCTTATTATTTTGAAATACGTCCCATCAATACCTAATTTAATGAGAGTTTTTAGCATGAAGGGTTGTTGAATTTTGTCAAAGGCTTTTTCTGCATCTATTGAGATAATCATGTGGTTTTTGTCTTTGGCTCTGTTTATATGCTGGATTACATTTATTGATTTGCATATATTGAACCAGCCTTGCATCCCAGGGATGAAGCCCACTTGATCATGGTGGATAAGCTTTTTGATGTGCTGCTGGATTCGGTTTGCCAGTATTTTATTGAGGATTTTTGCATCAATGTTCATCAAGGATATTGGTCTAAAATTCTCTTTTTTTTGTTGTGTCTCTGCCAGGCTTTGGTATCAGAATGATGCTGGCCTCATAAAATGAGTTAATGATAGAGACACTTTGGGGACCTCAGACATTCTAAGGATAGACACCTGGCTGACCCCAGGCATTCTAACAGGAGAGACTTCTGGACGACCCCATCCATTTTAATGGGAGACCAAGCATTCTAAAGATAGAGACACCTGGGTGACCTCAGGCATTCTAAGGATAGAGACTCCTGGACACACCAGGTATTCTAACGGGAGAGACTCCTGGTCAAGTCCAGGCATTCTAATAATAGAGACAACTGAGCGACCTCAGGAATTTTAAGGATAAAGACACCTGGTTGACCACAGGATTTCTAACAGGAAAGACTTCTGGGCAATCCTAGATATTCTAATGAGAGAGGCTCTTTGTTGAAAACAGGCTTTCCAATGATAGAGACTCCTGGGCAATCCCAAGCATTCTAATGATGGAAACAACTGGGTGGCCTCAGGCATTCTAAAGATAGAGACACCTGGCAGACTGCACACATTCTAATGGGAGAAACTAATGGCTGCCCCCAGGCATTCTCAACGGAGACACTCCTGACCAACTACAGGCATTCTAATGATAGAAACATCTGGGCGATATCAAGCATTCTAAGGGTAGATACACCTGCATACCCCAGGCATTCTAATAATTGAGACTCCTGGCCAACCACAGGCATTCTAATTATAGAGACACATGGGCAAACTCAGGCATTCTAAGGATAGAGACACCTTGCAGACCCGAGGCATTCTAATGGGAGAGACACCTGGCCTGCCCCAGTCATTCTAATGTTGGAGACTACTGGCCTACACCAGACATTCTAGTAATAGAGACACCTGGCCTACGCAAGGCATTCGAACAAGAGAGACTCCTGTCAGACCTCAGACTTTTTTAATGATAGAGACTCCAGGCCTACCCCAGGCATTTTAATAATAGGGACACCTGTGCTATTTCAGGCATTCTAAAAATAGAGACTCCTGGCCAACCCCAGGCATTCTCACCGGAGAGACTCAGGGCTGACCCCAGGAATTTTAATTACTTGGACTCCTGGCCTACCCCAGACATTCAACTGATAGAGACACCTGTGCCACCTCAGGCATTCTAAGGATAGAGTCAAATGACTGGCTTCAGGCATTCTAACAGGAATGAATTCTGGCTGACCCCAAGCATTCTAATGATAGACTCCTGTCTGACCACAGCCATTCTAATGGATAGAGACTCCTGGCCGACTTTTGGCATTCTAAAGGTAGAGACAACTTGGTGACTTTAGACATACTAAGGATAGAGACATCTCGCCAATTCCATGCACTTTAATGGGAGAGATTCCTGGCAGACTCCAGGCATTCTAATGATAAAGGCACCTGGGCGACTGCAGGCATTCTAATGATTGAGACACCTGACTAACCTAAGGCATTCTAACGGAAGAGACTCCTGGCAGACCACAGGCTTTTTAATGATAAAGACTGCAGGCCTACCCGAAGCATTCTAATGATAGAGACACCTGTGCGACCTCAGGCATTCAAAGGATAGAGACACCTTGTCAACCCCAGGCATTCTAATGGGAGAGACTCCTGGCCGATCCCAGGCATTCTAATGATACAGTGGTTTGGCAGACCCCAGTCATTCTAGCGGTAGAGAAACCTGGGCAACTCCAGGCATCCTAAGGATAGAGATACCTGCCCTACCCCCGGCATTCTAATGGGAGAGACTCCTGGTGCACATTCGGCATTTTAATGGGAGGCACTCCTTTCTGACTCCAGACATTATAATGGTAGAGACTCCTTGCTGACCTCATGCATTGTAATGATAGAGACATCCTGGGCGACCTCAGGCTTTCTAAGGGTAGAGACACGTGGTTGATCATAGGCATACTAACGAGAGAGACTAGTGGCCAAATACAGGTATTCTAATGATAGAGACTCCTGCCTGACACCTTGCATTCTAATGTTAGAGATACTTGGGCGACTGCAGACGTTCAAAGGATAGAGAAACCTGGGCAACCCCAGAATTTTTTATGGGAGAGACTCCTGGACGAACCTGGGCATTCTAATGAGATGGACTCCTTGCCAACCCAAGGCATTCCAATGATAGAGACCACTGTCTTACCACACACATTCTAATGATAGAGACACCTATGCAACCTCAGGCATTCTAACAGGAGAGACTCCTGGCCCACCCCAGACATTGTAATGATAGAGAAGCTTTGGTGACATCACGCTTTCTAAGAATAGAGACACCTGGCCTACCCCAGGCATTCTAATGGAAGATACTCCTTGCCAAGCCCAGGTATTCTAATAATAGACACTCCTGGTCTACCCTGGATATTCTACTGATAGAGACACCTCTGCAACCTTAGGCATTCTGAGGATAGAGACAGCTGGCTGACCCCAGGCATTCTAATGGGGGAGACTCCTGGCTGACCTTAGGCATTCTAAATGGAAAGACTCCTGGCACACCTCAGGCATTCTAATAATACAGACACCTGGGTGACATTAGGCATTCTAAGGATAGAGACACCTGGCCAAAAACAGCCATTCTAACAAAAGATACTCCTGGCCTACCCCAGGCATTCTAATGATAGAGACACAAGGGAGACCTCAGACATTATAAGGGTAGAGACACTTGACAGACCTTAGGCATTCTAATGAGAGAATCTCGTGGCCACCCTTAGGCATTCTAATGGGAGAGACTCCTGGCCAACCCAAGGTATTCTCATGAGAGAGAATTTTGGGTGACATCAGGCATTCTAAGGACAGAGACACCTTGCTGACAAAAGGCATGCACACGAGAGAGACTCTTCACCTTCCCCACACATTCTAAGGATAAAGACTCATGGCCTGTCACAGGCATTCTAATTTTAGAGACTCCTGTTTGACCTCAGACATCCTAAGGATAGAGATACCTGGCCGACTCCAGGTATTCTACCCAGAGAGACTGCTGGCTGACTCCAGGCATTCTACTGGGTGAGATTCCTGGCGGACCCCATTCATTATAATAATTAAGACTTTTAGCTGACCCCAGGCATTCTAATATTAGAGACACCTGGGAGACCTCAGGCATTCTAAGGGTAGGGACACATGGCCGAATCCAGGCATTCTAAAAGGAGGGACTCCTGGCCGACCATAGACATTCTAATGATAGAAACTTCTGGCTTACCACAGGTATTCTAATGCTAGAGAACCCTGTGTGACCTCAGTCATTTTAAGGATAGAGACACCAGGCCAACCCCAGGCATTCTAACAGGAGAGACCCCTGGCCAAACCAAGGCATTGTAATGGGTGAAACTCCTCATTGACCCCAGGCAATCTAATGATAGAGACAAGTGGGTGACATCAGTCATTCTAAGAATAGATATACCTGGCCGAACCCAGGGATTCTAATGATAGAGACTCTTGGCCAACTGAAGGCATTCTAATGTTAGAGACACCCGTGAGACCTCAGGCATTGTAAGGATAGAGAAACCTGGCTGACGCCAGGCATTCTAACTGGAGAGATAGGTGGCTGAGCCCAGGTATTTCAATGGAAGAGAGTCCTGGCCAACCCCAGGCAGTCCTATGGTAGACTGGCCGACTATTGGCCGACCCCAAGCATTCTAATGATATAGATACCTGGGCGGCCTCAGGCATGCTAAGGATAGAGACACCTGGCTGACCCCACGCATTCTAAGGAAAGAGGCTCTTGGCTCTTTCTAATGGTATTCTCTTGGCATTCTAATGATAGACATTTGGGCAGCCTCAGGCATTCTAGAAATAGAGACATATGGCCTACCAAAGACAATCTAATGAAAGAGACTTCTTGCACACCCTGTAATTTTAATGATAGAGACTCCAGGCCTTCCCAAGGAATTCTAATGATAGAGACACATGTGTGACTGCAGGCATTCTAAAGCAAAAGACAACTGGCCCTCCCAAGCATTCTAATGGGAGAGACTTTTCGCTTACCCCATTTATTCTAATGATGTAGACTTCTGGCAGACCCCAGGAATTTAATTATAGTGACAACTGGACGATCTCAGGCATTTTAAGGATAGAGACACCTGGCTGACCCAGGCATTCTAACGGGAGAGATTCCTGGCCAACCCCAGGCATTCCAATGATAGAGACTACCTACCTACCCCAGGCATTCTAATGATAGAGACCATATGCAACCTCAGTCATTCTAACATAGAGACACCTGGCCAAACCAGGTTTTCTAATGGGGGAGACTAATGGTTGACCCATGGCATTCTAATGATAGAGACTCCTTGTTGACCACAGGCACTGTAATGATACAGACGCCTGGGCAACCTCGGGCATTCTAAGAATAGAGACACCTGACTGACCTCAGGGATTCTAACAGGAAAGACTTCTGGTCAACCACAACATTACAATGATAGAGATGCCTGGCCTACCCCAGGCATTCTAATGATAGAGACATTTGTGCAACCTCGGACATTCTAAGGATAGATAGAGACATCTGGACGACCTCAGGCATTCTAAGGATAGAGACATCTGGCTGACCAAAGGCATTCTAAGAGGTGAGACTCCTGGCTGACCACAAAGATTCTAATAATGGAGACTCTTGGCCTACCCAAGATATTCTAATGATGGAGACACCTTTGCAACCTCAGGTATTCTAAGGATAAAGTCACCTAGCCGACACCAGGCACTCTAATGGGAAAGACTCTTGGTTGACCCCAGGCATTCTAATGATGGAGACTCCTGCCGAACCCAATAATTATACTGATAGAGACGCCTGGGCAACCTCACCAGTATAAGGACAGAAAAACTTTCATGACACCAGCCATTCTAATAGGAGAAACTCCTGGAAGACCCCAGGAATTCTAATCATAAAGTCCTGGCATAGCCCAGGCATTCTAATGATAGAGATCCATGGACGACCTCAGGCATTCTGAGGATAGACACATCTTGGCAAACTCAGGAATTTCAATTGGAGAGCTTCCTGGCTGAACCCAGGCATTCTAATAATAGAGACATCAGGCCAACCTCAGACATTCTAATGAGAGGGTATTCTGGACCACCCCAGGCCTTCTAACGTTAGAGACACCTGGGCGACCTCTGGCATTCTAAGAATACAGACACTTGTCCTACTCCAGGCTTTCTACAGGAGAGAATTCTGGCCAGCCCCAAGCATCCTAAGGACAGGAACATCTGGCCGACCTGAGGAATTCTAGCAAGAGAGTCTTCAGGCAGACTGCAGGCATTTAATAATGGAGAAAACTGGGCAACCTCAGGCATTCAAATGATATATACTCCTGGTTAACCCAAGGCCTTCTAATAATAGACACACCTGGGCAACTTTTCACATTCTAAGGATAGAAGCACTTAGTGGATCTCAGGCATTTTAACAGTAGAATATTCTGGCCGGCCCCAGGCATTCTAATGATAGAGACACCTGGGTACCCAAAGGCATTCTAAGGATAGGGAATCCTGGCTGACACGAGGCATTTTAATGATAGACACGTAGGGGACCTCAGGCATTCTAAAAATAGAGACTTCTGGCCAACTCCAGGTATTGTAACGATAGAGACACCTGGCCAACATCAGACATTCTAAAGATAGAATCTCCTGACCAAACACAGGCATTCTAATGGGAGAGACTCCTGGCCGACTGCAGGCATTCTAATGATAGAGACACCTGGGCAACCTCAGGCATTCTAAGGATAGAGACTGCTGGTCAGTCCCAGACATTTTACTGATAGAGACACCTGGCCGACTTCTGGCATTCTAAGGATAGAGACATCTGTCCAACCTCAGGCATTCATATGAGAGAGCGTCCTATCTGACCCCAGGAATTCTGAGGATAGAGAGATCAGGCCAACATCAGGCATTCACAGTATAAAGACTCCTGGCTGAGCCCAGGCATTCTAATGATAGGGACACCTGGGCAACATCCAGCACTCTAAGAATAAAGTCACTTGTCTGACCTCTGGTATTCTAAAGGGAGAGACTCCTGGCCGACACCAGGCATTTTAAAGAGAGAGGCTCCTGGCTGACCCAAGACATTCTAACTGGAGAGACTCCTGACTGACCTCCCACATTCTAATGATAGAGACAGCTGGCCGACCACAGGCATTCTAAGGACAGAGATTCCTGGGCAACCCCGGGCATTCTATTTGGATAGACTCCTGGTCGACCTCAGTTGTTCCAATAACAGAGACACCTGGGCAACCTCCAGCATTCCAAGGGTAGAGACAACTGGCTGACCTCAGTCTTTCTAACAGTGGAGACTCCTGCCGACCACAGGCATTCTAAGGATAGAGATATCTGGCCGACCTCAGGCATTCTAACAGTAGAGTCTCCTGGCCAACAGCAGGCATTCTAATGATACGGTCACCTGGCCGAACTCAGGCATTCTAAGGATAGAGACTCATGGCCGATTTTAGGCGTTCTAATGGGAGAGACTACTGGCTGATCCCTGACATTCTAATAATGGAGACAACTGGGCGACTTCAGGCAATTTAATGATAGAGACACCTAGGCAAAATCAGACATCCTAAAAAAAGAAGCTCCAGGCCCTCCCCAAGCATTCTGATGAGAGACACCTGTGAGACCTCTGGCATTTTAATGGTAGAGACTTCTGGCCATTCCCAAGCATTGCAATGATAAAGACACCTGGCCAAACTCAGGCATTCTAAGGATAGAGACTTCAGGCTGACCTCAGGCATTTTCAGGATAGAGATTCCTGGCCAACTACAGACATTCTAATGGTAGAGTTTCCTGGCCGACTACAGGTATTCTAATGATAGAGACACCTGGGCGACTTTTGGCATTCTAAAGATAGAGAGTACCATCTGACCTCAGGCACTCTAAAGGCAGAGTCACCTGGCTGACAACAGTCGTTCTAATGATAAAGACACCTGGGCTACCTCAGGCATACTAAGAACAGAGACTCCTGGCTGAGCCCAGGCATTCTAATGATCGACATCTACGCAATCTCAGGCATTATAAGTACAGAGACTCTTGGTCAACTCCAGGCATTCTAATGATAGACACATCTGGCTGGCCTCTGGCATTCTAAAAATAGAGACTCGTGGTCAACACCAGGCATTTTAATGGTTGAAACTCCTGACAAACACCAGACATTCTAATGATGCCGACATTTCAGCGACCTTTGGCATTCTAAGGAGAGAGACACCTTGCTGACCTCAGACATCTAATGGGAGAGACTCCTGGTTGAGTCCAGGCATTCTAAGAATAGGGACATCTGACCGACCTCAGGCATTGAAATTTTAGAGTATCTTGGCCAACCCCAGGCATTCTAATTACAGAGACACCTGGACAAACTCAGGAATTATGAAAATAGAGATTCCTGCCCGACCCCAAGCATTCTAATAATAGACACCTGGCTGACCCCAGGCATTCTAAGAATAGAGACTCCTGACCAATCATAGGCATTCTAATTATAGACCTTGGTGGCCTCAGTCTTTCTAAGGATAGAGACTCCTGGCTGACACAGAAATTCTTATGATAGAGGCACATGGCCAATATCACACATTCTAAGGATGGAAACATGCGGCCAACATTAGGCATTCGAATGGGTGAGACTACTGGACGACCCCAGGCATTCTAATGATAGAATAACCTGGGCAAACACAGGCATTCTATCAGAAAATATTTCTAGCTGACCCAGGCATTCTAAGGCTACAGAAATCTGGCCGTCCCCAAGCATTTGTATGGAAAGTGTCCTGGCCCACCCCAGGCATTCTATGATTGAGACACCTGGGCAACCTCAGGCCTTTTAAGAATTGAATCTCCTAGCCTACCCTAGGCATTATAATCATAGACACCTGGGTGACCTCAGGCATGCTAAGAATAGAGACTTCTGGCTGATCTCAGGCATTTTAATGGGAGAGCCTCCTGGCCAAAGCCAGGCATTCTAATGATAGAGAGAACAGGGTGACCTCTGTCATTCTAAGGATAAAGACTCCTGGCCAACCCCAGACATTCTAATGATAGACAACTGGGCGACTGCATGCCTTCTAAGGATAGAGACTCCTGGCCGACCCTAGGCATTCTAATGTTAGAGACACATTGGTGACCTCTGGCATTCTAAGGATAGAGACTTCTGGCCAACCACAGGCATCCTAATAGTAGAGTATCCTGGCCGATCCCAAGCAATCTGATGATGGAGAGACTTGGGCAACCTCCAGCATTCTAAGGATAGAAACTCCTTGTCGACCCCAGGCACTGCAACAATAGAGACCCCTTGTGGACCTCAGGCATTCTACAAATGGAAAAGTTAGCCAATCCCAGGAATTCTAATGAGAGAGATTCCTGACGAAGCCCAGACATTCTAATGACAGAGACACCTGGGCAACATTTGGCATTCTAAGGATAGAGACCCCTGGTCGACCTGTGGCATTTTAATGGGAGACAATCCTGGCCTACCTCAGACATTCTAAGAACAGAGACATCTGACAGACCTGAGGCATTCTAACGGGAGAGTATCCAGGCTGACTCCTGGCATACTAATAATAGACACAGCTGAGTGAACACAAGCATTCCAAGGGCAGAGACTCCTGTCCAAACCCAGGCATTCTAATGAAAGAGAAACCTGGGAGGCCTCCAGCATTGTAAGAATAGAGATATCTGGCCATCTTCAGGCATTCTAATGGTAGAGTGTTCTTGTCGACCTCTGACATTCTAATGACAGAGAAACCTGAGCCACCTCAGCCATTCTAAAGATAGAGGCTCCTGGCTGACAGTAGGCTTTCTATTGATAGAAATCTGGGTAAACACAGGCATTCTAAGGATAGAGACTCCTGACTGACCCAAGGTTTTCTAATGATAGAGACACTTGGCCACACTCAGGCATTCTACCAATAGAGACTTCTGGCCAACCCCAGGGATTCTAATGGAAGAGACTCCTGGACAAACCCAGGAATTCTAATGACAGAGACACCTGGACAACCTCAGGTATTCTCAGGATAGAAACTTCTGGCCTGCCCCAGACATTCTAATGTTAGAGACACTTGGCCTACCTCCAACATTCTTTTTTTTTCTTTTTTGAAGTGTCATTCTGTCACCCAGGCTGGAGTGCATGGCGTGATCTTGGCTCACTGCAACCTCCACCCCCCAAGTTCAATCAATACTCCTGTGTCAGCCTCCCAAACAGCTGGGATTACAGGCATACGCCACAATACCCAGCAAATTTTTGTATTTTTAGTAGAGACAGGGTTTCACCATGTTCATCAGGCTGGTCTCGAACTCCTGACATCATGAGCCACCCACCTCGGCCTCCCAAAGTACTGAGATTACAGGCATGAGCCAGAGAACGGAGCCCAAACTCCAGTATTCTAAGAATACAGACATCTTGCCGAACTCCATAATTTTAACTGAAGAGTCTCCTAGCTGACCCCAGGGGTTCCAATGATAAAGATACCTGGGTGACCTCAGTCATTCTAAGGATACAGACCCTGCCCAACCCCAGTCATTGTAATGATAGACACATGCGTGACCTCAGGCATTCTAATGACAGAGACCTCTGGCCCACATGAGGCATTCTACTAGGAGAGGCTCCTGGCCTACCACAGGCATTCTAATGATAGAGACATCTGGTCAATCTCAAACATTCTGAGAATAGAGACTCCTGGATGATCCCAGGTATTCTAATAATAGAGACATCTGGGCTACATCCAGCATTCTAAGGATAAAGACATCTGGCTGAACACAGGCCTTCTAATGATAGAGACACCTGGGTGACCTCAGGCATTTTAAGGATAAAGACTCCTGGCTGACCCAAGGCATCCTGATGACAGACACCTTGGCGACCTTGGGCATTCTAAAACTTGAGAGTCCTAGCCAACCTCAGGCATTCTAATGATAGAGACAACTGGGTGACCTCTGGCATTCCAAGGATAGACTTCTGGCCGACCTCAGGCATTCTAATGGGAGACTCTCTTGGCTGAGCCCAGGTATTCTAATTACCAGAGTCACCTGGGCGAACTCAAGCATTCTAAGAATAGAGTCTCTTGGCCAACCCCAGATGATCTAATGATAGACAACTGAATGACCTTAGGGATTCTAATAATAGAGACATCTGGGCCACCTCTAGCATTCTAAGGATAGAGACATCTGGAATATATATTTTCATTCACCAGGTTGAAAACACTCTTTTTGTTTATTATACGAGGGGAAATTTCTGAGCCCATTGAATCGCATAAAAATAGAATATTCTGCGATTAAAAACTAGAAACAAGCTATCTTTGAAAATGCTTTGTTAACTGTGGCTTCATCTCAAGAATGGGACCATCTCACGGAATAGAACCATCTCAGAGAATGAAGTGTTTCCAGGTTGGAAATGCTCTTTTTGAAGAATCTATGGAGCAAAGATTCTGAGCCCATTGTAACCAAAAAGGAAAATCGAATATCCCACAATAAAAACTAGAAAGAAGCTATCAGTGAAAATATTTCTGATGTGTGGTTTCATTTCACAGAATGGAAACTGTGTATTGATTCACCAGGTAAATTATAGCCTTTTTGTAGAATCTTCGGGTGTACAATTCTGAACCCATTGAAGCCTATAGTGAAAATTGAATATCCCAGGATAAAAACTAGAAACAAGCTGTGAAAATGCTTTGTGATGTGAGGATTTATCGCACAGAATGGAACCTGATTTTTGATTCACCAGGTCGGAAACACACTTTTGGTAGATCCTACAAAGAGACACATTTGAGACTATTGTGGCCACGAGAAAAAAATTAAATATCCCACCATAAAAACTGGAAACATGTTATCTGTAAAAATCCTTTCTGATGTTTGGATTCGCATTTTAATTCATCAGGTTCTAGACACTCTTTTTGTAGAATCTATGAATTGGTATTTCGGAGCCCATTGAAGGCTATAGTGTAAAACAGAATATCCCATGATAGAAACTAGAAAAAAGCTATATGTGAAAATCCTTTCTTATGTGCAGATTCACGGCAGAGAATGAAACCTATGTTTTGATTCACCAGGCTGGAAACACTTTATTTGTAGAAATTTGAAGAAACAATTCAGAGGCCATTGTGGCCAATATGGAAAACTGAATATTCCGTGAAAAAAAAATAAAAACAAGCCATCTATGAAAATGCTATGTGATGCATGGATTCATCTCACAGAATGTAACATGTGTTTTCATGCACCAGGCTCAAAACACTCTTTTTGTAGAACCTATAAACGGACATTTCTGAGCCCGTCGAATCCCATAAAAAATGTTGAGTATACCATGATTAAAACTAAAAACAAGCTGTCTGTGAAAATGCTTTGTGAAGTGTGGATTCATCCCACAGAATGGAAACTGTGTATTGATTCACAGGTTAAAAACACTCTTCTCTAGAGTCTACAGGGCTACTATTCTGAGCCAATTGAAGTGTATAGTGAAAAATGAATATCCCACAATAAAAACTAGAAAAAAATCTATCTGTGAAAATGCTTTGTGTTGTGTGGATTCATCTCACAGAATAAAACCTGTGTTTTCACTCACCAAGTTGAAAACACACTTTTTGTAAAATCTTCTTAAGGACATTTCTGTGTCCATTGAGGTCCATAAAAAATTAAATATCCCATGAAAAAAACTAGATAAAAAACTATGTGTGAAAACTCCTTGTGATGTGTGGATTTATCTCCCAGAATGGAACTTGTGTTTTGATTCACCAGGGTAAAAATGTTTTTTGTAGAATCTACAAAGGGACATTACTGAGCCCATTACATGCAATAACAAAAATAGAAAATCCTAGGAGAAAAACTAGAAACAAGCTATCTGTGAAAGTGCTTTTTGATGTGTAGATTCAACTCACAGAATGCAACCTGAAAATGCATCAGTTTGCAAACACTCTTTTTGTAGAAGCTACTTAGGGACATTTGTGTGCTCATTGAGACCAATTAGGAAACATCAGATATCCCTCAATAAAAACTATAAACAAGCTATCTGTGAACATAGTTTTTGATGTGTGGATTCATCTCACAGAATGGAACCTGTTTTTGATTTACCAGGTTGGAAACAAGCTTTTTCTAAGATCTGCAAAGGACATTTTTTTGAGCCCACTAAGGCTTACAAAAAAAATTAAATATCTTTTGATAAGAACTTGAAACACACTATCTGTGAAAATGCTTCTTGATTTGTAAATTTATCTCACAGAATGGAAACTGTGTTGTAATTCACCAGATTGGAAGCGCTCATTTGTAGAATCTACAAAGGGACATTTTTTAGCACATTGATGCCAATAAGGACAATCGAATATCTTGTGAAAAAACTAGAAACAAGCTACTGGTAAAAATGCTTTACAACCTGTGGATTCATCTCAAGGAATTGAACCTGTGTTTTTGATACATGAGCTTGAAAACACTCTTTCGGTAGAATCTATTGAGGGACACTTCTGAATCCATTGAGGCCAGTTAGGAAAATAGAATATCCCACGGTAAAAACTGGAAACAGTCTGTCTATAGAAATGCTCTGTAATGCCTGGATTCATCTCACAGAATGGAGTCTGTATTTTGATTCACCAGATTGAAAACATTTTCTTTTAGAACCTATGAAGGGACATTTCTGAGCCCACTGAGGAAAAAAAATAGAATATCCCACGATAAAAACTAGAAACAACTTATCTGTGAAAGTTTTTTGTGACTCGTAACTTCATTGCACAAAATAAATCTTGTTTTTTGATTCACCAGGTTGGAAACATTGTTTTGTTACAGTCTATGAAGGGGCATTTTTGAGCCCATTGTGGCCAATGAGGAAATTCAAATATCCCATGATAAATACTAGGAACAAGCCGTTTGTGAAAATGCTTTGTGATGTGTGAATTCATATCACGGAATGGAACATGTGTTTTCATTAACCAGGTTGGAAAGACTCTCTTTGTACATCTTCAGAGGGACAATTCTGAGACCTTTAGGCCCATAAAAAATCAAATATCATGCGATAAAAAACACAAGCAACTTTTGAAAATGCTTTGTGATGTCTAAATTTGTCTCACAGAATGAAACCTGTGTTTTGCTTCACCAAGTTGGAAACACTCTTTATGTAGTATCTACGAGGGGACATTTCTGAGCCTTTTGAAGCCTGTAATGAATAACTGAATATCACATGATAAAAATAAGAAACAAGCAATCTGTAAAAATATTTTGTAATGTGTGAATTCATCTTTCAGAATGGAAAGTATGTTTTGATTCTTCATTTTGGAAACTCTCTTTTGGTAGAATTTATAGCCAAACATCTCTGAGCCCATTGAATCCTATAAGGAAAAACTAAATATCGTGTGTTAAGAACTAGAAAAAAGCTATCTGTGAAAATGCTTTGGGATGCGTGGATTCATCTTACAGAATGGAACATGTGTTTTGTTTTACCAGGTTGGAAGCACACTTTCTGTAGACTCTACAAAGGGAAATTTCTTAGCCCTTTTAAGCCTAAGGTTAAAAATGAAATATCCTGCCATAAAAAGTGGAAGCAAGCTATCTGTGAAAATGCTTTGTGAGGAGTATTCATCTCACAGAATGGAATCTGTTTTTTGATTCACCTGGTTGGAAACACTCTTTTTGTAGATTTTACGAAAAGACGTTACTGAGCTTAGTGAAGCCAATAGTGAAAAACCGAATATCCCACATTCAAATCCAGAAAGAAGTTATTTGTGAAAATGCTGTGTGATGTGTGGACTCATCTCACAAAATAAGACCTGTGCTCTGATTTAAAAGGTTGGAAACACTCTTTTTGCAGTATCTACAAAGGGACATTTCTATGCCCATTGAAGTCTATAGTGAAAAACCGAATATTCCTCAATTAAAAACTGGAAACAAGCTGTTTATAAAAATGCTTTGTGATGTGTGGATTTTTCTCCCAGAATGGCACCTCTGTTTTGATTCACCCGGTTGGCAACACTCTTTTTTGTGGAATCTACATAGGTACGATTTTGAGCCCATTGAAGCCTATAGGGAAAAACAAAATATCCCATGATAAAAACTGGAAACAAGCTGTCTGTGAAAATGCTTTTGGATGTGTGCATTCATCTTACATAATGGAACATGTGTTTTGATTCAACAGGTAGGAAAGACTTTTCTTGCAGAATCTACAAAGAGAAACTTCTGAGCCCACTATGGACCATAAATAAAATCAAATATTCCATGATAAAAACTAAAAAGAATCTGTCTGAAAATTCTTTGTAATGTGTGAGTTCATCTCACAGAATGGTACCCATGTTTTGATTTACCAGAATGGAAAATTCTTTTTTAGAATCTACGAAAGGATATTTCTGAGCTTAATGAAGCCTAGAGTGAAAAACGAAATATCCCACATGAAAACCTACAAACAAGCTATCTGTGAAAATGCTTTGTGATTTGTGGATTCAGCTAACAGAGATAAACCTCCGTTTAACTCTGGATATACTCTTTTTGTAGAATCTATAAAGGGACATTTGTGAGCTATTGAAGCCTAAAATAAAAAACTAAATATTTAGCAATAAAAAGTAGAAGCAGGATATCTGTGAAATTGTTTCAAGATGAGTGAATTCATCTCAGATGATGGAACTTGTATTTTAACTCACTGGGATGAAAACACTCTTTTGCTATAATCTAGGAAGGGACATTTTGGACCCCATTAAAGTCTACAGTGGGTGTGGCTGGCAAGATGGCCGAACAGAAACAGCTCCGGTCTGCAGTTCCCAGTGAGGTCAATGCAGAAGGTGGGTGATTTTTGCACTTCCAACTGACGTGCCAGGCTCATCACATTTGGACTGGTTAAACAGCAGGTGCAGGCCATAGAGAGTGAGCTGAAGCAGGGTGGGGCATTGCCTCACCTGGGAAGTGCAAGGGGTTGAAGAACTCCCTCCCCTAGCCAAGGGAAGCCAAGAGGGACTGTGCTGTGAGGAATAGTGCACTTCAGCACCGATACTATGCTTTTCCCATGGTCTTTGCAACCCACAGACAAGGAGATTCCCTTTGATGCTTGTCCCACCAGGGCCCGGGGTTTCAAGCACAAAACTGGGAAGCTTTTTAGGCAGACACTGAGCTGGCTGCAGGAGTTTTTCTTCCCATATGCCAGTGGCACCTGGAATTCCAGTGAGACAGACCCATTCACTTCCTTGGAAAAGGGTCTGAAGCCAGGGAGCCAAGTGGCCTAGCTCAGTGGATCCCACATCCATGAAGCCTAGCAAGCTAAGATTCACTGGATTGAAATTCTTGCTGCCAGCACAGCAGTCTGAAGTCGACCTGGGATGCTGGAGCTTGGTGAGGGTAGGTGCATGGGCCATTACTAAGACTTGAGCAGGCGGTTTTCCCCTCATAGTGTAATTAAAGACCCCAGGAAGTTTGAACTGGGTAGAGCCCATCACAGCTCAGCAAAGCCACTGTTGCCAGACTGCCTCTCTAGACTCCTCTTCTCTGGGCAAGGTATCTCTGAAAGTAAGGCAGCAGCCCCTGTCAGGGTCTTAGAGATAAAACTCCCATATCCCTAAGACAAAGCACCTTGGGAAAGGGGTGGCTGTGGGTGCAGCTTCAGCAGACTTAACGTTCCTGCCTGCCAGCTCTGAAGAGAGCAGCTGATTTCCCAGCAGAGTGGGACCCTGACCCCCATGCCTCCTGACTGAAAGACACCTCCCAGCAGGGGTTGACAAACGCCCTCATAAAAAAGAGCTCTGGATGGCTTCTGGCAGGTGCCCCTCTGGGGCAAATCTTCCAGAGAAAGGAGCAGGCAGCAATCTTTGCTGTACTGCAGCCTCCACTGGTGATACCCAGGCAAAGAGTGTCTGCAGTGGATCTCCAGTAAACTCCAGCTGACCTGCAACAGAGGGGCTTGACTGTTAGAAGGAAAGCTAACAAATGGAAAGAAATAGCATCAACATCAACCAAAGGAGGTCCACACAGAAACCTCATTGGAAGGTTACCAACATAAAGACCAAAAGTAGATAAATCCACGAAGATGAGGAAAAAAGGTGCAAAAAGTCTAAAAAATTCCAAAAACCAGAATGCCTTTTCTCCCCCAAAGGATCACGAATCCTGACTAACAAGGAAACAAAAGTGGACAGAGAATCAGTTTGACAAATTGAAAGAAGTAGGCTTCAGAAGGTGGGTAAAAACAAACTCTTCCAAGCTAAAGGAGCATGTTTTAACGCAATACAAAGAAGCTAAGAACCTTGAAAAAGGTTAAACGAATTGCTAAGTAGAATAACCAGTTTAGAGAAGAACATAAATGACCTGATGGAGCTGAAAAACACAGCATGAGAACTTTGTGAATCATATAGAAGTATCAATAGCTGAATCGATCTAGCGGAAGAAAGGATATCAGAGATTGAAGATCAACTTAATGAAATAAAGCCTGAATACAAGATTAGAGAAAGAAGAATGAAAAGAAACAAACAAAACCTCAAATAAATATGGGATTATGTGGAAAGACAAAACCTATGTTGGATTATTGTACTATTGCGGGATCTGGCCGGCAGTCTGCAATGCAACGGGGCTCTCTCTCTGCTCCTAGGTGGATCGGCAAGTTGAGAAATAATGGACACACACAAGATAGTGAAAGCTGGGTCCAGGGGGCCACCGCCTTCTGGTCCCGTGGTGTCAACAATGCACAGGATATACCTCCATTTATTATTAAGTTTAGCGAGGGTGGGGGTAGGTTAATGAGGGATTTAGGGTCATTTGATTATGAGGTGAGATGGTCACATAGGGATGAAGTGATTCTTTAAGATAACATTTGTATGTAGAATAAGTACAGTACATTTGTATGTAGAAGTACAGTATACAGAGATAAGAATTTACAATTTAGTGTGTGCGTCAGTAATTTCTAACAGAGCCTTAGAACAGAAACACAATCTTTCCATAACCTATGATTAGCAAGATATTAATCAGCAGTAACAATTGCAACAAAAGCTGGTTACAAACAATCCATGGAAACAGGTCGTGAAGCTAGACAACTGGTTAGACCAGAAATTCTCAGAAGGGAGTATGCTTTAATCCTAAAGAGGCCTAGAAGAGTCACAGCAAGATGAAGGCGTTTATAGCCCTATCTTATCCATATGGACAGGCGCACCCCATGCATCCATTTATAGGCTTTCCACAAGGGTCGCATTCCATTCCCAGAGCTACGAACATCTGCTTTTCTGGGATAGGAGTCTTGGTGATGTGAAACCTCCCTGACTGCACGTCCATTCATAGGCTCTCTGCAGGGGGAGGCACATCACGTGCTGTTGGCTCGTTCTGGCCGTCCAACCTGGCATTGTCTTTACACAATCCTGCATGAAATTTTGTATTTACAATAATCAGAAGCATTTCATCTTTTATTCCATAGCAATAGTTTCAGGGGGTCTCTCTACACTGTACCTGAAATTGATGGGGACAATGGAATTCAAGTTGGAAAACATTCTTCAGGATATTATCCAGGAGAATTTCCCCAACCTAGTAAGACAAGCTAACATTCAAATTCAGGAAATACAGATAACACCACAAAGATACTTCTCTAGAAGTGCAACACCAAGACAAGTGATATCAGATTCACCAAAATTGGAATAAAGGAAAAAATGTTAAGGGCATCCAGAGAGAAATGTCGGGTTACCCACAAAGGGAAGGCCATCAGACTAACAACGGATATTTCTGCAGAAACCCTACAAGCTAGAAGAGACTTGGGACCAATATTTAATATTCTTAAAAAGAAGAATTTTCTTTTTTTTTTCAGGTGCACTGGTGACGTAATTTATTTTTTTCTCTTTTTTGATATTATACTTTATGTTCTGGGGTACATGTGCGGAATGTACAGGTTTGTTTCATAGGAATGCACGTGTGATGGTGGTATGCTGTACCCATCAACGGGTCATCTACATTAGATATTTCTCCTAATTCTACTGCTCCCCTAGCCCCACAACCCCTGACAAGCCCCAGTGTGTGACATTCCTGTCCCTGTGTCCATGTGTTCTTATTGTTCAACTCCCACTTATGAATGAGAAAATGTATAGAGTATAAATTATTCTACTATAAAGACACATGCACACATATGTTTATTGCAGCACTGTTCACAATAGCAAGGATTTGCAACCATCCCAAATGTCCGTCAATAATAGGCTGGATAAATAAAATGTGGCACATATACACCATAGAATACTATGCAGCCATAAAAAAAGATGAGTTCATGTTCTTTGCAGGGATATGGAAAAAGCTGAAAACCATAATTCTCAGCAAACTAACACAAGAACAGAAAACCAAACACCGCATGTTCTCATTTACAAGTGGGAGTTGACAAATGAGAACACATGGACACAGGAAGGAAAGCAACACATACTGGGGCCTGTTGGGGGGTGGGGGCCTAGGGGAGGGAGAGAATTAGGAGAAATACCTAATGTAGATGACCGGTTTATGGGTGCAGGATACCACATTTTCACTTGTGTAACTATGTAACAAGCCTGCACGTTCTGCACATGTATTTCAGATATATATATATAGCCTGTAGTGAAAAACTGAACATCTTCAGATAAAAAGTAGAAACAAGATAACATAAAAATGCTTTTTGATGTGTGGATGTGTCTCACAGAATGGAACCTGTGCTTTGATTAGACAGGTTGGAAACATTCTTTTTGTAGAAACTGGGAAGAGATATTTCTGAGCCCATTGTAGCCAATAAGGGAAATCAAATATCCCGTGTTAAAAAGTAGAAACAAGCTATTTGTGAATATGCATTGTGATGTCTGGATTCATCTTACAGAATGGAACTTGTGCTCTGATTCGTCAATTTGGAAACTCTGTTTTTAAAATATATAAAAGGGCATTTCTGAGCCCACTGAGGCCAATAAGAAAAGATCGAATATCTGGTGATAAAAACTAGGAGTAAGGTGTCTGTGAAAATGCTTTGTGATTTGTGAATTCATCGCACAAAATGAAACCTTTGTTTTGATTCACCAGGTTGGAAGCACTATTTTTGTAGAATATAAAAAGGAACATTTCTGAGTCCATAGAGGCCAAAAAGAAAAAATCAAATACTACATGATAAAACTAAGATACAAGCTATCTGTGAAAAATGCTTTGTGATGTTTGGATTCATCTCAAAGAACACTGTTTTTTTGTAGAATGTATGAAGGGATATTTCTGAGCCCATTGGGGCAAATAATGAAAAATTGAATGTTCCACGATAAAAACTAGAAACAAGCTATCTGTGACAATGCTTTGTCGTGTGTGGGTTCATCTCACAGAATGGAACTTCTGTTTTGATTTGACAGGTTGGAAATACACTTTTTGTAAAATCTACAAGGACGCATTTTTTAGACCATTGAGGGCCTTAAGAAAAAATTGATTACTTCCGACGAAAACTAGAAACAAAATATCTGTAAAAATCCTTTGTGAAGAGTAGATTTACTCGCAGAATGGAACATATATTTTGATTCAGTAGGTTGGAAACACTCTTTTTGTTCAATCTAAGAAGGGATATTTCTGAGCTCATTGATGCCAATAAGGAAAAAGCAAATATACTGCGATAAAAACTAGAAGGAAGTTGTCTGTGAAAACGCTCTGTGATGTGTGAATTCATCTAACAAAATGAAACTTGCTTTTGGATTCACCAGTTAGGAACACTCTTTCAGTAAAATCTATGAGAGAACATTTCTGAGCCCATAGAAGTCTAGAGTGACAAACAAAATACCCTGCATTAAAACCTAGAAAAAATCTATTCATCAAAATACTTTGTGAGGTGTGGTTTCAGCTCACAGAGTTAAAGCTTTGTTTTGATTCACCAGATTGGAAACACTCTTTTTGTAGAATCTACAAAGGGACATTTGTGAGCCCACTGAAGCCTAAAATGTAAAACTGAATATCTGGTAATAAAAAGTAGAAGAAAGCTATTTGTGAAAATTCTTTGTGATGTGTGGATTCATCTCACAGAATGGAACCTGTCTTTTGATTCACCAGGTTGAAAACACTCTTTTTGTAGAATCTACGAAGGAATATTTGTGAGCCCACTGCACCTAATAGATAAAATTGAATATCTCACAATAAAAACTAGAAACACTCTATCTGCAAAAATGCTTTGTGATATGTGGATTAATCTCATAGGATAAAATCTGCAGGTTTTTTTTCACCAAGTTGGAAACACTGTTTTTGTAGACTCTATGAAAGGACATTTCTGGGTCCATTGTGGCCAAAAAGGAAATTCAAATATCCCTTGATAAAAACTAGAAACTAGCTATCTGTGAAAATATTTTATGATGTATGGATTCACCTCACTGAATGGAACCTGTGTGTTGATTAACCAAGTTGGAAACACTCTTTTTGGAGAATGTGCAGGGGTACAATTCTGAGCCCTTTAAATCCTAGTGTGAAAAAAGTATATTCCTCAATAAAAACTAGAAAGAAAGCCTTTGTGAAAATGCTTTGTGATGTGTGGATTCATCCAAGAGAATGGAACCTGTGGTTTATTCACCAGGTTTGAAACACTTTTTTGTAGAATCAGAAAGGGGACATTTATGAGTCCATTGAAGCGTACAGGAAGAAACCGAATATCTCACGTTAAAAAATAAAAACAAGCTATCTGTGAAAATGCTTCATGATGTGTCGATTCGTCTAACAGAATGAAACTTGTGTTTTGATTCACCAGGCTGTAAACACTCTTTTTTTTATAATCTACAAAGAGACATTTCTGAGCCCATTGCATCCAATAAAGGAAGAATAGAAGATTCCTCAATAAAAACTAGAAACAAGCTATCTGTGAAAATGCTGTGTGATGTGTGGATTCATCTCACAGAATGGAACTTTTTTTTTATTTACCAGGTTGAGACACCATTTTGGTAGAATGTACAGAGGGACATTATTGAGTCCATTGTGGCCTATAAGAAAAAATTAAACATTTCATGATAAATATTAGAAACATGCTAACTGTGAAAATGCTGTTTGATGTTTGAATTTATTTAACAGGATGGAACTTGCGTTTTGATTCACCATGTTCAAAACATTCTTATTGTAGAATTTACGAAGGGACATTTCTGAGCCCTTTGAAGCAAATAAGGAAAAATCGAGTAACCCATGATAAGAAAAAAGAAAGGAAAGGAAAGAAAAAAGAAAGAAAGAAAGAAGAAAGAAAGAAAGAGAAAAGAAAAGAAAAGAAAAAAGAAACAAGCTATTTGTAAAAACGCTTTGTGGAGTATGGCTTTATCTCACAAAATAAAACATATTTTCATTCACCAGGCTGAAAATACACTTTTTGTATAATCTAAGAAAGGACAGTTCTGAGATCATTGAGGCCCGTTAGGAAAAAAATTGATGACTGCAATAAGAGCTAGAAACAAAGTATCTGTGGAAATGCACTGTGATGTGTGGATACATCTCACAGTATAAAGCCTGTGTTTTGATTCACCAGCTTGGAAACACACTTTTTGTGGTATCTATGATGGGATATTGCTGAGTCATTTGGCAAAAATAAAATAAAATAAAATAAAAATAAAAAGAGTATCTTGCAATAAAAACTAGAAACAAACTAAGAAGGGATATTACTGAGCCCACTGAAGCCAATCAGTAAAAATCCAATATCTTATGATGAAAACTAAAAACAAGCTATCTGTGAAAACAACTGTTTGTGGTGTGTGGATTCATCTCACAGAATGGAACATGTGTTTTGATTCACCGGATTGGAAACATTTTTTTTGTAGCGTATACAAAAAGACATTCCTGAACCCATTGAAGCCTAGAGTGAAAATCCAAATATTCCTCATTAAAACCTATAAACAAGCTATCTGTGAAAATGCTTTGTGATATTTGGATTCATTTTATGAAATGCAATCTGTGCTTTGATTCACCAAGGTGGTTACACTCTTTTTGTAGAATGTACAAAGAGGCATTTCACAGCCCATTGTAATCAATAAGGAAAATCAAATATCCCACGATAAAAAAATAAATAAACAAGTTATCCGTGAAAATGCTTTGTGATGTGTGGATTCATCTCACAGAAATGAACTTGTGTTTATATTCACCAGCTTGGAAACCCTCTTTTTGTAGAGTCTACGATGGGTTATTTCTGAGTCATTTGGCAAAAAAAAAAAAAATAATAATAATACTATAATAAAACCTGAGTATCTGCTGATAAAAACTAGAAACAAGATATGATTTTAAAAAAACTCTGTGTGATATGTGGATTCATCTCACAGAATGGAATCTGTGCTTTGATTTACCAGGTTGAAAACCCTCTTTTTGTAGAATCTACAAATGGACATTTCTGAGCCCATTGAAGTCTAGGGTAAAAAACTGAATATCCTGTGATGAAAACTAGAACCAAGCTATCTGTGAAAATGCTTAGTTATATGTGGAATCAACTCAAAGAGCGTAATTTGTTTTTTGATTCTCCAGTTTGGGACCACTATTTTAGTAGAATAAACGAAGGAACATTTCTAAGGGCTTCGAGGCTCATAAAAAATCGATTATCCCAATAAAAACTAGAAACAAGCTACTTATGAAAATGGTTTGTGACGTGTGGATTCATCCCACAAAATGGATCCTGTGTTTTGATTCAGGAGGTTAGAAACTCTTCTTTGGTAGAATCTATTAAGGGACAGTTCTTAGACCATAGGGGTCCCTGAAAAAATCGAATATTCCATGACAAAAACTAGACACAAGCTATCTGTGAAAATGCTGCTTTGTGATGTGTAGATTCATTTCACAGAATGGAAATGATTTTTTTTTTGAGGGAGTCTCTCTCTGTCGCCCAGGCTGGAGTGCAGTGGTGCAATCTGCAAGCTCCACCTCCTGGGTTCATGCCATCTTCCTGCCTCAGCCTCCTGCGTAGCTGGGACTACAGGCACCTGCCACCACGCCTGGCTAATTTTTTTGTATTTGTAGTAGAGACGGAGTTTCTCTCCATTAGCCAGGATGGTCTCAATCTCCTGACCTTGTGATATGCCCACCTCAGCCTTCCAAAGTGCTGGGATTACAGGTGTGAGCCACCACGCCTGGCCCATAACTTGTGTTTTAATTCACCAGTTTGGAAACACACCTTTTGTAGAATCCAGGAATGGAAAATTTTGAGCCCATTGAGACACATAAGGAAAAACTGAATATGTCATGATAAAAACTAGAAACAATTTATCTGTGAAAATGTTTTGTGATGTGTGGATTTATCTCACAGTATGAAAATTGTGTTTTGATTCACCAGGTTGGAAGTGTTCTTTTTGTAGGATCTATAGCGGGATATTTCTGAGTCCATTGAAATTTAAAGTGAAAAAATGAATAACCCACAATAAAAAGTAGAAACAAGATACCTGCAAAAATGGTTTCAGGTGCATGGTCTAATCTCATAGAATGGAACATCTGTTTTCATTCATCAGGTTGGAAACTCTCTTTTTCTGGTATAAATGATGGGACATTTCTGAGGCCATTGAGACCAATATGAGAAAATTGAGTATCTCAAGAAAAAACTAGAAACAACATATCTCTGAAAATGTGGTATGATGTGTGGATTCATCTCACAGATTGGAATGTGTGTTTTGGTTCACAAAGTTTGAAACACTCTCTTCATACATCTACAAAGGGACATTTCCTGACCACGTTTAACACAATAACAAAAAAAATCAAATATCCCGTGATGAAAACTAGAAACAAGCTATTTGTGAAAAAGCTTTGTGATGTGTGGATTAATCTCACAGATTGGGATGTATGTTTTTTTTCATCAGCTTGGAAACACACCTTTTTGTAGAATCTACAAAGGTACAGTTCTGATCCCATAGAGGCCTATAAAAAATCAAATATCCAGTAATAAAAACTACAAACAAGGCTGGTTCAACAAAGGCAAATCAATAAATGTAATCCATCACATAAACAGAACCAATGACAAAAACCACATGATTATCTCAACAGATGCAGAAAAGGCCTTCAATAAAATTCAACATCCCTTCATGCTAAAAACTCTCAATAAACGAAGTATCAATGGAACGTATCTCAAAGTAATAAGAGCTATTTATGACAAACCCACAGCCAACATCATACTGAATGGGCAAAAACTGGAAGCATTCCCTTTGAAAATCGGCACAAGACGAGGATGCCTTCTCTCCTCTCACCATTCCTATTCAACATAGTGTTGGAAGTTCTGGCCAGGGCAATCAGGCAAGAGAAAGAAATAAGGGTATTCAAATAGGAAGAGAGGAAGTCAAATTGTCTCTATTTGCAGATGACATGATTGTATATTTAGAAAACCCCATCATCTCAGCCCAAAAACTCCTTAAGCTGATAAGCAACTTCAGCAAAGTCTCAGAATACAAAATCAATGTGCAAAAATCACAAGCATTACTATACACCAATAACAGAGAAACAGAGAGCCAAATCATGTGTCAACTCCCACTCACAGTTGCTACTAAGGGAATAAAATGCTTAGAAATACAACTTACGAGGGATGTGAAGGACCTCTTCAAGGAGAACTACAATACACTCAAGGAAATAAGAGAGGACACAAAGAAATGAAAGAACATTCCATGCTCATGGATAGGAAGAATCAATATCATGAAAATGGCCATACTGCCAAAGTAATTTATAGATTCAATGTTATCCCCATCAAACTACCACTGACTTTCTTCACATAATTGGAAAAAACTACTTTAAACTTCATATGAAACCAAAAAAGAAGACCAATAGAACAGAACAGAGGCCTCAGAAATAACACCACACATCTACAACCATCTGAATTTGACAAACCTGACGTTCACAACAATAGGAAAAAGGCTCTCTACTTAATAAATGGTGTTGGGAAAACTGGCTAGCCATGTGCAGAAAAATGAAACTGGACTCCTTCCTTACACCTTATACAAAAATCAACTCAAGATGGATCAAAGACTTAAAAGTAAGACCTAGGACCATAAAAATTCTAGAAGAAAACCTAGGCAATACCATTCAGGATACAGGCATGGGTAAAAACTTCATGACTAAAACACCAAAAGCAATGGCAATGAAAGCCAAAATTGACAAATGTGATCTAAGTAAACTAAAGAGCTTCCGCACAGCAAAAGAAACTATTACCAGAGTGAACCGGCAACCTACAGAATGGGAGAAAATTTTGCAACCTATCCATCTGACAAAGGGCTAATATCTAGAATCTACAAAGAACTTAAACAAATTTACAAGAAAAAAACAAACAACCCCATCAAAAAATGGGCAAAGGATATAAACAGACACTTCTCAAAAGAAGACATTTATGCAGCCAACAGACATGAAAAAATGCACACCATCACCGGTCATTAGAGAAACGCAAATCAAAACCACAGAGATACCATCTCATGCCCATTAGAATGGCGATTATTAAAAAGTCAGGAAACAACAGAGGCTGGAGAGGTTGGGGAAAATAGTAATGCTTTTACACTGTTGGTAGGAGTGTAAATTAGCTCAACCATTGTGGAAAACAGTGTGGTGATTTCTCAAGGATATAAAACTAGAAATACCATTTAACCCAGTAATCCCATTAATGGGCATATACCCAAAATATTATAAATTATTCTATGATAAAGACAATGCACACATATGTTTATAATACTATGCAGCTATAAAAAAGGATGAGTTCATGTCTTTTGCAGGAACATGGATGAAGCTGGAAACCATCAATCTCAGCAAACTATCACTAGATCAGAAAACCAAACACTGCATGTTCTCACTGAAAATTGGGAGTTGAGCAATGGGAACACATGGACACAGGGAGGGAAACATCAAACACTGGGGCCTATCAAAGGGTGGGGCAGTAGGGGAGGAATAACATTAGGAGAAATACCTAATGTAGATGATGGGTTGAGGGATGTAGCACACCACCATGGCACACATATATTTATGTAACAAAACTGCATGTTCTGCACATGTAACCAAGAACCTAAAATATAACAATTAAAAAAAATAGAAACAAGCTGTCTATAAAAATACTTTGTGATGTGTGGATGCATCTCACAGAATGGAACCTGTGTTTATAGTCACCAGATGGAAAACAGTCTCTTTTAGAATCTATGAAGGGACATTTTTGGCCCCTTTAAAGCCAATATTGAAAAACAGAATCTTCTGCATTAAAAACTACAAAGAAGATATCTGTGAAAATGCTTAGTGCTTTGTGGATTCATCTCAAAGAAGGGAACCTGTGTTTTGATTCACCAAGTTGGACATACTTTTATTGTAGAATCTACAAAGGTACATTTCTGAGTCCACTGAAGCCTAAAAAGAAAAAAGTATATCCCAGAAATAAATAGAAACAAGCTATCTGGTAGAATGGTTTGTGATTTGTGGATTTGTCTCACAGAATGGAACTTGTGTTATGTTTCATCAGGCTGGAAATACTCTTTTTGTAGAATCTATAAGGGAACAATTTTGAGCCCACTGAAGTCTAAATTGAAATACCAAATATCCCGTGATAAAAACGGAGAAACAAGATATCTGAAAATTGTTTGAGATATGTGGATTCATCTCATAAAACGGAAGCTTTGTTTTGATTAACCAACTTGACTTGAAAACATTGTTTTGTTATAAACAATGAAGGGCCATTTCTTAGCCTATTGAATACTTGAATCCCACAGTAAAAAACATAATATCCCGTGATAAAAAAAAAAAAAAAAAGCTATCTGTGAAAACGCATTGTGTTGTCTGGATTCATCTCAAAAAATGGAACTTGAATATTGATGTATCATGTTGAAAACACTCTTTTTGTAGATCTATGAAGGGACATTTCTTAACACATTGTGATCAATAACGAAAATTGAATATCCTACGACAAAAACTAAAAACAAGGTATCTGTAAAAATGCTTTGCTATGTGTGGATTCATCTCACAGAATGGAACCTGTATTTTGATTTGCCAGCTAAGAAACACTTTTTTGTAGAATGTAAGAAAAGATATTTCTTAGCTATTTGGCCCATAAGAAAAACTTGAATATCCTTGATAAAAACTAGAAACAAGCTATTTATGAGATGCTATGTGATGTGTGGATTCAGCTCACAGAATAAAACCTGTGTTTTGATTCAACATGTTGGAAACACTCTTGTTGTAAATCTAAAAGGGGACATTCCTGAGCCCATTGAAGTTTATCATGAAAAACCAAATATCTTGAAATAAAAAAACGGAAACAAGTGGTCCTTGAAAATAGTTTGGATGTGTCGATTCAGCTCTTAGAATGAAACCACTATTTTGATTCACCCTGTTGGAAGCACTTTTTTTGAGGAATCTACATAGGTCCCTTTTTTAGCCCACTGTAGTCTACAGCAAAAACCCAAATATTCCATGACAAAAACTGGAAACAAGCTATGTGTGAGAATGCTTTATGATGTGTGGATTCATTTCACCGAATGGACCATGTGTTTTGATTCACCAGGTTGGAAACACTTTTTTCGTAAAATATATGAAGGGAAATTTCTGAGCCCACTGAGGCCCATGAAAAAAATTGAATTTCCCGTGATAAAAATTAGAAGCATGATATTTGAGAAAATGATTTGAAATGTGTGGATTCATCTCACAGAATGCAACCTGCGTTTTGACTTCTCAGGTTGGAAACACTCTTTTTCTAGAATATCTGAAGGGACATTTCTGAGCCCTTTGCAGCCAGTAAGGAAGAATCAAATATCCCATGATAAAAAATAAGCAAGCTGACTGAAAATGCTTTGTGACATGTGCATTCATTACACAGAACATGTGTTTTGATTCATCAGGTTGGACATAGTTTTTGGTAGAATCTCGAAGGGACATTTCTGAGCCCATTGAGCCAAATAATGAAAAATCGAATATCCTGCAATGAAAACTAGAAACAAGCTATCTGTGAAAGTGCTCTGTGATATGTGGATTCATCTGACTGAATGGAAACTGTGTTTTGACTTACAGCTTGGAAAAACTTCTTTTGTAGAATCTACAAAGGGACATTTCTGAGCCCTTTGAAGCCTATAGTGAAAAACTGAATATCCCATAATAAAAACTAGAAATGAGGGATCTGTGAAAATGCTTTGTGATGCCTGGATTCATCTTACAGAATGGAACCTGTGTTTTGATCAACCACGTTGGAAACAATCTTTTTGTAGTATATATGATGGGCCATTTCTGTGTCCATTGAGGCCAATAAGAAAAAATTGAATATTGAATACCTTGCAATAAAAACTACCAACAATCTATCCGTGAAAATGTTGTGTGACGTGTGGATTCATCTCACAGAAAGTGACCTGAGGTTTTATTCACCAGTTTGGAATCACTCTTTTTGTAGCTCTGCAAAGTGACAATTCTGAGACCATTGAAACCTACAATGAAAACCAAATATCCCATGATGAAAAGTAGAAGCAGGCTATCTTTAAAAATGCTTAGTGATTCATATAACAGAAAGGAATCTGTGTTTTGATTAAACAGCTTGGAAACCCTCTTCTTGTAGAATCTATGTAGGAATATTTCTGAGCCATTTTGTCCATAAAAAAAACTTGAGTATCCCGAGATAAAAACTAGAAACAAGCTATCTGTGAAATTGCTCTCTGAAGTGTGGATTTGTCTCACAGAATTAAACCTCTGTTTTATTCACTAGGTTGGAAGCACTATTTATGTAGAATTTACAAAAACATATTTCTGAGCCCTTTGAAGCCTACAGTGACAAACAGAATATCCCACAATGAAAACTCAAAACAACCTGTATGTGAAAATGATTTGTGGTGTGTGGAATCATCTCACTAAATGGAGCCTGTGTTTTTCCTCACCAGGTTAGAAACATTCTTTCTGTAGAATCTAAGAAGGGACATTTCTAAGCCCATTGAGACCTATAGTGGAAAACCAAATATCCTGAGATAAAATCCAGAAAACAGCTATCTATGAATATGTTTTGTGATATTTATTTCACTCACAGAATGGAACCTGTGTTTTAATTCTGCAGGTTGCAAACACTCTTTTGGTAAAATCTACAAAAGGACATTTCTGTGCCCATTCACACTTATAGTGAAAAACTGAATATCCTGTGACAAAAACTAAAAATATGTAATCTGTGAAAATGGTTTTTGATATGTGTTTATTTATCTGACAGAATGAAACCTGTGTTTTGACTCACTGGGTGGGAAACACACTTTTTTGGAATCTATTAATGGACATTACTGAGCTCACTGAGGTTTGTAGTGAAAAACCAAATATCTCACGAATATTATCTAGGAACAAGATAAATGTGAAAATTCTTTGTGCTGAGTCAATTCATGTGAGAGAGATTAACTTGAATTTTCCTTCACCAGGTTTGAAACACATTTTTTTGTAGAATCTATGAAGGGACATTTCAGAGCCCGTTGAGGTTCATAGTGAAAAACAAAATATCCCACGATAAATACTAGAAACTAGCTATGTGTGAAAATGCGTTGTGATGTGTGGGTTCATCTCACAGAACAAAATCTGCATTTTGATTCACTAGGTTGGAAAGCCTCTTTTTATAAAATCTATAAAGAGACAGTTCTGAACCCATTGAAGCCTATAAAGGAAAACTGAATATCCTATGGTAAAAATGAGAAACAGTCTTTAAGTGAAAATACCTTGTTATGTGTGGATTCATTTCTCAGAATGGAACTTGTGTTTTGATTAAACAGATTGGAAATACTCTTCTTGTAGTATCTACAAAAGGACATTCTTGAGCCCATTGATGCCTAAGGTGTTAAAATAAATGGCCCACACTAAATACTGGAAAGAAGCTACCTGTGAAAATACTTTGTGATATTTGGGTTCATCTCCCAAAATAAAACCTGAGTTTTGATTCACCAGTAAAGAACCTGTCTTTTTGTAGTATCTATGAAGGCAAATTTCTGAGCTTATTGAAGACTTCAGTGAAAAACCATATATCCCATGATAAAAACTAAAAGCATGCTATTTGTGAAAATGCTTTATAATGTGTGGATTCATCTCACTGAATGGAAACTATGTTTTGAGTCACAAGGTTGGAAACACTCTTTTTGTAGAATCTACACATGGACATTTCTGAGCCCAGTGAGGCCTATAGTGATAAACTGAATATACTGAGATAAACACTAGAAACAGGGTATCTCTAAAAATGTTTTGTGATGTGTCAGGTCATCTCACAGAATGGAACTTGAGTTTATGTGCACCAGTCTGGAAATACTCTTTTTGTAGACTCTAAAATATGACATTTCTGAGCCCATTGACTCCCATACTGAAAACCAAAATATCCTGCCATAAATAGTAAAACAATTATCTGTGGAAATGCTTTGTGATGTGTGGGATCTTCTCACAGAATGTAATCTGTTTTTATTCACCAGGTGGAAAACACTTTCTTTGTAGGATGTACAAAGGGACACTTTGGAGCCCATTTAAGCCTATAATTGGAAATGGAATATCCCATGATAAAAACTAGAAACAAGCTATCTTTGAAACTGCTTAGTGATATATGGATTCAAGTCACAGAACAGAAACTGTGTTTTGCTACACCAGGTTGAAAACACTCTTTTTGTAGAACCTATGAAGGGACAATTCTGAACCCATTTAGAAGTATAGTGGAAAACCAAATATCTCCCAGTAAAAAATAGAAAGAAGCTATTTGAGAAAATGCTTTGTGATGTGTGGATACATGTCACAGAATGGAAGCTGTTTTTTGATTCTCCAGGTTAAAAACTTTCTTTTGTAGAATCTACGAACGAACATTTCTGAGCCACTTAATGCTTGATAAACACTAGAAAGAAGTTGTGTGTGAAAATGCTTTGTGATGTGTTGATTCATCACAAAAATGGAAACTACATTTTGATTCACCAGGTTGGAAAAACACTCTGTTTGTATAACCTACAAACAGATATTTCTGAGCCCATTGAGTCCTATATTTGAAAACAAAATATCCCAGGATAAAAAGTAGAAACAAGCTATCTGTGAAAATGCTTTTTGATGTGTGAATTCATCTCACAGAAAGGCACCTGTGTTTTGAATCAGCAGGTTGGAAACACTCTTTTTGTAGAGTCTACCAACGAAAATTTCTGAGCCCATTGAGCTCTACATTGGAAAACATAATATTCCGTGATATAAATTTAAAACAAGCTCACTATGACAACACTCTGCTATTAGTGAATTCATCTATCTGAATAAAACCTGTTTTTATTCATCTGGTTGGAGGTAATCTTTATGTAGAATCTACGAGTGGACATTTCTGAGCCCATTGACACCTATAGTGAAAAACTGGATATCCCCGGATAAATACTAGAAACAAGCAATCTGTGAAAATGATTTGTGATGTGTGGATTCATCTAACAGAATTGAACCTGTGTTTTGATTCACCAGCCTGGAAACACTCTTTTTGTAGGCTCTAAAGAGAAACATTGGTGAGCCCATTGATGCCTAGTGAAAACCAGAATATCCCACCATAAATACTAAAACAAGAACCTGTGAAAATACTTTGTGATGTGTGGGTTCATCTCACAGAATTGAACCTGTGTTTTCATTCACCAAGTGAGAAGCACTTTTTTGGAAGAATGTATGAAGGAACGTACCTGAGCCCATTTATGCCTATAGTGAAAAACTGAATATCCCATGATAAAAACTAGAAAAAAGCTATCTGTAAAAATGCTTTGTGATGCATCGATTCTTGTCACAGAATGGAACCTGAGTTTTGATTCACCAGGTTGGAAAAACTTTTCTTGTAGAAGCTATGAAGGGACATTTCTGAGCCCATTAAGGCCTACAGTGTAAAAACGAATATCCTATGATAAAATCAAGAAACAAGCTAACTGTGAAAATGCTTTGTGATATGTTGGTTCATCTCACAGAATGGAAACTACATTTTAACTCATCAGGTTGAAAATGCACTTTTTGTAAAATCTACAAAGGGACACCTCTGAGCCCATTGAGTATTATAGTGAAAAACTGAATATCAAGTGATAAAAACTAGAAACAAGCTATCTGTGAAAATGATTTGTGATTTGTGGATTCATCTCACAGCATAGAACCTGTGATTTGATTCCGCAGGTTGGAAACAATCATTTTGTGGAATTCGCAAACGGACATTTCTGAACCCATTGAAGCTTATAGTGAGAAACTGGATATCCCGTGGTTAAACACTAGAACGAAGCTAATGTGAAAATGCATTGCAAAGTGCGGATTTATCTCACAGAATGGAACAAGTGTTTCCATTCTGGAGGTAGAAACAGCCTCTGTGTAGAATCTATAAATGTACATTTTTAAGCCCATTGACTCCTGCAGTGAAAAACCAGATATTCCATGATAAAATGTAGAAATAAGCTATTTCTGAAAGTGCTTTGTAATGTGTGAATTCATCTCATGGAATGAAAACTGTGTTTTGATTCACCAGGTTAGTATTGTAGAATCCACAAAAAGATATTTCTGAGCTCATTGAGGTCTATACTATAAATCTGAATATCCCACAATAAATACTAGAAGCAAGCTCTCTGTGAAAATGCTTTGTCATGGTTGGTTTCATGTCACAGAATGTAACCAGTGTTGTGATTCACCAGGTTGGAAACACTGTTCTTGTAGAATATACGAAGGGTTATGTCTGAGCTCATTGAACCCAATAATGAAAAACCAAATACTTTGCAATAAATACCGAGAACAAGATTTCTGTGAAAATTCTTTGTGATGTATGGGTTCATCTCACAGAATGAAACCTGCGTTTTGACTCACAAGGTTGGAAACCCTCTTTTTGTAGAATCTACAAAAGGGACATTTCTGAGCCTATTGATGCCTACAGTGAAAAACTGAATATCCTGCAAG
This sequence comes from Homo sapiens, assembly GCF_000001405.40. Taxonomy (NCBI): domain Eukaryota; kingdom Metazoa; phylum Chordata; class Mammalia; order Primates; family Hominidae; genus Homo; species Homo sapiens. The sequence goes on from NC_000023.11 coordinate 58,168,383, forward strand.
AAAAACTAGAAACTAGCTATCTGAAAATGCTTTGTGATGTGTGGATTTTTCTCACAGAATGGAAATTGCGTTTTGATTCACCAAATTATTTTTTGTCTTTTTTTTTTGAAATGGGGTTGTGCTCTTTATTGTTCGGGCTGAAGTTCAGCGGAGTGATCTCTGCTCACTGCAACCTATATCTCCAAGGTTCATCCAATTCTCCTGTCTCAGCCTAATGAGTAGCTGAGATTACAGGTGCCCATGACCATGCCCCGCTAACTTTTGTATTTTAATAGATATGGGGTTTCACTATGTTGGCCAGGCTGATCTCAAACTCCTGACCTCACGTGATCCACCCATGTCGGCCTCCCAAAGTACTGAGATTGCAGGCATAAGACAACATGCCCAGCCACTTTTTTGTAAAATGAATGAATGAACATTTCTGGGCCTATTGAAAACTATAGTGAAAAACAGAATATCCTGAGAACAAAAAGTGGAAACAAGCTAAATGTGAAAATGCTTTGTGATGCTTAGATTCATCTCAAAGAATAAAAACTTTGTTTTGATTCACCAGGTTGGAAACAGTCTTTTTGTAGAATATATGAAGAAATATTTCTGAGCTCATTGAAGCCAATACTGAAAAACCAAATATTTTACAATAAATACTAGAAACAAGCTTTCTGTGAAAATGCTTTGTGATGGGTGGGTTCATCTCACAGAATGCAACTTGCATTTTAACTGAACAGGTTTGGCAACCCTCTTATTGTAGAATCTACGAAGGGACATTCTTGAGCCCATTAAGTCCTACAATGAAAAAAAATCCCCTTATAAAAACTAGAAATAATCTATCTGTGAAAATGCTTCATGATGTGTGGATTCATCTCACAGAAAAGAACCGTTTTTTTCATTCACCAGGTTGGAAACACTCTTTTTGTAGAATCTGTGAAAGGACATTTCTGTGCCCATGGATGCATATGGTGAAAAACGGAGTATACCACAATAAATACTAGAAACACGTGATCTGTGAAAATGCTTTGTGATGTGTGGAATTACTTCACAGAATGAAACGTGTGTTGTGATTCACCAGTCTGTAAACACTTTTTGTAGACATTACTAAGGGATATTTCTGATCCCAATGATGCCTACAGTGAAAAACAGCATATCTCATAATAAATATTAGAAACAAGAATCCACGAAAATGATTTGTGATGTGTGGATTCATCTCACAGAACGAAACCTGTGTTTTGATTCACAAGGATGGAAACACTTTTTGTAGTAAATATAAAGAGAAATTTCAGACCTATTTGACACCTGTAGTGAAAAACTGAATATCCCACCTTAAAAACTAGAAACAAGCTATTTCTGAAAATGCTTTGCGATGTGTCAATTCATCTCAGAGAATGGAACCTGTGAATTGACTTACCAGGTTGGAATCACTCTTTTTGTAAAATCAATGGATGGACATTTCTGAGTTATTTGACACTTATAGTGAAAAAAAGAATATCTTGTGATAAATACTAGAAAAAAGCTATCTGTGAAAAATGCTTTGTGACATATGGGTTTATGTAACAGAATGGAATCTGTGTTTTTATTCACCAGGTTGAAAACACTCTTTATGTTGAATCTACGAAGGGAAATTTCTGAGCTAATTGACTCCTACAGTGAAAAACCAAATATCTTTTGATAAGAAATAGAAACAAGCTATCTGTGAAAATGCTTTGTGATGTGTGGGTTTATCTCACAGAATTGAACTTGTGTTTTGATTCAGCAGGTTGGAAACACTGTTTTTGTAGAATCTACAAAAGAAAATTTCTGAGCTCATTGAGGCCTATAGAGAAAAGCTGAATATTCTACGATAAGAAATACAAACAAGCTATATGTGAAAATGCTTTGTGATGTGTGGATTAATTTCACAAATTGGAACTTTATGTTTTGATTTTGCAGGTTGGAAACCCTTATTTTTGTAGAATCTACTAACAGACATTCCTGGGCCCATTGATGCCTACTGTGAAAAACCAAATATCTTGTGATAAATACTAGAAACAAGCTATTTGTGAAAATGCTTTGTTATTTGTGGATTCATCTCACAGAAAGGAACCTGTGTTTTGATTCACCAGTCTGGAACCACTCTATTTGTTGACTCTACTATGGGACATTTCTGATCACAAAGATGCCTATAGTGAAAAACAATATCCTGTTATATATACTATAAACAAGAATCTGTGAAGATGCTTTGTGATGTATGGATTCATCTCACAGAATGGAGTGTGTGTTTTGATTCAAGAGGTTAGAAACAGTCTTCTTGTAGTATCTACGAAGAGAAATTTCTGAGCTAATTGAGGCCTGTAATGAAAAAGCAAATATTCCATGATAAAAACTAGAAAAATGCTGTCTCTGAATATGCTTTGTGATTTGTCGATTCATCTCACAAAATGAAAACTGTGGTTTGTTCCACCAGATTAGAAGCACTTTATGTAGAATCTACAAAAGAACATTTCTGAGTCTTTTGACACCTATAGTGAATAAAAGAATATCCCACAATAAATACTACAATCACACTATCCGTGAAAACACTTTGGATATGTGGATTCATCAAAGAGAATGGAGCATGTGTTTTAATTAACCAAGTTGGAAACACTCTTTATGTAGAATATATATATATATATATATAATTCTGAGCTCATTGATGCCTATAGTGAAAAACAGAATATCCTGCAATAATAAATAGAAACAAGCTATCTGTGAAAATGCTTTGTGATCTGTGGGTTAATCTCACAGAATGGAACATGAGTTTCTATTCACCAGGTTGGAAATACTTTTTTTGTAGAATATACAAAGGGGCATTTCTGGGTCCATTCAAGCTTATAGTAAAAAACTGAATATCCCACAATAAGTGCTAGAAACAAGCTATTTGTAAAATGCATTGTGATGTGTGCATTTATCTCACAAAATAGAAACTGTGTTTTGATTCAGCAGGTTGGAAACACTGTTTTTGTTGAATCTACAATGGGATATTTCTGAGCCCATTGAGGCCTATAGGAATAAAAAACTAATATATTGTGGTAAAAATGACCAAAAAAGCTATATGTGAAAATGCTTTGTGACATGTGGATTAATTTAACAGAATGGAAATTGTGTTTTGATTCAGAAGGCTGAAAACAATTTTTTTGTAGAATCTATGAAAGGATATTCCAGAGCCCATTGACACCTATTGTGAAAAACCAAATATCCCAAGATAAACACTAGAAACAAGCTATCTGTGAAAATGCTTTGTGATGTGTGGTTTTGTCTCAAAGAATGGAACCTGTGTTTTGATTCACCAGGTAGGGAACACTCATTTTGTAGTATCTACAAAGGGACATTTCTGAGCCCTTTAAAAGCTGTAGTGAAAAACCAAATATCCCTTGATAAAAATAACAAATAACCTGTGAAAATGTTTTTGATGTGTGGATTTATCTCACAGAAAAAATCCTGTGTTTTGAATCAGCAGGTTAAGAACCCTTTTTTTTTGTAGACTCTACGAACGAACATTCCTGAGCCTATTGACGCCTAAAGTGAAAAACCGAATATCATGCAATAAAAACTAGGAACAAGCTGTCTTCAAAATGCTTTGTTGTGTGTGGATTCATCTCACAGAATTAAAATTGTGTTTTGATTCAACAGGTTAGAAACACTCTTCTTGTAGAATCTATGAAGGGACATTTCTGAGCCCACTGACTCCTACAGTGAAAAACAAAATAGCATGCAATTAATAGTAGAAACAAGCTATCTGTGAAAATGCTTTGTGCTGTGTGGTTTCATCTCACAGAATGGAATGTTTGTTTTGATTTACCATGTTGGAAACACTCTTTTTGAGGAATCTACAATGGGAAATGTATGAGTCCATGGATTCCTAGAGTGTAAATCTGAATATCCTATTATAAAAACTAGAAACAACCTATCCCTGAAAAGGCTTTGTGATGTTTGAATGCATCTAACAGAATTGAACCTCAGTTTTGATTCACCAGGTTGAAACAGTCTTCTAGGACATTTCTGAGCCCATTGATGCCTATGGTGAGATACCACATATCCGGTGATAAAAACTAGAAACAAGCTATTTGTAAAAAATCTTGTGATGTGTGGCTTCACCTCCCAGAAAGGAAATTGTGTTTTGATTCCGCAGTTTGGAAACACTGTCTCTGTAGAATCTACAAACCAACATTTCTGAGCCCTTTGACACCTATAGTGAGATATTGAGTATCCTGTGCCAAAAAGTAGAAACAAGCTATCTGTGAAAATGCTTTGTGTTTGTGGATTCATCTCACAGAATGGAACATATGTTTTGATTCATCAGGTTAGAAACACTCTTTGTAGAATCTACAAACCAACATTTTTGAGCACATTGACCACTACAGTGAAAAACCAAATATCAGGTAATATAAACTAGAAACAAGCTACTTCTGAAAATACTTTCTGATGTGTAGATTCATCTTACAGAATGGAACCTCTGTTTTGATTCACCACGTTGAAAAGGTTTTTTTTGTAAAATTTACCAAGGGATATTTCTGAGCTTTTTTCTACCTGTAGTGGAAAACCATATATACCATGATAAAAACAAGAAACAAGTTATCTGTGAAAATATTTTGTGAGTAGTGGGCTTATCTCACAGAATGGAACCTGGTTTTTTTCTTTGGTGTTTTGTTTTTTTTTCACCAGGTTGGTAACACTCTTTTTAATGAATCAGTGAAGGGACATTTTGAAGCCCAATGAGTTAGGTAGTTAAAAACAAAATATCCCACGATAACTATGAGAAACAAGCTATATGTGAAAATGCTCTGTGATGTGGGCTTTCAGCTCACAGAGTGGAACCTGTGTTTTGTTTCATCAGGTTGGAAACACTATTTTTATAGAACCTTCACACAGGCATTTCTGAGCTCATTGAATCCAATACTGAAAAACCAATTATCCCTCGATAAAAACTGGAAACAAGCTCTCTGAAAATAATTTGTAATTTCGGGATTCATCTCAAAAATTGGAATCGGTGATTTGATTAACCAGGTTGGAAAAACTCTCTTTGTAGAATCTGTGAAGGGACTTTACTGAACCCTTTGACCCCTGTAGTGAAAACCAGAATATCAGGTGATTAAAAACTAGAAACAAGTTATCTGTGAAAATGCTTTATGAGAATTGAGTTTATCTCACAGAATGGATCCTATGTTTTGATTAACCAGGTTGGAATCATTCTCCCTGTAGTATCTATGAAGTGACATTTCTTAGCCTATTCAGACCTATAGTGGAAAAATGAATATCACATGATAAAAACTAGAAACAAGCTATCTGTAAAAATGCTTTGTGATGTGTGGATTCATGTAACAGAATATAACTGAGTTTTGATTCAGATAGCTAAAAAACACTCTTTCTGAAGAATCTATGAAAGGACATTTTGAGCCCACTGTGGACTACAGTGGAAAACAAAATACCTTGCGATAAGACTAGAAACAAGCTATCTGTAAATATGTTATGTGATGTCTGGATTTACCTAACAGAAAATGAAACTGCGTTTTGATTCACCTGGTTGGAAACACTGTTTTTGCAGATTTTATGAAGGGAAATTTCTGAGCCCATTGAAGCCTATGTTGAAACACTGAATATCTTTCAGTAAATACAAAAAGCATTCTATCTGTGAAAATGCTTCATGATGTGTTGTTTTACCTCACACAATGGAAGCTGCGTTTTGATTCACCAGGTTGGAAACACTCTTTGTAGAATCTAAGGATGTAAATTTCTTATCCCATTGACACATATAGTGGAAAACAGAATATCTTGCAATAAAAACTAGAAGCTGTCTGTGAAAATGCTTTGTTATGTGTGGATTCATCTTACAGAATGGAACCTGTGTTTTAATTCACCAGGTTGATACCAGTCTTTTTGTAGAATCTACAAAAGGACATTTCTGAGCCCATTGATGTCTATAGTGAGAAACCAAATAATCCATAATAGAAATGAAACTAGCTATCTGTGAAAATTACTTGTGATGTGTGGGTTCATCTCACAGAATGGAACCTGTGTTTTAATTTACTAGGTTGGAATCACTTTTTGTACAATCTATGAAGAGAAATTTCTCAGCCCATTGAAGCCTATAGTGAAAAACAAAATATCACATGTTAAATAATGAAACAAGGTATCTGTGAAAATGCTTCTGGATGAAGGGGTTCATCTCACAGAATAAAACCTGTGTTTTGATTAACCGGGTTGGAAACACACTTTTTCTAAAATCTACTCAGGGAAATTCCTGAACCCATTGAGGCCTATAGTGGAAAACAGAATATCATGTTATCAGTCCTATAGAGTTACACCTGTGTTTTGATTCACCAGGTTTTAAACACTGTTTTTGTAGAATCTACGAAGGGACATTTCTTAACCAATTGTAGCCTATAGTGAAAAACTGAATATCTCATGATAAAAACTTGAAAGGAGCTGTATGTGAAAATGCTCTGTGATGTGTGGATTCATCTCAGGATGGAACCTGTGTTTTGGTTCACCAGGTTGGAACACTGTTTTGCAGATTCCAAGAAGAAACCTCCCTGAGCACTTTGAAACCTATAGTGAAAAACCAAATGCCCCATGATAAAAACTACAAACCATGTATATGTGAAAATCCTTTGCGAATTGTGTATTTATTTCACAGAAATTAACTTGTGTTTTGATTCACCAGGTTGGAAACACTCTTTTTGTAGAATCTGCAACAGGACATTTCTGAGCCCATTCAGGTATAATGTGAAAAACCCAATATCTCATGATAAAACTAGAAAGAAGCTATCTGTCAAAAAGCTTTGTGGCATATGCATTCCTCTCACAGAATGGAACCTGTGTTTTGATTCAGCATTTTGAAACACTCTCTTTTTAGAATCTATGCAGGAACATTTCTCAGCCCATTGAAGCCTATAATGAAAAATTGAATATCCCACAATAAAAACTAAAAAGAAGCTTTCTGTGAAAATGATTTGTGATGTGTGGATTCATCTCATGGAATGGAACCTGTGTTTTGATTCAACAGGTAAAAAATGTATTTTTGTAGAATCTCCTTTTTTGCATCCATTTAAACCTATAGTGAACAATTGAATATCCTGTTATAAAAAGTAGAAACAAGCTATGTGTGAAAATGCTTTGTGATGTGTGGATGCAGCTCATATAATGGAACTTTTGTTTTATACACCAGGTTGGAAAACTCTTTTTGTAGAATCCACGTGAAAACATTTCTGAGCCCATCAAAGCCTATTGTGAAAAATCTAATAAAACCCGATAAAAACCAAAAACAAGGTATCTGTGAAAATTCTTTGTGATGTGTAGATTCAACTCACAGAATGGAACCTGTATTTGGATTCACCAGGTTGCAAACAGGCTTTTTGTAGAATCTACGAAGGTACATTTCTGAATCCATTGATTCCTGTAATGAAAAACGAAGTGTCCCATGATTAAAAACCAGTTACAAGCTATCTGCAAAAACGCTTTGAGATGTGTGGATTCATAGCACAGAATGGAACCTGTTCTTTGATTTACTACTTTGTAATCACTCTTTTTGTAGAATCTATGAAAGGTCATTTTGAGCCCATTGAGAAACGTAGTGAGAAATGGAAAATGCCACAATATAAACTATAAACAAGGTATATGTGAAAATGCTTTATGATATGTGGATTCATCTCACAGAGTTAACTTGTGTTTTTATTCACCAGGTTGGAAATACTCTTTTTGTAGAAACTATGAAAGGACATTTCTGAGCCCATGGATGCCTATAGTGATAAACAAAATATCCCACGATATAAAGTATAAAGACACTATAAATGAAAATGATTTATGATGTGTGGATTCACCTCACAGAGATGAACATGTGTTTTCATTCACGAGGTGGAAAACCCTGTCTTTGTAAAATCTACACAGAAATCTTTATGCGCCATGAAAAACCGAATATACCATGATAAAAACTAGAGAGAGGTATCTGCAAAAATGCTTTGTGATGTGTGCATTCACCTCACAGAAAGGAACCTGTGTTTGGATTCACCAGGTTGGGAACACTGTTATTGTAGAACCTACAAAGGGACATTTCCTGGCTTTATGAAGCCTGTTTCTATTGTGGGATATTTGATTTTTCACTGTGAAATACAAAATATACCACTATAAAGACTAGAAATAAACTATCTGTTAAAATGATTTGTGATGTGTGGATTCATCTCAAAGAATGACAGCTGTATTTTGATTGACCATGTTGGAATCACTCCTTTTGTAGAACCTATAAAAAGTTTTTTTCTGAGACCATTGAGGAATGCAGTTAAAAACCGATCATACCACCAAAAAAACTAGAAAGCAGCTACCTGTGAAAATGCTTTGGATGTGTCTATTCATCTCACAGAATGGAACCTGTGTTTTGATTCACCAGGTTGGAAACACTTTTTTTGTAGAATTACCAAAGGGACATTTCTGAGCCCATTAAGGTTTGTATTGAGAAACCAAGTGTCCTGCAATAAAATCTAGAAACCTGTTCCATGTGAAAAGGCTTTGTGATATGTGAATTCATCTCACAGAGTTAAACCTGTGTTTTGATTCACCATGTTGAAAACACTCTTTTTGTCCAATCTACAAAGTGACATATCTAAGCCCATTTAAGCCTTTGGTGAAAAATGGAACACTCCACATGAAAAACTAGATGCAAACTACACGTGAAAATGTTTTGTGATGTGTGGATTCACCTGACATAGTTAAATATGTGTTTTCATTCACCAGGTTGTAAACAGTCTTTTTGTAGAATCTGAGCCCTTTGAGAACCATAAGACGAAATTGAATGTCTACTGATATCAACTAGAAACAAGACATCTGTGAAAATGCATTGTGATGTGTGGATTTATCTCACAGAGTGGAACCTGCATTTTGATTCACCACGTTGGAAACAGTCTTTGTAGAATTTAGAAAGGGATATTTCTGAACCCATTGAAGCCTAGAGTGAAAAACCAAACAAGCAAACTGTTAAAATGCTTTGTGATGTATGTATTCATCTCACAGAATGGAACCTACGTCTTGATACACCAGGTTGGAAACCCACTTTGGTAGAATCTACAAAGGGTCTTTTCTGAGCCCACTGAGGATGGTAGTGAAAAAGCAAATATACCACGATGAAAAGTGCAAAGAAATTTTCTGTGAAAATGCTTTAAATATGTGGATACATCTCGCAGAATGCAATGTGTGTTTTGATTCACCAGGTTGAAAACTCTCTTTTTGTAGAATCTAGGAAAGGACATTTTTGAGCTCATGTGGCCCATAAGATGAAATTGAATACCTCTGATAACAACTAGAAACAAGCTATATGTGAAAATCGTTTGTGATGTATGGATTCATCTCACAGCAAGGAACCTCTGTTTTGATTCATCAGGTTGGAAACACTTTTTTTGTAGAAATTATGAAGGGATATTTCTGAGCCCATTGAGAAAGGTAGTGAAAAACTGAATATCCAGCAACAAAAACTAGAAACAAGCTCTCTGTGAAAATGCGTTGTGATATGTGGATTCGTCTCACAGAGTTAAAAATACATTTTCATTCACCAGCTGGAAACAGCTTTTCTGTAGAATCTATGAAGGGACATTTCTGAGCCCATTGAAGCCTATAGTGAAAAACATATTATCCCATGATAAAACTAGAATCAAGCTATATGTGAAAATGCTTTGTAATATGTGGATTCATCTCACAGTGATAAACTTGTGTCTTCATCCACAAGGTGGAAACACTCTTTTTGTAGAACCTACATAAGGACATTTCTGAGCCCACTGAAGTCTATAGTGAAAAATGTACATGCAGTGATAAAAAGTAGACACAACCTATCTGTGAAAATGATTTCTAATGTGTTGATATATCTCAGAGAAAGAAACCTGTTTTTTGATTCATCAGGTTGTAAAAACTATTTTATAGAATCTACAAAGGGACATTTCTGAGTTCATTGAGGATATAGTAATAAACCGAATATCTTGCAATAACTCTAGAAACAAGCTATCTGTGACAACTCATTGTGATGTGTGGATTCGTATCACAGAGTTAAACCTGTGTTTTGATTCACCAGATTTGAAACACTTATTTTGTAAACTTTACGAAGGGTATTCTGAGCCCATTGAAGCTCACAGTGAAAAACCAAATATCCCACTATAAAAAAACAAGAAACAAGTTGTCTGTGAAAATGCTTCATGATGTGTGGATTGATCTGATAGAAAAAAACCTGTGTTTCAATGGACTAGTTTGGAAACTTTTTTAATACAATCTACCTAGTGACATTTCTGATTACATTGAAGCCTACAGTAAAAAAACAAATATCCCATGATAAAAACTAGAAATAAGCCATCTGTAAAATGCTTTGTGATGTGTGGAATCATCTCTCAGAATGGAACCTGTGTTTTGATACAGCAGGTTGGAAGCACTATTTTTGTAAAATCTATGAAGGGATGTTTCTGAGCCCACTGAAGCCTGTAGTGAAAAACTGAACATACAGCAGTAAAAACTATAAACAAACTATTTGTGAAAATGCTTGGTGAAGTGTGGATTGATCTCACAGGACAGATCCTGTGTTTGGATCACGTTTTTTTTGTTTTGTTTTTTTTTTTTTTGTAGAATCAACAAAGAGACATTTCTGAGCCTTTTGCAGCCTATACTGAAAAACAAAACATCCCACAATAAAAATTAGGTACAAGCTATCAGTTTAAATGTTTGGTGATGTGGGGATTCATCTCACAGAATGTAACCTGTGCTTGAATTCACCAGGTGGGAAACACTCTTTTTGTAGAATCTATGAAGGGACATTACTGATCCCATTGAGGCCTGCACTGAAACACAGACTATCTGGTGATAAAATCCAGAAACAAGCTATCTGTGGAAATGTGGAAATGTTTTGTAATGTGTGGATTTATCTAACAGAGTTGAACCTGAGTTTTGACCCACCGGGATGGCAACATTCTTTTTGTAGAATCTACAATGAGACATTTCTGATTCCATTGACGACTGTGGTGAAAGACTGAATATTTTGCAATAAAAAATAGAAACAAGGTGTCTGTGAAAATGCTTTGGGGTGTGTGGATTCATCTCACAGAACGCAACCTGTGTTTTAATTCATCAGGTTGGAAACACTCTTTTTGTAGAATCCATGAATCGACAATTCTGTGTCTACGGTGGCCAATAGTGAAAACTTGACTATTACGTGATTAAAAACTAGAAACAAGATGTATGTTAAAATACTTTGTGATGTATGGATTCAACAAACAGAGTTTAACCTCTGTTTTGACTCAGCATGTTGGAAACACTCTTTTTGTAGAATCAACAAAGGGATATTTCTGATCCCATGGATGCCTATAGTGAAAACCAGAATATCCCATGATAAAAACTAAAAACAAGCTATCTGTGAAAATGCTTTGTGATGTGTGGATTCATCTCATGTAATGGAACATGTGTTTTGATTCCCCCAGATTGGAAATGCTTGTATTGCAGAATCAATGAAAGAACATTTCTGAGCCCATAGAAGTCTATAGTGAAAAACTGAATATTCTGAGATAAAATCTAGAAACAAGCTATCAGTAAAAATGCTTTCTGATGTGTGGATTCATCTCACAGAATGGAAAATGTGTTTTGATTCAGCAGGTTGGAAAAGCTTTTTTTAGAACCTATGAAGAAACAAATCTGAGCTTATTTAGGCCTATAGTGGAAAATAGAACATCCCTTGATAAAAACTAGAAACAAGCTGTCAGTGAAAATGCTTTGTGAAGTGTGGATTCGTCTAACAGAAAGAAACCTGTGTTTTAATTTACCAGGTTGGAAGCACTTTTTTTTGGTAGAATCTATGAACAGACATTTCTTAGCCTGTTTGATGCTATAGTGAAAAACCGAATATCCTGTGTTAAAAACTGGACACAAGCTATTGGATAAAATGCTGTGTGACGTGTGGATTCATCTCACAAAATCGAACCTGTGTTTTGATTCAGCAGATTAGAAACACTCTTTATGTAAAATCTACAAATGGACATTTCTGTGGTTATTGACACCTGTAGTAAAAAAAATGGTATATCCTGTGAAACAAACTAGAAACAAGCTCTCTGTGAGAATCCTTTGAGATGTGTTGGTTATTCTCACAAAATGAAACATGTGTTTTAGTTCAGATTGGAAAGCCTTTTTTAAAGAATCTACAAATGAACATTTCTGAGCCCTCTGATGCCTGTACTGAGAAACTGAATATACCATGATAAAACCTAGAAACAAGCTATCTGTGAAAATGCATTGTGATGGGTCGATTCATCTAATAGAATGGAACCTGTGTTCTTTTACCAGATTGGGTACACTCTCTTTTTTAGAATACACAAAAGAACATTTCTTAGCCCATAGAGGGCTCTAGTGAATAACAAAATATTTGCAATAAAAACTGGAAATGAGCTACCTGCGAAAATTATTTGTGATGTGTGAATTCACCTCCCAGGATGAAACCTGCATTTTAAAATACCAGTTTGGAAACACTCTTTTTGTGGAATCTACAAATAAAATATTTCTAAACCCATCGAGGCCTATAGTGGAAAATGGAGTATCCCATGATGAAAATTAGAAACAAGCTATCTGTTAAAATGCTTTGTGATGTGTGGATTCATCTCACAGAATGGAACCTGTGTTTCGATTCTGCAGGTTAGAAACAGTCTTTTTGTAGAATCTATGAACAAACATTCCCGAGTCCATTGATCTCTGGAGTGGAAAACGGAATATTTCCTGAGGAAAACTAGAAATAAGCTATTTGTGAAAATCCTTTGTGATGTGTGGTTTCAATTCACAAAATGAAACCTGTGTTTTGATTCCCCAGGTTAAAAACACTTTTTTAAAGAATCTATGAAGAGATGTTTCTGAGCCCATTGACATCTACAGTGAAAAACTGAATATCCTGCGATAAAAGCTAGAAACAAGGTATCTGTGAAAATGCTTTCTGATGTGTGGGTTCATCTCACAGAATGGAACCTGTGTTTGATTCACCAGGTTGGAAACACTCCTTTTGTAAAATCTATGAAGGAACATTTCGGAGCCCACTGAGGCCTATAGTGAAAAACAGAATAACTTGAATAGCTGCTAGAAGCAAGCTATCCATAAAAATACATTGTAATGTGTGGATTCTTCTCACAGTATACACCCTGTGTTTTTATTCGCCAGGTTAGAAACACTCTTTTTGCAGAATCTAAGAAGGGACATTCCTGAGCCCATTGATATCTATTAAAAACAGAATATCCCACAATAAAACCTAAAAACAAGCTATCTATGAAAATACATTGTGATGCATGGATTCATCTAACAGAATGGAACAAGTGTTACAATTCACCAGTTTGAAAACACTCTTTTTGTAGAATTCATGAAAAAACATTTCTGAGCCCATTTAGGACTATAGTGAAAAACCAAATATCCCATGACAAAAGATCTGTATACAAGCTATCTGTAAAAATGCTTTGTGATGTGTGGATACATCTGAAAAAATGGAACTTGTGTTTTGATTCCTTGGGTTGTAAACCCTCTTTTTGTAGAATCTCCTAACGGATATTTTTGAGCCCATTGAAGCCTATGGTGAAAAACAGAATATACCACGATAAATACTAGAAACAAGCAAGTGCCTTTGGATTTGTATGTTCATCTCACAGAATGGACACTGGGTTTTGATTTAGCAGGCTAGACATACTCTCTTTGTAGAATCTGCAAATGGACATTTCTGAGTACTTTGGTGCCTATAGTGGAAAACAAAATATCCCACAATAAAAACTAGAAACAAGCTATCTGTGAAGATCCTTTGGGACGTGTGCATTCATCTCACAAAATGTTACCTGTGTTTTGATTCCATAGGTTGAAAACACTTTTTTTTGGAATTTACAAAAGAACATTTCTGAGCTTATTCACACATATAGTGATTATCCCAAATATCCTGCAATAGAAACTAAAAATAAACTATCTGTGAAAATGCTTTGTGATGTTTTGATTTATATCAAACAATGGAACCTGTCTTGATTCACCAAGTTGGAAACACTATTTTTTTTGAATCTACTAACGGATATTTCTGAGCCCACTGATGCCTATATTGAGAAACTGAATATCCCAGGATAAAAACTAGATTCCAGGTATCTGTAAAAATGCTTTGTGATGTATGGATTCATCTCACAAAATGGAACTTGTATTTTTATTCAGCAGGTTAGAAACACTACTTTCCTACAATCTACAAAGAAACATTTCTGAACCCATTGACCCCTAGAGTGGAAAACCAAATACTGAGTGAGAAAAACTAGAAACAATCTATCTGGGAAAATCCATTGTGATGCATAGTTTCATCTCACAAAATGTAACCTGTGTTTTGTTTCACCAGGTTGGAAACACTTTTCTCTTAGACTGTACAAATGGACATTTATGAGCCCATTAACGCTTATATTGAGAAACCAAATTTCCCATGACTATAACTATAAAAAGATATCTGTGAAAATTATTTGTAATGTGAGGGTTCATCTCAAAGAATGGCACCTGCGTTTTCATTCACTAGGTTGGAAATACTCTTTTTGCAAAATCTACAAAGGGAAATTTCTGAGCCCACTGGCGCCTATAGTGAAAAACAGAATATCTTGAATAGCTACGAGAAAAAAGCTATCTGTGAAAATGCTTTGTAACGTGTAGATTCATGTCACAGTATGGAACCTGTGTTTTGATTCAACAGGTTGGAAACACTTTTTGTAGAATCTATGAAGAGATACTTCTGAGCCCATTCAGGTCTCTAGTGAAAAACGGAATACATCACTATGTAAACTAAAAACAAACTATCTGTGAAAATGCTTTGTGATGTGTGGATTTATCTAACAGAATGGAACCTGTGTTTCAATTCATCCATTCGCAAACACTATTTTTGTAGAATTCACAAAACAGTATTTGTGAGCCTATTGAGGGCTGTAGTGAACAATCAAATATCCACTATCAATATGAAAAACAAGCTACTTGTGAAAAAGCTTTGTAGTGCATGGATTCATCTCACAGTATAGAACCTGTGTTTTGATTCAACAGGTTAAAAATGTTCTTTTTGTAAAATACAGAAAAGTACCTTTCTGAACCCATTGTGGGCTATAGTAAAAAAAAAACAATATCCACTATAAAAAGTAGAAACAAGCTACCTGTGAAAATGCTTTGTTATGTGTGAATTCATATATTCAAATATTCCAGGATAAATACTAGAAACAAGCTGTCTGTGAAAATGATTTTTCATAAGCAGGTTCATCTCACAGAATGGAACCTGTGTTTTGATTGACCACGTTGGAAATACTCTTCTTGTAGAATCTACCAAAGGACATTTCTGAGCCCCTTGATACCTATAGTGAAAACTGAATATCCCTCAATAAATACTAGAAACAACATATCTGTGAAAATGCTTTGTAACATGTGGATTCATCTCCCAATATGTAACCTGGGTTATGATTCACCCGTTTGGAAACTCTTTTTTTGGAATCTATGAATGGAGACTTATGAGCCCATTGAGGACTATAATAAAAAACCGAATATCCCTCAACAAAAACAAGAAACCAGCTATCTGTGAAAATCCTTTGTGATGCGTGGATTAATCTCAAAGGAGGCAACCTGTGTTTTGATTCAGCAGGATGAAAACACTCTTTTTTTTAGAATATACGAACAGAAATTTCTGAGTCAATTTATCCCTATTTTAAAAAACCAAATATGCTGCAATAAAAACTAGAAATGCTAGTGTGAAAATGCTTTGTGCTGTGTATATTCATCTCATAGAATAAAACCTGTGTTTTGATTCAGCAGGTTAGAAGTAGTATTTTTGTAGAATCTATGGACAGACATTTCTGAGCCCACTGATGCCTATGGGGGAAAACCGGATATCCTGCAATAAAAACTAGAAACAAGCCATCTGAGAAAATCCATTGTGATGTGTGGGTTCATCTCACAAAATGGAACCTGTATTTTGATTCACCAGGTTGGAGACAATTTTTTTTTAAGAATCTACAAAGGGACATTTTTAAGCCCTTTGACAACTATAGTGAGAAATGGAATATCTCATGATAAAAACTGGGAACAAGCTATCTGTGTAAAGCCATGCTTTTGTGATGTGTGGATTCATCTCATAGATTAAAATCTGTGTTCTGATTCACCAAGTTGGAAACACTATCTTTGTGGAATCTATGAAGGGAGATTTCTGAACCCATTGAGACCTAAGTGCAAAACCAAATATCCTGCCTTAAAAAAAATTGAAATAAGCTAACTGTGAAAATGCTTTGAGATGTGTTGGATCATCTCACAGAATGAAGCCTGCATTTTGACTCACTAGGTTGGAAATGTTCTTTTTGTAAAACCTAAAAGGGGACATTTCTGATCCCATTGAGGCTTATAGTGAAAAATTGAATATCAAGTGATAAAAACTTGAAAAAAAGCTATCTGTGAAAATGGTTTGTGATGGGTGGATTCGTCTTGCAGAATAGAACCTGTGCTTTGATTTAGCAGGTTGGAAACAATGTTTTTGTAGTAACAGACATTTCTGAGCCCATTGTAACCTATAGTCAAAAACTGAATATTTGGTGGTAAATACTAAAAATAAGCTATCTGTTGAAAAGCTTGGTGATGTGTGCGTTCGCCTCACAGAATGAAAACTGTGTTTTGATTCACCAGGTTGGATATACTCTTTTTGTATAATCTACAAAGAGAGATTCCTGAGCTTATTGGGAACTGTAGTGAGAAACCAAATACTCCGCGAAAAAAAACCTAGAAACATGTTATCTGTGAAAATCCTATGGGATGTGTGCATTTATCTCACAGAATGGAACCGGTGTTTTGATTCAACATATTGAAAACACTCTTTTGTAGAATGTACAAATGGACATTTCTGAGCCCATTGAAGGCTAGAGTGAAAAAATGAATACTCTGGAATAAAAACTAGAAACAGGCTGTCTGTGAAAATGCTTTGTAACGTGTGGATTCATCTCACAGAATGGAAACTGTGTTTTGATTCAGCAGGTTAGAAACACTCTTTTTGTACAATCTACATACTAACAATTTCTGAGCCCATTGATGCCTAATGTGAGAAAAAAGGAATATGCTTTGATAAAAACTAGAAACAAGGTATATGTGAAAATGCTTTGTGATGCATGGATTGATCTTAGAGAATGCAACCTGTGTTTCGATTCGCCAGTTTGAAAACTTTTTTGTAGGATCTACGAAGAGACATTTCTGAGCATATTGAAGCCCATAGTGAAAGACCTATATTTAGTGATAAAAATTGGAAACAAACTATTTGTAAAAATGTGCCCTCCATCATTATAAAAATAGAGTCACCTCATTGAACCCAGGCATTCTAATGAAAGAGACTTATGGCCGACCTAATGATAGAGACTCATGGTCAAACCAAGGTATTTCAATGATAGAGACATCTGGGCAACCTTAATCAATCTAAGGACAGAGACACCTTCCCGACCCAAGGTATTCTAACGGGAGAGACTCGTGGCTGACACCAAACTTTCTAACAGGAGAGACTCCTGGCCTACCACAGGCATTCTAATGGTAGAGAAACTTGTGCAAACTTGGTCATTCTAAAAATAGAGCCACCTCATGAACCCCAGGCATTCTAATGGGAGATACTCCTGTCTGACCACAGGCATTCTAAGGATAGAGACACCTAGCTAATCAAAGGAATTCTAATGGGAGAGACTACTGGCCTACCCAAGGAATTGTAATGATAAAGATCCCTGGCCACCCCAGGCATTCTAATGGTAAAGGAAACTGGTTGACCTCAGGAATTCTAATATTAGAGACGCCTGTGCTACCTCAGTCATTCTAATGATTGAGAGAACTGGCAGACCCCAGGCATTATAATTTGAGAGACTCCTGGTTGACCCCAGGAATTCTAGTGATAGAGACCCTGGCCTTCACCAGGTATTGTAATGATAGAAACACCTGCGTGACCTCAGGCATTCTGACAACAGATACTCCTGCCCAACCCCAGGCATTCTAATAAAGAGACACCTGGGCGACATCAGTCATTCTAAGGATAGAGACACGCGGCCCAAGGCAGGCATTCCAATGACAGAGTCCTGGCCGACCGAAGGCATTCTAATAATAGAGACTCCTGGCCTAACTAAGAAATTCTAATGATAGAGACACCTGTGTGACCTTAGGCATTCTAAAGATAGAGACACCTGGCTGACTACAGGCATTCTAATAATAGAGACATCTGGGCGACGTCAGGCATTCTATTGTTAGAGACACCTGGAAAATCCCTGACATTACAATGAGACTCCTGGCCTATTCAAGACATTCTAATACTAGAGACACCTGGCGGATCTCAGCCATTTTAAGGATAGAGACACCAGGTAGACCACAGGCATTCTAATGGGAGAGACTCCTGGCCAACCTCAGGAATTCTAATGTTAGAGAACCAGAGAGACTCTTAGTCAACCCCAGGCATTCTAATGATAGAGACTCTTGGACGAATCCAGACATTCCAATGATAGAGACACCTGGGGGATATCAGGCAATAAAAGGATAGAGACAACTGGCCAAACCCAGGCATTCTTATGATAGAAACTCCTGGGCTACCCCAGGCATTCTAAGGATAGAGACACCTGGCCCAATCAGGCATTCTATTGGGAGAGACTCCTGGCCAATCCTAGGTATCCTAACGGTAGAGAATCCGAGCTGACCACAGGCATTCTAATGATAGAGACAGCCGGGTGACCTCAGGCATTCTAAAGGTAGAGACACCTGCTTGACCCAGACTTTCTAATGCGACTTCTTTCCGACCCCAGACATTGTAATGGTAGAGACACCAGGGCGACCCCACCATTCTAAGGATAAAGACACCTGGCCAACCCCAAGCATTCTAACGGGAGACATGTGGCCAACTTCAGACATTCTAATGACAGAGACTTATGGTCTAGCCCAGGCATTCTAGTGATAGAAATACCAGTGCGACCTCAAGCATTTTTAAGATGAAGAAATTTGGCCAACCCCAGGCATTCCAACGGGAGAGACTCCAGGCCAAAAACAAATATTCTAATGATAGAGACTCATGGCCTAGCCCAGGCATTCTAATGATAGAGGTAACTGACTGACTTCAGGAATTGTAAGGATAGAGAAACCTGGATGATCCCAGGCATTCTAACGGGGGAGACTTCTGTCCCTACCCATGCATTCTAGTAGATAAAGAAGCCTGGCCTAACCCAGGCATTCTAATGACAGAGACACCTATGCGACCTCAGGCATTTTAAGGATAGAGACACCTTGCCGACTGCAGGCATTTAAATGGAAGATTCTCCTGGCCGACCCCAGGCATTCTTAAGGGAGAGACTCCTGCCATACCCCAGACATTCTAATTTTAGAGACAATTCTGAGACCTCAGCCATTCTAAGGCTAGAGACACTTCACTGACCTCAGTTATCCTGACAAGAGAGACTCCTGGCTGAACCTTGGCATTTAATGATAGACACACCTGGGGAAACACAAGCATTCTAAAGATAGAGACACTGGGCTGAACTGAAGCATTCTAACAACAGAGACTTTTGGTGGACCCCTGGCATTCTAACAGGAGAGGGCCCTGGCCAAATCCAGGATATGTAATGATAGAGACTCCAGGCCTACTCCAAGCATTCTGATGATAGAGATTCCTTGATGACCTCAGGCATTCTAAGAATAGAGACACGTGGCCAACTCAAGGCATTCTAATGGGAGATATCCCTGGTTGACCCCAGGCATTCTAATGATAGAGACTTCTGCCCTACCCCAGGCATTATAATGTTAGAGACACCTGTGCACACTCAGGCATTTTAAAAGTGTGACACCTGGCAAGCCCCAGGCATTTTAATGATAGAGACACCTGGCCTGCCCCAGGAATTTTAAAATGAGAGACTCCTGGCTGACCCCAGACAATCCAATGGTAGAGATACCTCACCTACCACAGGTAATGATAGAGACACCTATGGGACCTGAGGCATTCTAAGGATAGAAACACCTGGCCGACCCCAGGCATTCAAATGGGAGAGACTACTGGCCAATACTAGACATTATAACAAGAGAGTCCACTGGCCGACCCCAGGCATTCTAATGGTAGAGATTCCTGGCTGACCCCAGGCATTCTAATGATAGAGCCACCTGGGGGAACTCAGGCATTCTCAGAATAAAGTCATCTGGTCGAACCCAGGCATTCTAATGGGAGACAATGCTGGCCCACCCTTGGCATTCTAAAGATAGCGACACCGGGGCGATCACAGGCATTCTGAAGATAGAGACACCTGGCTGAACCGAGGCATCCTAGCAGTGGAAACTTTTGGTGGAACCACGGCATTCTAACAGGAGAGAGTCCTGGCCAACCCCAGGCATTCTAATGACAGACAGTCCTGGCCTACCGCAAACATTCCAGTGATAGTGACACCTGTGATACCTCAGGCATTCTAGGTATAGAAAAACCTGGCCGATTTCAGGTATCACTCTGATGGTAGAGACAAATGTGCGATCTTAAGCATTCTAAAAATAGAGACACCTGGCTGACTGATGCATTCTAATGGGGATACTGCTGGTGGACCCTTGATTTTCTAAGAAAACAGACTCCTGGCAAATTCCAGGCATTCGAATGATAGAGACTCCTGGCCAATCCCAGGCAATCTAAGGATAAAGACACTTGTGCGACCTCATACATTCTAAGTTTAGAGATACCTGGCTGACCCCAGGCATTCTAATGTTAGAGATTCCTGGTCAACCCGAGGCATTCTAATTATAGAGACTACTGGCCGACACCTGACATTCTAATGATAGAGACACCTGGGCAACCACAAGCATTCTAATGGGAGGTACTCTTGGCTAATTCTAGGAATTCTAATGATAGAAACTCCTGGCCTAACCCAGGCGTTCTAACGTTAGAGACACCTCTGCAACCTCAGGCATTCTAAAGATAGAGAAACCTGGCAAACCCCAGGCATTCTAATGGAAAAGACTCCTGGACGACCCTAGGAAATCTAATGTTAGAGACACCTCTGAGACCTCAGGCATTCTAATGATGGAGAAACCTCGCCAATTCCAGTCATGCTAATGAAAGGGACTCTTGGCCGAACCCAGGCGTTCTAATGACAAAGACACCTGGGCAACATCACGCATTGTAAGGATAGAGACACCTGAATAGCCCATACATTCTAGTGGTAGAGACTCCTGGCATACTCCAGGCATTCTAATGATAGACTTCTGGCTGTTCTCAGGCGTTCTTATGATATAGACACCTGGGTGACCTCAGCCATTCTAAGGATGGGGGAACACATCGTCAACCCCAGTCATTCAAACAGGAGAGACTCCTGGCCAACTTAAGGCACTCTAATGATAGAGAATCCTGGCCTATTCCAGGCATTCTAATGATAAAGAAAGCTGTGCAACATGAGACATTCTAAGAATAGAGACACATGGCTGACCCCAGGTATTCTAAAGGGAGAGATTGCTGGCAGAACCTATGCATTCTAAATGAAGAGACTACTGGCTGACCCTAGGGATTCTAATGATAGAGACAACTGGGCAACCTCCCACATTTTAAAGATAAAGACCCCTGGCCAATTCAATGCATTCTAATGGAAGAGACTCCTGGCAGACCCCCGGCATTGTAAGGGGAGAGAGTCCTTGCCAACCATAGGCATTCTAATGATAGAGACTCCTGGCCTACCGAAGGTGTGCTAATGATAGAGACAACTGTTCCACCTCAGGCATTCTAAGGATAGAGACACCAGCCCAAATTTGGAAATTCTAATGAAAGAGACTCCTGGCTGAAACCAAACATTCTAGTGATAAAGACCCCTGGCCAACCTCAGGCATTCTAGTGATAGAAACTCCTGGGCCACCCGAGGCATTCTAAGGGTAGAGACACCTGGCTGACCACAGGCATTCTAACGGGACAGACAGCTGGTCAACCCCAAATATACTAATAATAGAGACACCTGGAAGACCTCAGGCATTCTAAGGATGAAGACACCTGAAAAACTCCAGCATTCTAACGGGATGGACTCCTGGCCAATGACAGGCATTCTAACTGGAGAGACTTCTGGCCAACCCCAAGCATTTAAATGGGAAAGACTTCTGTCTGACCCCAAGCATCCTAATTATGGAGACTCCTGGCCAAACCCAGGCATTCTAATGATAGAGACTCCTGGCTTTCCCCAAATATTCTAATGATAAACACACTTGTGGGAACTCAGGCATACTAAGGATAGAGACATCTGGCAGAACTCAGTCATTCTAAGGGGAGAGACTCCTGGCCAACCTGTTATTCTAACAAGAGATACTCCTGACCATCCCTAGGCATTCTAATTATAAAGAATCCTGGCCAATCCCAGGCATACTAATAATAGAGACACCTAAGGAACCTCAGGCATTCTAAGGATGAAGACACTTGGCCGACACCAGCCATTCCAATGGGAGAGATTCCTGGACAAACCCAGGCATGTTAATGGAAGAGACTCCTGTCTGACCCCCGGCATTCTAATTATAGAAACTCCTGGCCTACCACAAGTGCTCTAATGATAGAGGCACCTGTGAGACTTCAGGCATTCTAAAGCCAGAGACACCTGGCAGACATCAGGTGGGAGCCTTTTGGCAAACCCCAGGCCTTCTAATGATAGACTCCTGGCTGACCCCTGGCATTCTAATGATAGAGTCATCTTGGGGACCAGAGTCATTCTAAGGTTACCCTAGGTATGCTAATGGCTTAACCGAGGCATTCTAATGATAGAGAATCCTGGCCAACCCCAGGCATTCAAATGGTATAGACACCTAAGTGACCTCAGGCATTCTAAGTGTAGAGACACCTTGTGACCCCAAACATTCTATCGGGGGAGTCAACTGGCTGAACCCAGGCATTCTAATGATAAAGACTCCTGGACGACCCTAGGCATTTTAATGATAGAGACACCTGTGTTACCTCAGTCATTGTAAGGATAGAGACACCTAGCCAACCCCAGTCATTGTAAGGATAGAGACACTTGGCCAACCCTGGCATTCTAACAAGAGAGACTCTTAGCAGACTTCAGGCATTCTAATGATGGAGACTCCTGGCCTACCCCAGGTATTATAATGATAGAGACACCTGTGCAACCTCAGGCTTTGTAAGAAGAGACACACCTGGCTGACCACAGGCATTCTAACAGAAGAGACTCCTGGATGATCCAAGGCATTCTCACGGGAGAGACTCCTAAGTGAACTAAGGCATTCTAATGATAGAGACTCCTGGACGACCTCAGGCATCCAAAGGGTAGATACAACTGGCCAAACCCAGGCATTCTAACAAGAGAGACTCCTGGCTAACCCCAGGCATTCTAATGATAGAGACACCTGGGTGACATCAGGCAATATAAGCATAGAGACACCTGGCTGACCACAGGAATTCTAGTGGAAGAGACTCCTAGTCGACCCCAGGCATTCGAATAATAGAGACTCATAGCCTACCCCAGGCATTCTAATTATAGCGTCACCTGTCTTACCTCAGACATTCTAAGGATAGAGAAACCTGGCTCACTCCAGGCTTTCTGATGGGAGAGACTCCTTGCTGTACCCAGTCATTCTAACAGGAGAGACTCCTGGCCGACCCCGGCAATTCTAATAATAAAAACTCCTAGCCAACCCAAGGAATTCTAATGATAGAGACACCTGGGGTACCTCAGGCATTTTAAGGATAAAGACACCTGGTCATCCCCACACATTCCAATGGAAGAGACTCCTGGCCGACCCCAGGCATTCTAATGATACAGGCTCCTGCAATTCCCCAGGCATTCTAATCATTGAGACACCTGTTTGACATCAGGCATTCTAAAAATAGAAATACCTGGTCAACCCAAGGCATGCTTATGATAGAGACATGTGGGGAAACTCACACATTCTAAAGATAAACACTCCTGGGCGACAGCAGGCATTCCAATGATAGAGAATGCTGGCATACACCAGGGATTATAATGATAGAGATACCTATTCAAACTTAGGCAATCTAAAAATAGAAACATCTGGCCAACACCAGGCATTATAATGGGAGAGGATCCTGGCCGACACCAGACATTCAAATGATTGAGATTCTCGGAAGACATTAGGCATTCTAATGACAGAAACACCTGGGTGAATCCAGGCATTCTAAGGATAGAGACACCTGGTCGACCCCAAGCATTCTAATGGGATAGATTCATAGAGAACCACAGGCATTCTAATGATAGAGACACTTAAGTGACCTCAGGCATTCTAAGCATGGAGACACCTTGACGACCATGGCTATTCTAATGGAAAAGACTCCTGGTGAAAACCAGGCATTCTAGTTATAGAGACTCCTAGACTACCCCATTCATTGTAATGGAAGAGAAACCTGTGTGACATCAGGCATTGTAAGGATAGAGACACCTGGTCGAACCCAGGCATTTTAACGAGAGAGACTACTGGACAAGCACAGGCATTCTAATTATAGAGACTCCTGGCAGACCCCTGGCATTCTAAAGATAAAGACACCTGGGCGACCTGACCATTCTTATGGTCAAGGCATTCTAATCAGGCATTCTAATGGAAAGACTCCTGGCCAACCACAGGCATTCTAATAATAGAGACACCTGATCTAGTCCAGGCAATCTAATAATATAAAAACCTGTGCGACCTCAGGCATTCTAAGGATAGAGACACCTGACCGAACACAGGCATTCAAAATAAAGAGACTCCTTGCTGCCCCAGGTATTCTATTGGGAGAGACTTTTGGCTGACCACAGGCATTCTAATGATAAAGACTCCTGGCCAACTGCAGGCATTTTAACAATAGAGACACCTGAGAAAACTCAGCCATTCTAAAGATAGAGACACATGGCTGACACCAGACATTCTAACGTAAGAGACTGTTTCCCAACACAAGACATTCTAACGATAGAGACTTCTAGCCACCATAGGCATTTTAATGAGAGAGACACCTTTGTGACCTCAGGCATTCTAAAAATAGGGACACCTGGTCAACCTCAGACATTCCAACGAGAGAGACAACTGGAAGACCACATGCATGCTAATGATAGAGACTCCTGGCCGACCATAGGCATTTTAATGATAGAGTCACCTGGGCGACCTCAGGCATTCTAAGGATAGAGACACCAGGCTGACCCCAGGCATTCTAATGGGAAAGTCTCCTGGCCAAGCCCAGGCCTTCCAATGATAGAGACTTTTGGCCAAACCCAGGCATTCTAGTGATAGAGATACCTGGGTGACCCCAGGAAATCTATGGAAAGAGACACTGGGAATACCCCAGGCATTCTCAAGAGAGACACTCCTTGCTGACTTCATGTATTTTAATGATAGTGACTCCTGGCCTAACCCAGGTATTCTAATGATAGAGACATCTGGGCACCCTCAGACATTCTAAGAATAAAGACACATGCCCAACCCAGGCTTTCTAACAAGAGAGACACCTGGCCAACTCTAGGCTTTCTAATGGGAGAGATTCCTAGCTGAACCCAAGCATTCTAATGATACAGACTCCTGGGCAACCTCTGGCATTCTAAAAATATAGACACCACGCTGACACTAGGCACTCTAATGGGAGACACTCGTGGCTGACCACAGGCATTTGAATGATATAGATTTCTGACCTACCCCCGGTGCCCTTATGATGGAGACACCTGTGGGACATAAAGCATTCTAAGAATAAAGGCACCTGGCCGACCCCAGGCATTCTAACATGAGAGACTCCTGGCCCACCCCAGGCATTCTAATGCGATAGACAACTGGGTAACATCAGGCATTCTAACAGTAAAGACACTGGGCTGACCCCAGGCAATATAATCGGAGAGAATCATGGCTTATCCCAGGCATTCAAATGATAAAGACTCCTGGCCTACCACAGGCATTCTAATGATAGAGACACCTGTTGTGACCTAAGGCATTCTAAGAATAGAGACATCTGGCTGGCCCCAGGCATTCTAACGGGAAAGAGCCCTTGTTGACCCTAGGCATTCTAATGAGAGAGACTTTGGCCAATCCCAGGCACACTAATAATAGAGACACCTGGGTGACCTCAGAGATTCTCAGAATAGAGACAGCTGGCTGAACCCCAGGCATTCTAATAGGAGAGACTTTGGGCTGACCCCATGCATTCTAATGATAAATAAACCTGTGCAACCTCAGGCATTCTAAAGATAGAGACACGTGGCAGACCCCAGGCATTCTAATAGGAGAGCCTCCAGGCTGACCACAGGCATTCTACTGATAGATACTCTTAGCCTAAATTCCAGGCATTCCAATGATAGATACCTGTGTGACCTCATTCATTCTAAAGATGGATACACCTGGCCAAGCCCAGGCATAGTAATGGGAGAGACTCCTGACCGACACCAGGCATTCTAATGATAGAGACTTCTGGCTGACCCCAGACACTCTAATGATAGAGACACCTGGGTGACCTCATAGATTCTAAGAATAAGGACAGCTGGCTGACACCAGGCATTCTAATGGGAGAGACTCCTGGCTGATCATAGGCATTCTAATGATAGAGAGTCCTAGACTAACTTAGGCATTCTAATGACAGAGACAGATAGGCAACCTCAGGAAATCTGTAGATAAAGACACCTGGCCAACCCCAGGCATTCTAACAGAAGACACCAATTACCGACCCCAGACTTTCTAATGATAGAGACTTTTGGCCTACCACAGGCATTCTAATGATAGAGACGCCAGAGAGACTGCAGGCATTCTAAAGATGCTGACACCTGGCAAACCCAGGCATTATAACAGGAAAGATACCTGGCCAACCCTACACATTGAAATGGGAGAGATTCCTGGCCAATTGCATGCATTCTAATTATACAGACCCAAGGGTGACCTCAGGCATTTCAAAGATACAGACATCTGGCCCACCCTAGATGCTCTAACGGGAGAGACTCCTGGCTGACCACAGGCATAAGAATGATAGAGACTCCTGGCCTACCTCAGGTGCTCTAATGAAAAAGACTCCCGTGAGACCTCTAGCATTCTAAGGATAGGGACATCTGACTGACCCTAGGCATTCTAATGGAAGAGGCTCCTGGCTAACCCAAGAAATTCTAATGTGAAAGACTCCTGGCTGACCCCAGGAATTCTAATGGCAGAGACACATGGGCGACATCAGGCATTTTAACAATAGAGACACCAGGACAACCCCAAGCATTCTAATGGAAAGACTAATGTGTGACCCCAAGCATTCCAATGACAGATACTCTTGGACTGCCCAAGGCATTCTAATGATAGAGACACCTGGGCAACCTAAGGCGTGCTAAGGATAAAGACACCTGGCTGACAGAGACATTCTAAAGGGAAATAATCTTGGTCGACTCCAGGCATTCTAATGAGAAAGATTCATGGCCAACCTCAGGCATGTTTATGATAGAGACACCTGGGGGACCTCAGGCATTCTAAAAATAGAGACACCTGGCTGATCTCAGGCATAATGACGGGAGTGACTACTGGGATTCCCCAGGCATTCTAACGATAGAAACACATGTTTGACATCAGGCATTTTAAAAATAGAAACACCTGTCCTACCCCAGACAAACTTAAGATAGAGACACATGAGGAACCTCACACATTCTAAAAATAAACACTCCTGGCCAATCCCAGGCATTCCAATGATAGAGACTGCTGGCATACACCAGACATTCTAATGATAGAGACACCTGTGAAACATAAAGCATTCCAAGAATAAAGACCCCTGGCTGAACCCAGGCATTCTAATAAGAGAGACTCCTGGCTGACCACAGGCATTCTAACGGGAGAGACTCCTGGCCGACCCCACGCTTTCTAATGCTATAGGCAACTGGGCTACATCAGGCATTCTAACAAAAGAGACTCCTGGCTGACCCCAGGTGTTCTAATGGGAAAAACTCCTGGTTCACCCCAGGCATTCTAATGAGAGAGAGTTTTGGCCAACCCCAGGCATACTAATGATAGAGATACCTGGGTGATCTCAGAGATTCTAAGAATAGAGACAGCTGGCTGACCCCAGGCATTTTAATGGGAGAGACTCCTGGTTGACCCCAGTAGTTCTAATGATTGAGAAACTTGGGCGACCTCAGGCATTTTAAGGATAGAGAAAACTGGCTGATGCCAGGCATTCTAAAGACACCTGGATGACCCCAGGCATTCTAACAAAAGACACCCCTTGCCAAACCCAGGTATTCTAATGATAGAGACTTTGGGCCTACTCCAGGCATTCTAATGAAAGAGACACCAGAGGAACCGCAGGCATTCTAAAAATACCAACACCTGGCCAACCCAGGCATTATAACAGAAAAGACACCTGGCCAACCCTAGACATTCTCACGGGAGAGATTCCTGGCCGACTGCAAGCATTCTAATCATACAGACCCCTGGGCGACCTCAGGCATTTCAATGATACAGACACCTGGGCCACCCCAGGCACTCTAATGGGAGAGACTCCTGGCTGACCACAGGCATAAGAATGATAGAGACTCCTAGCCTACCTCAGGTGCTCTAATGAAAAAGACACCTGTGAGACAGTAGCATTCTAAGGATAGAGACACCTGACTGAGCCCAGGCATTCTAACAGGACAGACTCATGGCCTACCAGAGGCATCCTAATGATAGAGATACCTGTGTGACCTAAGGCATTCTAAGGTTAAAGACCCCTGGCTGACCCCAGGCATTCTAATGGGAAAGGCTCCTGGTCGATCCCAGGCATTCTAATGAGAGAGACTTTTGGCCAGCCCCAGGCATACTAATGATAGAAACACCTGGGTGACCTCAGAGATTCTAAGAATAGAGATAAGCTGGCTGACCCAATACATGCTAACAGGAGAGACTCCTGGTCGACCTCAGGCATTCTAATGGGAGAGACTACTGGCTGACCCCAGCCATTCTAATGATAGAGACACTTGGGCAACCTCAGAGATTCTAAGAATAGAGACAAGCTGGCTGACCCAATACATGCTAACAGGAGAGACTCCTGGTCGACCTCAGGCATTCTAATGGGAGAGACTCCTGGCTGACCCCAGCCATTCTAATCATAGAGACACTTGGGCAACCTCAGGCATTATAAGGATAGAGAAACCTGGCCGACCCCGGGCATTCTAACAAAAGACACCCCTTGCCGACCCCAGGTATTATAATGACAGAGACTTTTGGCCTACCCCAGGCATTCTAATGATAGAGATGCCAAAGCGACCACAGGCATTCTAAAAATACTGACACCTGGCCAACCCAGGCATTATAAAAGGAAAGACACCTGGACATTTCTAGGCATTCTATTGGGAGAGATTTCTGGCTGACTGCATCCATTCTAATTATACAGACCCATGGGCGACCCCAGGCATTTCAATGATAGAGACATTTGTCCCACCCCAGGCACTCTAACGGGAGAGTCTCCTGGCTGACCACAGGCATAAGAATGATAGAGACTCCTGGCCTACCTCAGGCACTCTAATGAAAAGACACCTGTGAGACTGTAGCATTCTAAGGATAGAGACACCTGAGTGACCCCAGGCATTCTAACGGGGGAGACTCATGGCTGACCCCAGGCATTCAAGCCATAGAGACTCCTGGCCTACCACAGGCATTCTAATGATAGAGATACGTGTGTGACCTAAGGCATTCTAAGGATAGAGACCCCGACTAACCCCAGGCATTCTAACAGGAAAGACTCCTGGTCGACCCCAGGCATTCTAATGAGAGAGACTTTTGGCCAACCCCAGGCATACTAATGATAGAGACACCTAGATGGCCTCAGAGATTCTAAGAATATAGGCTGCTGGCCAATGCCAGGCATTCTAACAGGACAGACTCCTGGCTGATACCAGCCATTCTAATGATAGAGACACTTGGGCGACCTCAGGCATTTTAAGGATAGAGAAACCTGGCCCACCCCAGGCATTCTAAAGACACCTGGCTGACCCCAGGCATTCTGACAAAAGACACCCCTTGCCAACCCCAGGCATTCTAACAATAGAGACTTTGGGCCTACCCCAGGCATTCTAATGATAGAGACACCAGAGCAACCTCAGGCATTCTAAAAAGACCAACACCTGGCCAACCCAGGCATTATAATAGGAAAGACATCTGGCCAACCCTAGACATTCTAATAGGAGAGATTCCTGGCTGACTCCATGCATTCTAATTATACAGACCCATGGGTGAACTTAGGCATTTCAATGATAAAGATGCATGGCCCACCCCAGGCACTTTAACAGGAGAGACTCCTGGCTGACCACAGGCATAAGAATGACAGACTCCTGGTCTACATCAGGTTCTCTAATGAAAAAGACACCTGTGAGACCTGTAGCATTCTAAGGATATAGACGCCTGACCAACCCCAGGCATTCTGATGGGAAAAACTCCTAGCCAACCTCAGGAATTCTAATGGGAGAGACTCTTGGCCGACCCCAGGAATTCTAATGGTAGAGACACCTGGGCAACATCAGGCATTCTAACAATACAGACACTGGGCCAACCCCAGGCATCTAACGGAAAAGTTTAATGGGTGACCCCAAGCATTCCAATGATAAAGACTCATGCCCAAACACAGGCATTCTAACGGGAAAGACTCCTGGTCGACCACAGGCATTCTCATAAAAGAGACACCTGGACATCCCCAGGAATTCTAATGATAGAGAAACCTGGGCGACCTCAGGCATTCTAAAAATGGAGACACCTGGCTGACCCCAGGCATTCTAACCAAAGAGACTTATGGCTGAACCCAGGCATTCTAATTATAGAGCCTCAAGGCCAACTCCAGGCATTCTAATGATAGAGACACCTAGGTGAGCTCACCATTCTAATGATAGACACAACTGGCCAACCCCAGGCATTCTAATGGGAGAGACTCCTGGCCGAGCCCAGACATACTAACAATAAAAACTTCTGGCTTAGCCCAGGCACTCTAATGATAAAGACACCTGAGCAACCTCAGGCATTTTTAGGATAAAGACACCTGGCTGAACCCAGGCATTCTATCGATAGAGAATCCAAAGTGAACCAGGCATTCCAATGATAGAGACTCCTGAATGATTCTAAACATTCTAATGATAGAGACACCTGGGTAACCTCAGGCATTCTAAGGATACAGACACATGGCTGAACCCAGGATTTCTAATGGGAGAGACTCCTTGTGGACCAAAGGCATTCTAATGATAAGAGACACCTCCCTGATATCAGGCATTCTAAGGATGAAGGCACCTTGGCTCACCACAGGTATTCCAATGGGAGGGACTCCTGATTGACACCAGGGATTCTAATGGGAGAAGACTCCTGTCCAACCACAGGCATTCTCATGAGAGAGACTCTTCACTGATCCCAGGCACTTTAGCGATAGAGACACCTGGGCAACCTCACCATTCTAAGGATAGAGACACCTAGCAAACTTCAGGCATTCTAAAAAGAGAGGCTCCTGGCCGACATTAGGCTTCCTAATATTAAAGACTCCTGTCTTATTTCAAAAGTTCTAATGAGACACACCTTTGTGACCTCAGGCATTCAATGGATAGTGACAACTGGTCAACCATAGGCATTCTACCAAAAGAGACTTCTGACCAACCCCAAGCATTTGAATGATAGAGACTCCTGGCCAACCCAGGCACTCTAATGATAGAGAATTATGTGAAATCTCAAGCATTCTAAAAATAGAGAAACCTGGCTGACCCCAGGCATTCTAACAGGAGAAATTTCTGGCAAACCACAGGCATTCTAATGATAGTGACATCTGGGCGACATTAGGCATTCTAAGGATAGAGACTCCTGGATGACACCAGGCATTCTAATGAAAGAGGGTTTTCACTGACCCCAGGCATTCTAGTGGGAGAGACTCCTGGCCTACACCAGGCATTCTAAGGTTAGAGACACCTCTGAGACCTCAGGCATTCTAAAGATAGAGACATGTCTTCAAATGATGTCATTCTAATGGGAGACCCTCCTGGTGGACCCCAGGCATTCTAACAGGAGAGACTCCTGGCCAAACCTAGGCATTCTAATAATAGAAACAACTGGGCAATTTCAGGCATTCTATGGATAGATAGAGATTCCATGCATACCCTAGGCATTTTAATGACAGAGACTCCTGGCCATTTCCAGGCAGTCTAATGATATAGACACCTGGGAAAATTCTGGCATTCTAGGGATGGAGACACATCATCAACCCCACAGCCATCCTAGCAAGAGAGATTCCTGGCCAACCCAAGGCATTTTAATGATAGAGATCCATGGCCTACCCCAGGCATTCTAATGATAGAGACATCAGTGAGACATGAGACATTCTAAGGTTACAGACACATTGCTGACCCCGGCAATTTAATGGGAGAGACTCCTAGCAAAACCCAGGCATTTTTACCAAAGACACTCTGACTGATTCTAGGCATTCTAATGGTAGAAACATCTGAACAAACTTGGGCATTCTAAAGATAAAGACAACTGGCCAAACCGAGGCATTCTAATAGGAGAGACACCTGGCAGGACCCTGGTATTCTAAGGAGAGAGAGTCCTGGCTGACCCAAGGCATTGAACTGATGGAAACTTCTGGCTGACCCCTGGCATTCTAATGATAGAGACACCTGGACGACCTCAGGCATTCTAAGGATACAGACACCTGGCTTGCCCCAGCATTCTAACGAGAGAGAATCCTGGCCAATCCCAGACATTCTAATGGTAGAGACTTCTGGGTTACCACAGACATGCTAATGACAGAGACATCTGTGCCACCTCAGGCATTCTAATAACAGAGACCCCTGGATGACCCCAGGCGTTTCAGTGATAGAGACTCCTGAGCAACGCCAGGCATTCTATGGTTAGAGACACCTGGTTGACCCAGGCATTCTAATGGGAGAGATGACTGGATGACCCAGGCATTCTAACAAGGGAGGCACATGGCCCACCCCAGGCATTCTATTGATAGAGACACATGGGTGACATCAGACATTCTAAGCAGAGTGAAACCTGGACCACCACAGGCATTCTAATGGAAGAGACTCCTGACAAACCGCAGTCATTCTAATGACAGAGAATTTTGGGTTACATCAGGCATTCTAAGGACAAAGACACCTGGCCAAAACAGGCATTCTAATGGGAGAGGCACATGGCCTACCCCAGGTACTCTTAATGATAGAGACTCCTGGCCTACCCCAGGCATCCTAATGATGGGGACACCAGAGCAAACTCAGGCATTCTAAGGATAAAAACATCTAAGCTACCTCAGGCACTCTAAAAATAAAGACACCTGGGAAAACCCAGGCATGGTTGAAATGGAGACTCCTGGCTTACCACAGGCATTCTAATAATAGTGACACCTGTGCAACCTCAGTCATTCTAAGGATAGAGACACATGGCTGACCCCAGGAATTCTATCAGGGGAGAATTCTGTCTGAACACAGACATTCTAATAATAGACACGCCTGGGAGATTTCAGACATTTTAAGAATAGAGAACCTGGCTGACCTAAGGCTTTCTAACCAAAGACCCTCCTGGCCGACTCCAGGCTTCTAATGATAGAGACTCCTAGCCTATGCCAGGCATTGTAATGATAGAGACACCTGTGCAACCTCAGGCATTCTAAAGATGCAGACACCTGGACAACCTCACACACTCTAATGGGAGAGATTCCTGGCTGACCTTAGTCATTCTAACAGGAGATACTCCTGGCCTACCCCATTTATTCTAATGATAGAGACACTTTGTCAACCTTAGGCATTCTAAGGATAGAGACACCTGGCCCACCTTAGGCATTCTAAGGATAGAAACACCTGGCCCACACAAACTTTCTAACAGGGGAGACCCCTGGCCGACCTTAGGCAGTCTAACAGGAAAGACTCCTGGCCAATCACAGGCACTCTAATGATAGAGACACCTGGGCAAACTCAGGCATTCTGATGATAGAGACACCTGGATGAACCAAGGCATTCTAACAAGAGAGATTCCTAACCGACACCAGGCTTTCCAATGGCATAGACTACAGGCCTACCCCAGGCATTCTAATGATAGAGACACCTGTGCAACTTCAGGCATTCTAAGGATAGAGACACCTAGCCATCCCCAGGACCTCGAACAGGAGAGGCTCCTGGCTGACCTTAGGCATTTGAATGATAGAGAATCCTGGCCTACCCCAGGTGCTGTAATAATAGAGACAGCTCTGGGACCTAATGATAGAGACACCTGGCTGACCCCAGGCATTCTAATGGGAATGACTCCTGGTTGACCCCAAAAATTATAATAATAAAGACTCCTATCCAACCGCAGGCATTCTAATAATAAATACACCTGTGTGACCTAAGACATTCTAAGGATGAAGACACCTGGCAGACCCCAAGAATTCTAATGAAAAAGAATTCTTGTTCACCCCAGGCATTCTAATGAGAGAGAATACTGGCAGATTTCAGACATTTCAATTATAGAGGTGCCTGGTGGACCTCAGGCATTCTAAGGATAGAGACACGTGGCTGTCCCCAGGTATTCTAGTGGGAGAGAATTTTGACAAAACCCAGCATTCTAATGATAGAGACTTCTGGCCTACCCCAGGCTTTGTAATGATAGAGACACCTGGTGACCTCAGACAATCTAAGGATAGTGATATTTGACAGACACAGGCTTTCCAATGGGAGAGAATCCTGTCTGATTCCAGGCATTCTAACAGGAAAGACTCCTGGCTGACCCCAGGCATTCTAATGATAGACACCTGGGCCACCTCAGGCATTTTTTAAGGATAGAGACACCTGGCCGACCCAGGCATCCTAAAGAAAGAGACTCCTGGCCAACTCCCAGATTTATAATGATAAAGACTCCTGGCCTACTTCATTTATGCTGATAATAAAAAAATCCTTGTGACCTCAGGCATTCTAAGGAGGGACACACTCAGTCTATTACAGGCGTTCTAACAGAAGAGACTTCTGGCCAAACTCAGGTATTCTAATGATAGAGACTCCTGGCACACAGTGGGCGTTCTAATGATAAAGACCTCTGGCCAAAACCAGGCATTCTAACAAAACAGGATCCTGGCCAACACCAGCCTCCCTAATATTAGTGACTCCTGTCTTATCCCAGGCATTCTAATGATAGACACCTGGGCAACCTCAGGCATTTTTATGGATAGTGACAACTGGCTGACCCCAGGCATTCTAACGGGAGAGACTCCTGGAAGACTCCAAGCATTCGAATGATAGAGACTCCTGGACTATCTCAGGTGCTCTAATGATAGAGAAACCTGTGGCACCTCAGGCATTCTAAGGATAGAGAAACCTAGCTGACCCCAGGCATTCTAACGAGAGGGACTCAGGGCGGACACCTGTGTAACTTAAGGCATTCTTTAAATAGAGACTCCTGGCTGACCACAGGCATTCTAATTATAGAGACTCCTGGCCTATCAAGGCATTCTAACGTGAGATACTCCTTGCTGAGCACAGGCATTCTAATAATAGAGATGCCTGGCCTATTCCAGGCATTCTAATGGTAGAGACAACTATGAGGCTTAAGGCATTCTTAAGATACAGACTCCTGGCCGACCCCAGACATTCTAACAGAAGAGACTCCTGGCCTACTCCAAGCATTCTAATGATAGAGACACCTGTGCAACCTCAGGCATTTTAGAAATAGAGACCCCTAGCTGACTTCAAGTATTCTAACTTAAGAGACTACTGGCCGACCACAGACATGCTAATGATACAGAATCCCTGCCTATCCCAGACTTTCTAAGGATAGAGACACTTGGCCAACCACAGGCATTCTAACGGGAGAGACTCTGGGCCAAGCACAGACATTCTAACAACAGAGACGCCTGGCCGTGCCCAAGCATTGTAATGAAAGAGACTTTTGGATGACCCAAGGCATTCTTGTGATAGTGATACCTGGGAGAACTCAGGCAATCTAAGGATAGAGGCACCAGACCGACCACAGGCATTCTAATGGGAGATACTACTGGCCAAACCCAGGCAGTCTAAAAATAGAGACATCTGGGAGACAATAGAAATTCTAAGGAGAGAGACACCAAGCAAACCCCAGGCATTCTAACAGGAGAGAATCCAGGCTGACCACAGGCATTCTAAGAAGACAGACTCCTGTGAAACTCCAGGCATTCTAATTATAGAGACACATGGGTGAACTCAGGCAATCTAAAAAATAGAGACACCTGGCCGACTTTGGGCATTCTAATGGGAGAGACTCCTCCTGGTCGACCCAGGCATTCTAATGATAGAGACTTGTCGCCGGCTGGGCGTGGTGGCTCATGCCTGTAATCCCAGCACTTTGGGAGGACGAGGCGGGCAGATCATGAGGTCAGGAGATAGAGACCTTCCTGGCTAACATGGTGAAACCCTGTCTCTACTAAAAATACAAAAAAAAAAAAAAATAGCCAGGCGTGGTGGCAGACACCTGTAGTCCCAGCTACTCACGAGGCTGAGGCAGGAGAATGGCGTGAACCCAGGAGGTGTAGCTTGCAGTGAGCCGAGATCATGCCACTGCACTCCAGCCTGGGTGACAGAGCGAGACTCCGTCAAAAAAAAAAACTTGTGGCCAAATCCAGTCATTATAATGATAGAGACAAGAGGGCTACCTCAGGCATTCTAATGATAGAGACACCTGGCCGACCCAGGCTTTCTAACGGGAGAGACACTGACTGACCCAAGGCATTCTAATGGTAGGAACTCCTGGCCAACACTAGGCTTTCTAATCATAGAGACTTTAGGCCTACTGCAGACATTCTAATGATGGAGACAACAGTGCTAGTGCTACCTCAGGAATTCTAAGGATAGAGACACCTGGTTGACCCCAGGCACTCTAACTGGAGAGACTACTGACCGACACCAGGCTTACTAATGATAGAGACCACAGGCCTACCACAAACATTCTAACCAAAGGGATTCCATGCCGACCCCAGGCATTCTAATGATAGAGATCCCTGTCTGAACCCAGGCATTCTAATAATAGACACCTGTGTGAACTCAGTCATTCTAAGCAGAGAATCACCTGGTCAATCTCAGGCATTCTGAAGGGGAAGACACTTGGCCAACCGCAGGCATTCTAATGCTACAGACCCCTGTCCGAACACAGGAATTATGATGGAGACAACTGGGCAACCTCAGGCATTCTAAGGATAGTGACACCTGGTTCACCCCAGGCATTCTAGCAAGAGAGATTCCTGGCTGATCCCAGGCATTCAAGTAATGAAGACTCTTGCCCTACCACAGGTGGTTTAGTAAAGAAGACACCTGTGGGGCAACAAGGCCTTCTAAGGATAGAGACACCTGGCAGACCCCAGGTATTCTAACAAGAGAGACTCCTGGCACACCCTAGGCATTCTAACAGGAGAGACTTCTGGCTGACCCCAGGCATTCTAATGATAAACACCTAGGAGACATCAGGCATTTTAACAATAGACACACCTGGCTGACCCCAGGCATTATAATGGGAGACAATCCTGGCTGACCCTCAGCATTCTAATGATAAAGACTCCTAACCTAACCTAGGCATTCTAATTATAGAGACACCTATGTGACCTAAGACATTCTAAAGATAGAGACACCTGGCCAACCCCAGGCACTCTAATGGGACAAACTCCTAGTTGACTCCAGGCATTCTAATGAGAGAGACTCCTGGATGACCCCAGGCATTCTAACAGGAGAGACTACTTGCTGACCTCAGGCATTCTAATGTTAGAGATGCCTGGCATGGCCCAGGCACTCTAATAATAGGGACACCTGTGCCACCTCAGGCATTTTTAAAATAAAGACAAATGGCTAACCACAGGCATTCTAATGGAAGACACTCCAGGCTGAACCCAGGCATTCTAATGATAGAGAGCCTTCTCTGAGCCCAGGCATTCTAATGATAGACACCTGTGCAAACTCAGTCATTCTAAGGAGAGAAACATTTTATCAACCCCAGACATTCTTACAGGAGAGACTCTTGACCAACTACAGGCATTCTAATGCTAGATACCTCTGTCTGAACACAGAAATTCCAATGATAGAGACACACTGGGTGACTTCGGGTATTCTAAGGATAACGACACCTGGTCCACCATAGGTATTCTAGAGGGAGAGACTTTTGGCTGACCACAGGCATTCAAAAGATAGAGACTCCTGGCCTACCCCAGGAGTCTGGGGTATTATTCTCTAATAATAGAGAAACCTGTCGGACCATGGGCATTCTTAGGATAGAGACACATGGCCAACTCCAGACATTCTAATAGGAGAGGCTCCTTTCCCACCCTAGGCATTCTAATGGTAGACACTCTTGGCCGACCCCAGTCATTCTAATAATAGAGACCCCTAAGTGACATCAGGCATTCTAACAGTACAGACAGCTGGGTGAACCCAGGCATTCTAACTGGAAAGACTTTTGGCTGACCCTAGGCATTCTAATGTTAAAGAACCCAGGACTACCCCAGGCACTCTAATGATAAAGACTCCTGTATGACCTCAGGCATTCTAAGGATAGGGAAACCTGGCCAACCCAGCCATTCAAACAGGAGAGACTCCTTGGCCAACCCCAGACATTTTAACAAGACAGACTCATGCTGACCACAGACATTCTAATGATAGAGGAACCTGGGCGACTTCAGGTATTCTAAAAAATAGAGACACCTGGCTGACCAAAGGCATTCTAATGAGAGATATTTATGGCCAACCCCAGGCATTCCAATGATAGAGACTCCTGACCGACCTCAGGAATACTAATGATAGAGACACGTTGGTGACATCAGGCATTCTAACAATAGGAACATCTAGCTGACCCAAAGGATTCTAACAGGAGAGACACCTGGCCAACCCCAGGCATTCTAATGATAGAGAATCCTCGCCTAACCCAGGCATTCTAATAATAAATAATTCTGTATGAATCAGTCATTCTATGGACAGAGACACCTGGCTGACCTCAGGAATTGTAATGGGAGAGACTTCTGGCTGACCCCACATTCTAACGGGAGAAACTCCTGGTTGAACCCACACATTCTAATGATAGAGACTCCTTACACACCCAAGGTGCTTTAATAATAGAGAAACCTGTGCGACCTCAGGCATTCTACAGATAGAGACACCTGGCAGATTTCAGGCATTCTAATGAGAGATACTATTGGTTGTCCACAGGCATTCTAACCGGAGAGACTCCTGGCCAACCCCAGTCATTTTAACCATAGAGACACCTGGGGGACCTCAGACATTTTAAAGGGAGAGACTCCTGTCCAACCCTGGCCATTCTAATAATAAAGGTTTGTGGCCAAACCATGGTATCCTAATTATAGAGATTCCTGGCCTACCCTACTCATTCTCATGATAGAGAAACTTCTGTGATCTCAAGCACTCTAAAAATAGATACACCTGAACGAACCCAGGCCCTCTTACAGCAGAGACTCCTGGCCGATTCCAGGCATTCTAAGATAGTGACACTTGGGCGACCTCAACATTCTAAGGACAGAGGCATCTGACCTACACCAGGCATTCTAATGCTAGAGACACTTGGGCGAACTCCTCAGGCATTCTAAAGATAGAGACAAATGGCTGACCCAAGACATTTTAACGAGAGAGATTTTTTTCACCAGCTGAGGCTTTCTAATCATAGAAGTTCATGGTCAAATCCTGGCATTCTAAAGATAGACACACCTGGGCAACCTCAGGCATTCTAAAGATAGACACACCTAGCTGACACCAGGCATTCAAACGGAAGAGACTCCTGGGTTACCAGAGACATTCTAATAATAGAGACCCCTGGCCTACCCCAGGCTTTCTAATGATAGAGACACCTGTATGACATCAGGCTTTCTAAGGATAGAGACATACGGCCTACCCAACTCATTTTAATGGGTCAGACTTTTGACAGACCCTGGGCATTCTAACGGGAGAGACTCCTGGCCAACTCCAAGCACTGTAATGATAAAAACACCTGGACGACCTCAAGCATTCTAAAGATAGAGACACCTGGACAACCCAGGCATTCTAACAAGAGAGACTCCTGCTGACCACAGACATTCTAATGATAGAGGAACCTTGGTGACT
Organism: Homo sapiens; assembly: GCF_000001405.40. Lineage (NCBI taxonomy): Eukaryota > Metazoa > Chordata > Mammalia > Primates > Hominidae > Homo > Homo sapiens. The sequence continues at coordinate 58,208,354 of NC_000023.11, forward strand.
TCAGGCATTCTAAAAATAGAGACACCTGGCTGACCAAAGGCATTCTAATGAGAGAGACTTTTGGCCAACTCCAGGCATTCTAATGATAGAGACTCCTGACCAACCTCAGGAATTCTAATGACAGAGATACATTGGCAACATCAGGCAATCTAACAATAGAGACATTTGGCTGACCCAAGGCGTTGTAACAGGAGAGACTCTTGGCCTACCTCAGGCATTCTAATAATAGAGAAACCTGTGCGAGTAAGTCATTCTAGTGATAGAGATACCTGGCAGACCCCAGGCATTCTAGTGGGAGAGACTCCTGGCCGACCACGCATTCTGATGGGAGAGACTCCTGGCCAAACCCAGACATTCTAATGATAGAGACTTCTGGATGACTTTGGGCATTCTAATGATAGAGACACAAGGGCGACCTCAGGCATTCTAATGCTAGGGAAATAGGGGCGAACTCAGGCATTCTAAGGATGCCTTGATGGACCGCAGTTATTCTAATGGGAGAGGCTCCTGGCCAACCCCATGTGTTCTAATGATAGAGACTCCTTACATACCCGAGGCGCCTTAAAGATAGAGGCACCTGTGTGACCTCAGACATTCTATTGATAGAGACACCTGGCCGATTTCAGGCATTCTAATGAGAGATAATTCTGGTTTCCCACAGGCATTCTAACTGGAGAGGGTCCTGGCCGACCCCAGTCATTCTAATCATAGAGACACCTAAGGGACCTCAGGCATTCTAAAGGGAGAGACTCCTGGCCTACCCCACTCATTTTTATGATAGAGAATCTTCTGTGATCTCAAGCATTCTAAGGGTAGATACACCTGAACGAACTCAGGTCTTCTTATGGGAGAGACACCTGGCCAATTCCAGGCATTCTAAAGATAGTGACAGTTGGACGACCTCACAATTCAAAGATAGAGACGTGTGGCCTACATCAGGCATTCTAATGGAAGAGTCTCCAGGCTGACCCCCAGACATTCTAATGCTAGAGACAGCTGGGTGCACTAAGGCATTCTAAGGATCGAGACATCTGGTTGACCCAAGATATTTTAACGGGAGAGATTTTTTTGACCAACTGAGGCTTTTTAATGATAGACATTCATGGCCGAATCCTGACATTCTAAAGATAGACACACCTGGGCAACCTCAGGCATTCTAATGATAGAGAAAACTAGCTGACACCAGGCATTCAAACAGAAGAGACTCCTGGGTTACCAGAGACATTCTATTAATAGACTCCTGGCCTACCCCAGGCATTGTAATGATAGAGACACCTGTGCGATATCAGGCATTCTAAGGATAGAGACATACGGCCTACCCAACTCATTCTAATGGGTCAGAATTTTGGCAGACCCTAGGCATTCTAATGGGAGAGACTCCTGGCCAACTCCAGGCATTCTAATGAGAGACAAAACTGGGCAACCTCAGGCATTCTAAGGATAGAGACACCTGGTTAATCCCAGGCATTGTAAAAAGAGAGACTCCAGGCTGACATTAGACATTCTAATGATAGAGACTCCTGGCAGACCCCAGGCATTCTAGTGATAGAGACACCTGGGTGACTTCAGGCATTCTAAGTATAGAAACACCTGGCTGACCCTGGCATTCTAACGGGAGTGACTACTGGTCGACCCCAGGTATTCTAATAGTAGAGACTCCTGGCCTACAACAGTTATTATAATGACAGGGACACCTGTTTGATGTAAGGCAATCTAAAGGTAGAGACATATGGCCAACCCAAGGCATTCTAATGGGAGAGAATCTTGTGTGACCCCAGGCATTTTAAGGATAGACAATCATGTTCTACCCAAACATTCTAAGGATAGAGACAAATGGATGACCTCAAACATTCTAAAGATAGAGACAGCTGGCCGACCTCAGGCATTCTAACAGGAGAGACTCTGAGCCAAAACCAGGCATTCTAATGTTACAGACATCTGTGCTACCTCAGGCATCATAAGAAAAGAGACATGTGGCGGACACCAGATATTCTAACAGGAGAGACTCCTGGGCAATACCAGGTTGTAACAGGAGAGACTCCTAGCAGATTTCAGGCATTCTAATGACAGAGACACCTGGGTGATCTCAGGATTTCTAAAGATAAAGACACCTGGCCGAAACACAGGCATTCTAATGGGAGAGACTCCTGTCCCAGCCCAGGCATTCTAACAGAAGAGAATCCTGAATGACCCCAAGCATTCTAATGATAGAGACACCTGGGCGACATCAGGCATTCTAAGGATGGAGACAACTGGCTGACAAAAGGCATTCTAATGGGAAGGACAGCTGGCCGACCCCAGGCATTAAAATGACAGAGACTCTTCATTGACCTCAAGCATTCTAATGACAGAGACACCTGGGAGACCTCAGGCATTGTAAGGATAGAGATATCTGGAAGAACCCAGGCATTCTAATGGGTGAGACTCCTGGCTGAATCCAGACTTTATAACAACAGAGATTCCTGGCCGATCCCAGGCATTCTAACAATAGACAGTCCTGGCTGACCTAAAGCATTCTAATGATAGAGATGCCTAGGTGAACTAAGGAATTGTAAAAATAGAGACACCTGGCCAACCACAGGCATTTTAATGAGAGAGGCTTCTCGCTAACCCCAGGCATTCTAATAATAGATACATGTGTGCAACCTGAGACATTCTAAAGATAGAAACACCTATGGTACCCGAGGCATTCTAAGGATAGAGACATCTGGCCTACTTCAGGCATTCTAACAGGAGAGATCTAGCTGGTTGATCACAGGCATTCTTATCTGAAGAGACTCTTGGCCAACCTCATGCATTCTAGTGATAGAGACACCTGTGGGACATTAGGTAATCTAAGGATAGAAACTCCTGGCCCATCCCAAGCATTCTAATGGTAGAGACAAATGGCCCTCATCAGGCATTTCAATGATAGAGACAACTGTGTGACCTGAGGCAATCTAAGGATAGAGACATCTAATCAATCACAGGCACTCTAACGGGAGAGACTCTGGACCCACCTCAGGCAATGCAAGTATAGAGACTACTGGCCAACCCCAGGCATTCTAATGATAGTATACCTGGGCGACCTCCATCATTCTAAGGATAAAGACACCTGGCTGACCCCTGGGTTTCTTATGGGAGAGACACCTGGCCTACTCCAAACATTTTAATGATAGAAACACTTGAGCGATATCAGGCATTTTAAAAATAGAGACACCTGGCCAACCCAAGGCTTTCTAATGGGAGAGACTTTTGGCCAAACCCCAGGCATTCTAATGATAGAAACACCTGTGGGACCTCAGGCATTTTAAGTATGATGACACCTGACCCACACCAGGCATTCTAACGAAAGAGAATCCAGGCTGACATCAGACATTATAATGATAGAGACTCCTGGCCTTTCCCAGGCATTCTAATGATAGACAACTGTGAGACCTCAGTCATCCTAAGAATACAGACATCTGATCATCCCCAAGAATTCTACAAGACAGACTCCTGGCCAACCCAAGTCGTTCTATTAATACAGACACCTGGGCGATCACACATATTCTGATAGTGACACTTGGCCAAACCCAGGCATTCTAACGGGAGAGACTCATGGCCAACAGCAGGCTTTCTAATGCTAGAGATGCCTGGCTGATCCCAGGCTTTCTAATAATAGACACCTGGGAAAAGTCAGGCATTCTAAAAATGGAGACACTAGGCTGAACCCAGACATTCTAACAGGAGAGATTAAAGGTTGACCCAAGGAATTCTAATGGGAGATAGTACTGGCCGAACCCATGCGTTCTAATGATAGAGACTCCTGGCCTGACCCCTGCATTCTCATGATAGAAACACAGTTGCGACCTCAGGCATTCTAAAGTTAGAGACACCAGGCCAATTTCAGGCATTCTAATGGGAGAGACTCCTTGCCGCCCCCAGGAATTCTAATGATAGAGACACCTCGGTGATCTCAGGCACTCTAACAATAGAGATACCTGGCATACCCAAGGCATTCTAAAGGGAGAAAGTCCTGGCCGAATTCCAGGCATTCTAATGATAGAGATCCCTGTGCGACCACAAGTACTTTAAGGGTACAGACCCTTGGCCAAATCTAGGCATTATAATGATAGACATTTCTGGCCTATCTCAGGCATTCTACTGATAGAAACTCCTGGGCGACTTCAGGCATTCTAAAGATGGGGACACCTGGCAGTACACAGGCATTCTAATGGGAGAGACTCCTGGCCAGCCCCAGGTATTCTAAAGATAGAGACACCTTGGCGATATCAGGCATTCTTAGGATAGAGACACCTGACTGATCTTAGGCATTTTAATGAGAGAGACCTTTGGCTGACCACAGGCTTTCTAATGATAGAGACTCCTGGCCAACCACAGGCATTCTATTGATGGAGACACCTTGGAGACCTCAGCCTTCTAAAGATAAATACACCAGGCCAAGCCCAACATTCCAATGAAAGAGAAACCTGGCTGGCCCTAGTCATTCTGATGATACAGACCCCTGGCTGACCCCAGGCATTCTAATGATAGAGACACCTGGGTGACTTGAAGTATTCAAAGAATAGTGACACTGGCTGATCCCAGGCATTCTCTCAGGAGATACTAAAGGTTGACCCCAGGCATTCTAATGGGAGAGACTCCTGACGACCCCAGGCCTTTTAATCTTAGAGACTCCTTACTGACCTCAGGCATGCTAATAATGAAGACACTTGGCCGACCTCAGGCATTTTAATGGGAGAGACTCCTGGCCGACGCCAGTCATTCTAAAAATAGAGACATGTGGCCGACCTCAGTATTCTAATGGGATAGTCTCTTGGACAACCCCAGGCATTCTAAGAATAGAAACACCTAGGCAACCTCAGGCATTTTAACGGGAGAGACTCCTCATTGACCTCATTTATTTTAAGGATAAAGACATCTGGCAGAACGCAGGAATTGTAAGTACAGGGACTGCCTGGCTTACCCAAGGCATTCTAATGATAGAGACACCTGGGTGAAACCCTGTATTCTAAGGATACAGTCACCTGTCTGACTTCAGGCATTTTAATGTGAGAGAGTCCAGCCATCCCTAGCCATTCTAAAAATAGAGACATCTGGCCACACTCAGGCATTCTAATAGAAGACACTCCTGGCTGACCGGAGGCATTCTAATGAAAGAGACTCCTGGTCAAACTTAGGCATTCTAAGGATAGAGACACCTGACAGAATCCAGGCATTCTAATGGGAGAGGCTTCTGGCCACCCTCAGGCATTCTAATTATAGAGACACCTGGGCGACTTCCAGCATTCTAAAGATAGAGACACCTGGCCAAATTCAAGCATTCTAACGGGAGTGACTCCTGGCTGACCCCAGGCATTCTAAGGGTAGAGATATCTGGCCAAACTGAAACATTATTTTTTTGAGACTTAGTCTCACTCTGTTGCCCAGGCTGGAGTGCAGTGGCATGATCTTGGCTCACTGCAACCTCTGCCTCCTGGGTTCAAGCGATTCTCCTGCCTCAGCCTCCTGAGTAGCTAGGATTACAGGCACACACCATCACACCTGGCTAATTTTTGTATTTTTAGTAGAGATGTGGTTTCACCATGTTGGTCAGGCTGGTCCGGAAATCCTGACCTTGTGATCCACCCACCTCAGCCTCCCAGTGCTGGGATTATAGGCATGAGCCACCACACCCATCTCCTGGGCTCAGGCATTCTAACCGAAGAGTCTCCTGGCCAACCCAGGCATTCTAATAATAGAGAAACCTGGGTGACCTCAGGAAGTCTATGGACAGAGGTTCTTAGCTGACCCCAAGAATTCTACTAAGAGACATCTAGGTGGCATCAGGCATTTTATGGATAGACACTCCATGCCAACCCGAGGCATTTTAATGATAAAGACACTTGATAGAACTCAGGATTTATGCGGATAGAGACTTTTGGCCGACCACCAGCATTTTAATGATAGAAACCTAGGCGACCTCCGGCATTCTAAGGATAGAGATCCCTGGCCGACTTCAGGCATTCTAATGATAGAGACATCCAGCCAATATCATGCATTCTAAAAATAAAATGCATGGAGTCCTGGTCGACTCCAGGCATTCTAATGGTAGACACCTAGGTGACTGCAGGCATTCTAATGATAGAGACTCCTGACTGACCACATGCATTCTAATGTGATAGATTCTTGGCCGACCATAGACATTCTAATGCTAGAGAAACCAGGGTGACCACAGACATTTTAAAGATAGAGACTCCTGGCCAACTCCAGGCATTCTAATGGGAGAGACTTCTGGTTGACTTCAGGCATTCTAATTATAGAGACACTTGGATGACTTCCAGCATTCTAAGGATAGAGGCACCTGGCCGAATTCAGGCATTTTAATGGGAGAGACTCCTAGCTGACCCCAGGCATTCTAAGGTTAGAGATATCTGACTGATATCAGGCATTCTAATGGGAGCATCTCCTGGCCAACCCCAGGCATTCTAATGATAGAGACACCTGGGTGACCTCAGGCATTCTATGGATAGAGGCTCCTAGCTGACCCCAGGATTTCCAATGGTAGACACATGGGTGACATCAGGAATTCTAAAAATAGAGACTCCCAGCCTACCTCAGGCATTCTAATGGGAGAGACCCCTGTACAACCCCAGGTCTTCTAATGATGGAGATACATGGGCAACCCCAGACATTTTAAGCATAGAGACAGCTGGGCGACCTCAGGCATTCTAAGGTTAGAGACTCCTGGCTGACCCCAGGCATTCTAATAATAAAGACACCTGGGTGACCTCAGAAATTTTAAAAATTAAGACTACTGGCCGACTCTAGGCATTCTAATAATAGAGACACCTGGGTGATCTCAGACACTCTAAGGACAGAGACATCTGGTACACCTCATTTATTCTAACAGTTGAGTTGCTTGGTGAATCCAGGCATTCTAATGATAGACACACTTGGGCGACCTCAAGCATTCTAAAAATAGAGACTCCTGGCTGACCACAGAAATTCTAATGATAGACACCTGGGCAACCTTAGGCATTCTTAGGATAGAGACTTCTGGCAAACTCCAGGCATTCTAATGATAGAAACACCTGGGTGACCTCAGGCATTCTATGGATAGAGGCTTCTGGCTGATCCTAGGCATTCTAATGATAGACACATGGGTGACCTCAGAAATTCTAAGGATAGAGACTCCTGGCTGACCCCAGCCATTCTAATAACAGAGACACCTTTTTGACTTCAGGCTTTCTAAAGATAGACTCCTGGCCGTCCCCAGGTGTTCTAATGAGAGAAATTCCTGGCCAACCTTAGGCATTCTAATCATAGAGACAACTGCTAGACCTCAGGCATTCTAATGGAAGAGACTCATGGCCCACAACAGGCATTTTAATGATTGAGACAACTGGCGACCTCCAGCATTCTAAGGATAGAGACATGAGGTCGAGTTCCAGCATTCTAATGTAAACACTCCTGGTTAATCCCAGGCATTGTAAAAATAGAGACAATTCTCTGACCTCAGGGATTCTAACAATAAAGTTTCCTGTGTGACCCCAGGCATTCTAACAGGAAAGACTCCTGGCTGAACACAGGCATTCTAAGGATAGAGACACCTGGCTGACCTCAGGCATTCAAACGGCAGAGAGGCCTGGCTGACCTTAGGCATTCTAAGGATAGAGACATCTCGCTGACCACAGGCATTCTAATTACAGAGACCTGGGCGACCTCAGGCATTCTAAAAATAGAGACTCCTTGTCGAACCCAGGCATTCTAATGATTGAGATACCTGTGTGATCCCAGGCATTCTAAGGATAAAAACTTTTGGCCAACCCCATTCATTCTAATGATAGAGATAGCCAAGCGACCTCAGACATTCTAATGATTGAGAAATCTGTCTGAACTCATGCATTCTAAAAGTTGATTCTCCTGGCCGAATCCAAACATTCCAGCAATAGAGACACTTGTGTGACCTCAGGCATTCTAAGAAGAGAGACTCCTGACCAACCCCAGGCATTCTAATAATAGACAACTGGTTGATCTCAGGCATTCTAAGGAGAGAGATTCCTGGCCTAACTCAGGCATTCTAATGATAGAGATAGCTGGCTGAGCTCAGGCATTCTGAGGACAGAGACTCCTGGCCGACATCAGTTGTTCTAATTGGAGAGACTACTGGCCGATATTAGAAATTATAAGGGGAGAGCCACCTGGGCAACCTCAGGCATTCTAGTGAAAGGGATAACTAGCCAACCTCATTTATTCTAACATGAGAGACTCCTGATTGACTTCAGGAATTCTGAAGAAAAGACTCCTGGCTTACTTCAGGCATTCTAGTAGGAGAAACACCTGGTCGACCAAAACAAGGAACAAGCTATCTGTGAATATATTTATGTTGTGTGGATTAATGGAATATGTGTTTTCATTCACCAGATTGGAAACACATTTTTGTAGATTCTATGAAGAAACATTTCTGAGCCCACTGAGGTCCATAAAAAAAATTGAATATCCCACAATAAAATCTAGAAATAAGCTATCTGTGAAAATGATTTGTGATGTGTGGATTTATCCCACAAAATGGAATCTCTATTTTTATAAATCAGGTTGGAAACACTCACTTTGTAGAATCTACAAAGGGACATTTCTGAGCCCATTGTGGCTACCAAGGAAAATCAAATATCCCATGTTAAAAAGTAGAAACAATCAGTCTGTGAAAATGCATTAAGATTTGTGGTTTTCTCTCACAGAATGGAACCTGTGTTTTTATTCACCAGGTTGGAAACACTCTTTTTGTAGAATATACAATGGGACATTCCTGATACTACTGAAACCTATAGTAAAACACCTAATAACCTGTGATAAAAACTGAAATCAAGCTATACGTGAAAATGCTTCATGATTTGTGAAATCATGTCACAGAATGGAACCCGTGTTCTGATTCACCAGGTTGAAAACACTCTTTCCATGAAAGAACTAAGAGATATTTCTGAGACCATAGGGGCCTCTAAAAAAATCAAATAATCTGCGATGAAAACGAGAAACAAGCTATTTGTGAAAACGCTTTGTGATGTGTGGATTCATCTCAAGGAATGGAACCAGTTTTTTGATTAACAAGTTTGGAGACACTCTTTTTTTAGGATGTTTGAAGTGACATTTCTGAGCTCATTGAGGCCCACAAGAGTAAATCTAATATCGTGCTATAAAAACTAAAAGCAAGCTATCTATGAAAATGCTTTGTGATGTGTGGATTCATCTTATAGAATGGAGCCTGTGTTTCAATTCACCAGGCTGGAAACACTCTTTTGGTAGAATCTATGAAGGGACATTTTGGAGCCCACTGAGGCCTATAGTTAAAAACTGAATAAACCGAGATAAAGAAAAATTTCAAAAAAAGATACGTGTAAAAATGCTTTAAGAAGTGTCAATTTATCTGACAGAATGGAACCAGTGTTTTGATTTATCAGGTTATAAACATTCTTGTTGTGTAGTCTACGAAGGGACATTTCTGAACCCTTGAAGCCTGTGGTAAAAAATAAAATATCCTGCAATAAAAAATAGAAGACAAGCTATTTATAAAAATGCTTTGTGATGTGTGGCTCCATCTTAGAGAATGGAACCTGTGTTTTGATTCACGAGGTAGGAAACACTCTTTTTGTAGAAGCTAGGAAGGGACATTTCTGAGCCTATTGACACCTCTCTAATAGAAAATGAAATATCCTGTGATACAAACTAGAAAAATATATCTGTGAGAATGTTTTGTGATGTGTGGATTCATCTCGCAAAATGGAACTTGTGTTTTTATTCACCAGGTTGGAAACACTCTTGTGGTAGAACCTATGAAGGGTGATTTTCAGCCCAATGAGGCCAACAAGAAAAAATTGAATATCTTGCTGTTAAACTATAAACACACTCTCTGTGAAAATGCTTTATAGTGTGTATTCATCTAACAAAATGGGTCTTTTGTGTTGATTCACCATGTTCACAACACTATTTTGTAGAATTTACAACAAGACAGATCAGAGCCCATGTAGTCAAAAAGGAAAATTGAATATCTCATGATAAATACTAGAAACAAGCAATATGTGAAAATGCTTTGTGATGTGTGGTTTCATCTTACAAAATGAAACATGTGATTTGATTCACCAGGTTCCAAACAATCTTTTTCTAGACTCTATGAGGGGACAATTATGAGCCCATTTAAGCCTATAATAAAATATGAATATCCCATGATAAAAACTAGAAACTTCTATATGTGAGTACATTAAAGCCTACATTTAAAAAAAACCGAATATCCCATGCTAAAAACTAGAAAGAAGCTATATGTGAAAATGCCTTGTGATGTGTGGATTCATGTCACTAAGTTAAACCAGTGTTTTGATTTACCAGGTTTTAAACACTCTTTTTGTAGAATCTACAGAGGGACATTTCTGAGCCAATTGAAGCCTATACTGAGAAACCAAATATCCCCCCAAAGAAACGTGAAATACCCCATGTGTGAAAATGCTTTGTGATATGTGGATTCACTTCATAAAATGAAACATGTGTTTTAGATTCACCAGGTTAGAAACACTCTAGTGGGTGAAATTCACCCCCCGATATTTCCCGTAGGTTCTTTTCTATTTTCCTTAAGTGTCAGCCAGTCTGAGAAATAAAAGGAAAGAGTACAAAAGAGAGAAATTTTAAAGCAGGGTGTCTGGGGGAGACATCACACATTGGCGGGTTCCGTGATGCCCCCTGAGCCATAAAATCAGCAAGTTTTTATTAGTGATTTTCAAAGGGGAGGTGGTGTATGAAAAGTATGTGGGTCACAGAGATCACATGCTTCACAAGCTAATAAGATATTGCAAGGTAAATGGAGGCAGGGAGAGATCACAGGACCACAGGACAGGGGCAAAATTAAAATTGCTAATGAAGTTTTGGGCACTCATTATCATTGATAACATCTTATCAGGAGACAAGGTTTGAGAGCAGACAACCGGCCTGACAAAAATTTATTAGGTGGGAATTTCCTCGTCCTAATAAACCTGGGAGCACTACGGGAGACCAGGACTTATTTCATCCCACTGCTGTGACCGTAAAAGACAGCTGCCCCCAAAGCAGCCATTTTAGAGGCCTCCCCTCAGGGACACATTCTCTTTCTCGGGGATGTTCCTTGCTGAGAAAAAGAACTCAGCAATATTTCTCCTATTTGCTTTTGAAAGAAGAGAAATATGGCTCTGTTCTTCCCGGCTCACCGGCAGTCAGAGTTTAAGGTTATCTCTCTTGTTCCCTGAACATTGCTGTTATCCTGTTCTCTTTTCAAGGTGCCCAGATTTCATATTGTTCAAACACACACGCTCTACAAAAAATTTGTGCAGGTAACGCAATCATCACAGGGTCCTGAGGTGACATACATCCTCCTCACCTTACAAAGATGACAAGATTAAGAGATTAAAGTAAAGACAGGCATAGGAAATCACAAGGGTATTGACTGGGGAAGTGATAAGTGTCCATGAAATCTTCACAATTTATGTTCAGAGATTGCAGTAAAGACAGGCATAAGAAATTATAAAAGTATTAATTTGGGAACTGACAAATGTTCATGAAATCATCACAATTTATGTTCTTCTGCCATGGCTTCAGCAGGTCCCTCCTTTCGGGAGTTCCTGACTTCCTGGAACAATACTTTTCCTGTGGAATCTGGAAAGGGAAATTTCTGAGCCCACTGAAGCCTATAGTGAATAACCAAATATCCCATGATAAAAACTAGAAATAAGTTATATGTGAAAATGCTTCATGATTTATAGATTCATTTCACAGAGATAAACTACTGTTTTTATTCACCAGGTTGAAAACCCTCTTTCTGTAGGATCTATGAAGGGACATTTCTGAGCTTGTTGAAACTGATAGTGAAAAACTGAAACAGATAGTGAAAAACTGAAACAAGCTATCTGTGAAAATGCTTTGTGTTGTGTGGATTCATCTCACAAAATGGACTTTTATTTTGATTTACCAGGTTGAAAACTGTCTTTTTGTAGTATCTATGAAAAGACATTTCTGATCCCATCAAGGCCTATAGTTAAAAACAGAATATCCCAACTAAAACCTAGAAAATAGCAGTGTCTGAAAATGATTTGTGATCTATCAATTCATCTGACTATAACGGAACATGTGTTTTTATTCCCCAGGTTGGAATCATCCTTTTTGTAGGACCTACGAAGGGATATTTCTGAGCCCATTGAAGCCTATACTGAAAAACCGGACATCTTGTGATAAAAAGTAGAAACAAGGTATGTGTGAAAGGGCTTTTTGATATGTGAATTCATCTTACAGAGTTAAAACTCGGTTTTGATTTACTAGTTATTAAACACTGTTTTTGTATTACCTACAAAGGGACTTTTCTGACCCCAGTGAAGCCTACAGTGAAAAACTGAATGTCCCATGATAAAAACCTGAAAGAATCTATGTGTGAAAATGTTTTGTGATATGTCGATTCTCTCACAGAGTTAAACCTGTGTTTTCATTCAGCAGGTTGGAAACTATTTGTAGAATCTATGAGGTGACATTTCAGAGCCCATTGAATTTTATAGTGAAAAACCTAATATCCCATGATAAAACCTAATATCCCGTGATAAAACATAGAAACATGGTATACGTGAAAATGCTTTGTGATGTGTGGCTTCATCTCACATGGTTAAGCGTGTGTTTTGGTTCACCAGATTGGAGATCCTCTCTTTGTAGAATCTACAAAGGGACATTTCTGAGCCTATTGAAGCTTTACTCAAAAATCAAATATCCCACAATAAAACTTGGAAGCAAGCTATATTTGAAAATGTTTTGTGATGTGTGAATGCATCTCACAGAAAGAAACCTGTATTTTGTATCACCAGGTTGGAAACAGTCTTGTTGTAGAATCAGCGAAGGGACATTTCTGAGCCGATTGGTGCTCATAAGATAAAATAGAATATCCAATGAGAAAAACTAGAAACAAACTGTCTGTGAAAATACCTCGTGATGTGCGGATTTATCTCACAAAATTGAACCTCTGTTTTTATCCACCAGGTTGCAAACCTTTTTTTTTTTTTTTTTGTAGAAAATGTGAAGGGATATTTCTGAGCCCTTTGAAGCCTATGATGAAAAACTCAATATCCTTATGTAAAAACTAGAAACAAGCAATATGTGAGAATGCTTTGTGATGTGTTGATACATCTAACAGGGATAATATTCTATTTTAATTCACCAGGTTGGAAACACTATTTTTGTAGAATCTATGAGTGGACATTTCTGTGCTTATTGAAGCCTACAGTAAAACATCAAATATCCTGTGATGAAAACTAAAAAAAAAAGCTATCGGTGAAAATGCGTTTTGATGTGTGGATTCGTTTCACAGAGTTAAAAACGTATTTTGGTTCACCATGTTGTAAATACACTTTTTGTAGAATGTACAAAAAAAAAAAATTCTGAGCCATTTGAAGCCTGCATTAAAAAACTGAATATCCCACAATAAAATCTAGGAAAAAGCTATGTATGAAAATGTTTTGAGATGTGTCGATTTATGTTCCAGAATTTAAAAATTGTTTTCATTCACCACGTTGGAAACATTCTTTATATAGAATCTACGAAGGGACATTTCTGAGTTTATTGAAGCCTATTGTGAAAAACCAGATATTCCACAATAAAAAGTACAAAGAAGCATTCCATGAAAATGCTTTGTGATATGTGGATTCATCTCACATAATGGAACCTGTGTTTTGTTCCACCTGGTTGAAAACACTCTTTGTAAAATCTACGAGAGGACATTTCTGAGCCCATAGAAGCTGATAGTGAAAAACCTAATAGTCCTCAATAAAAACTAGAAACAAGCTGTCTGTAAAAGTTTTTTGGGGTGTGTGGATTCATCTCACGGATTTAAACCTGTGTTTTGATTCACTAGGCTGGAAACACTCTTTTTAGAATGTATAAGGGACATTTCTGAGCCCACTGAAGGTTATAGTGAAAAACAGAATATCCCATGATAATAACGAGTAACAAGCTACATGTGAAAAACCTTTGTGATGTGTGGAATCCTCTCACAAAATGGAACCTGTGTTTTGATTCACTAGGAGGGACAAACTCTTTTTGTAATGTAACTCATGGGCCATTTCTAAGTCCATTGAAGCCTATAGTGTAAAGTGGAATATCTTGCGATAAAATCTAGAAAGAAGCTATCTATGAAAACTTTTGTGATGTGTGGATTCATCTCTCAGAGTGGAACTTTAGTTTTGTTTCATCAGGTTGGAATCCCTCTTTTTCTAGAATCTACAAAAGGACATGTCTGAGCCCATTGAGGCGTATAATAATACGCCATGATAACAACTAGAAACAAGCTACCTGTGACCTCAGACATTAAGGAGAGACTCCTGGCCAACCCCCGGCATTCTAATAATGGAGAATCCTGGCTAATCCCATCCATCCTAATGATAGAGAAACCTGTGCAACTTTGGGCATTCTAATCATAGAAACACCTCAGTGACCTCAGGCAATCTGAGGATAGAGACACCTGCTGGAGCCCAGGCATTCTAACAAGAGAGACTCATGGGAGACCCCAAACAATCTAATGGGAGAGACCCCTGGCTGATCCCAGGCATTCTAATGATAAAGACACCTGAGTGAGCTCAGGCCTTCTAAGGATGGAGACAGCTGGCTGATCCAAGGCATTCTAACAAGAGAGACCCCTGGCCAACACCAGGCTTTCTATTTATAGAGACTCTAGGTCTACCCCAGGTATTCCAATAATAGAAACATCTGTGCAACCTTAGGCATTCTGAAAATAGAGAGAGCTGGCTGACACAAGGCATTTTAAGAGACATACTCCTGGCAGTCTCCAGGTATTCTAATGATAGAGACTCCTGGCTTACCCCATTTCTTCTAATTATAGGAACACCTAACCAATGCCAGGAATTCTAATGGAAGGGAATCCTGGCCAGCCCCAGGCTTCCTAATGATAGAGACTCCTGTCCTACCCCAGGCATTCTAATGAAAGAACCTGGGAGAACTTAGGCATTCTAAGAATAGTGACAACTGGCCTGACCCCTGGCATTGTAATGGGACAGACACCTAGTCAAACACAGGCATTCGAGTGATAGAGTTTTCCAGCCTACCGGAGTCAATCTAATGACAGAGATTCCTGTGGGACCACACACATTCTAAGAATAGAGACACCTGGCCAACCCCAGGCATTCAAACTGGAAATGCTTATGGACATCCACACGCATTCCAATGATAGAGAAACATAGGTGACATGAGGTTTTCTAAGGATAAAGACACCTGGCCAACCCCAGGCGTTGTAAGGGGAGAGACTCCTTGCCAACCCCAGGCTTTCTACTGATAGAGACTCCTGGCTCACCCTAGGTATTCTAATAATAGAGACACCTGTGGGACCTCAAGAATCCTAAGGATATATACACCTTGTTGACCCCAGGCATTCTAATTATAGTGACTTCTGGACAACCCAAGGCAATCTAAAGATAAAGGCTCCTGGCCTATCCCAGGCATTCTAATGACAGAGACCCCTGTGGGATCTCAGTCATTCTAAAGATTGAGACACATGGGCAACCCCAGGCATTGTAACAGAACTCCTTGCTGACCACAGGCATTCTAATGATAAAGAAACCTGTGTGAAATCAGGCATTCTAACAATAGAGACACTTGGCCAACTCCAGGCATTCTAAATGGAGAGACTTTTGACCAACCCCGGGCATTCTAATCATAGAGACACCTGGGTGACATCAAACACTCTAAGGATAGAGACACGGCCTACCCCACATATTCTAATGAGAGAGAGTGGTGGCCAACTGGGACATTCTAATTATAGAGGCTACTGACCTAGCCCAGGAATAGTAATGATAGAGACACCTGTGTTACCTAAGGCATTCTACAAATAAAAATACCTGGCTTACCCCAGGCATTCTAATGGGAGGGACTCCTGGCCAACCTCAGGTATTCTAATGGAAGAGACCCCTGGCCAAACCTAGGCAATCTAATGGTAGAGATTCCTGGCTCACCCCAGGCATTCTAATGATACAGACACCTGAGGGACTTCAGGCAATTAAAGGATAGACACCCCTGGCCACCCCAGGCATTCTAATGATAGAGGCAGCTGGGAGACCTCAGACATTAAAATGTTAGAGACAACTGTGCTGTCTCAGTCATTCTAATGATTGAGAGAGCTGTCTGGCCCCAGGCATTCTAATGGGAGGGACTCCCAGTTGACCCCAGGAATTCTACTGATAAAGACTCCTGGTCTACCTGTGGCTTTCTATTGATAGAGACCCCTGTGTGACCTCAGGCAATCTAACAAAAATACTCCTGGTGAACCCCATGCATTCTAATAACAGAGACACCTGGGCGACATAAGGCATTCAAAGGATAGAGACACCTGACCCACCCCAGGCATTCCAATGATAGAGACTCCTGGCTGACCCAAGGAATTCTAATGATTGAGACTCCTGGCCTATCTAAGGCATTCTAAGGATAGAGACAGAGGTGCGACCTCAGGAATTCTAAGGATAGAGACACTTGCATTACCCAGGCTTTCTAACGAAAGAGACTGCTTTCTGACCCCAGGCATTCTAATAATGGAGACACCAGAACGAGCTCATCATTCAAAGGATAGAAACACCTGTACAACCCCAAGAATTCTAACAGGAGAGACTTGTGGCCGACTTCAGGCATTCTAATGATAGAGACTCCTGGCCTAGCCCAGACATTCTAATAATAAAAACACCAGTGTGACCTCAGACATTTTTAAGAGGAAGAAACTTGGCCAACCCCATGCATTCTAACCGGAGAGACTTCAGGCTGAAACCAGGTATTCTAATGATAGAAACTCATGGCTGAGCCATGGCATTCTGATGATGGAGGCTACTGTGAAACCTCAGGAACTCTAAGGATAGAGAAAG
The DNA here is from genome assembly GCF_000001405.40 of Homo sapiens. Lineage (NCBI taxonomy): Eukaryota > Metazoa > Chordata > Mammalia > Primates > Hominidae > Homo > Homo sapiens. The sequence goes on from NC_000023.11 coordinate 58,225,228, forward strand.
CTCTTTTGCCCCAGGCATTCTAATGGGAGAGACTACTGGCCAAACCCAGTCACTATAGTGATAGAGATGCTTGGCCTAACCCAGACATTCTAATGGTAGAGACACCTATGCGACCTCAGGCATTCTAAGGATAGAGATCCCTGGCCGACCCCAGGCATTCAAATGAAAGATTCTCCCTGCTGACCCCAGGCATTCTAACAGGAGAGACTCCTGGCCTATCCCAGGCATTCTAATTTTACAGACACCTCTGAGACCTCAGGCATTCTAGGAATAGAGACACTTCACTGACCTCAGTCATCCTAACAAGAGAGACTCCTGGGTGAAACATGGCATTAAATGATAGAGACACCTGGGAGACTGCAGACAATCTAAAAATAGAGACACGTGGCTGAACTGAGGAATTCTAACAAGAGAGAATTTTGGCGGACCCCTTGGGATTCTAACAGGAGAGGGTCCTGGCCAAACCCAGGATGTCTAATAATAGAGATCCCTTGCTGACCCCAAGCATTCTAATGATAGAGATACCAGGGCGACCTCAGGCATTCTAAGGATAGAGACAAGTGGCCGACACAAGGCATTCTAATGAGACTCCTGGTTGACCCTAGGCATTCTAATAAGAGAGACTCCTGGCCTACCCCAGGCATTCTAATGTTAGAGAAACATCTGAAACCTCAGGCATTTTGAAAGTAGTGACACCTGGTGAGCCCCCAGCATTCTAAGGATGGAGACACCTGGCCTAAACCAGAAATTTAAACAGGAGAGACTCCTGGACGACCCCAGACATTCTAATGTAGACACCTGGCTTACCCCAGGTATAGTAATGATGGACACATCTGTGTGACCTGAGGCATTCTAAAAATAGAAACACTTGGCTGACCCCAGGTATTCTAAAGGGAGAGACTCCTGCCCAACAATAGGCATTCTAACAGGACAGACTACTAGCCGACCCTAGGCATTCTAATCATAGAGATTTCTGGCTGATTCAGGAATTCTAATGATAGAGACACCTGGGGGACCTCAGGCATTCTAAGGATAGAGACAACTGGTTGACCCCAGGCATTCTAAAGGGAGAGAATCCTGGCAGACCCTTGGCATTCTAAAAGTAGATACAACTTGGTGACCTTCTAAAGATAGAGACGCATGGCCGAACCAAGGCATTCCAATGGAAAAAAAATTTGCAGACCCTCAGCTTTCTAACAGGAGAAAGTTCTGGCAAAGCCTAGGCATTATAATGACAAAGACTCCTGGCCTACCTCAAAAGTTCCAAGGATAGAGACACCTGTGATACCTCAGGCATTCTAAGGATAAAGACACCTGGCTGATTCCAGGCATTCGAACGGGAGCAACTCCTGGCCGAACCCAGTCATTCTAACCAGAGAGACTCCTGGCCAAACCTAAGCATTGTAACGATGAAGACAAATATGTGACCTCAGGCATTCCAAGGATAGGGACATCTGGCCAACTGAGGCATTCTAACGGAAAGACTCCTGGCCAAACCTTGATTCTGTAAGAGAAGAGATTCCTGGTGGACTCCTGACCAATCCCTGTCTTTCTAAGTATAAAGACACTTGTGCAACCTCATGCATTCTAAGTTTAGAAATACCTGGCTGACCCATGGCATTCTAACGGTAGAGATTCCTGGTCAACCAGAGGCATTCTCATGATAGAGACTCCTGGCTGACCCCTGGCATTCTAATGATAAAGACACCTGGGCGACCACAGGCATTCTAAAAATAGAGCCAGTTGACTTACCCCAGGAATTCTAATGGGAGATACTCCTGGCCGATTCTAGAAATTCTAATGATAGAAACTCCTGGCATACACCAGGCTTTCTAATGTTAGAGACACCTCTGCGACCTCAGGCATTTTAAGGATAGAGATACCTGGCCGACCCCAACCATTCTAATGGAAGAGACTCCTGGCTGACTCCAGGCATTCTAGTGGGAGATACTCCAGGCCTATCCCAGGAATTCTAAAGTTAGAGACACCTCTGAGATCTCAGGCATTCTAAGTAAAGAGACACCTTGCAATTCCAAGTCATCCTAATGGGAGACTCCTGGCAGACCCACACATTTTAATGGGAGAGACTCCTGGCCGAACACATGCATTCTAATGATAAAGACACCTGGGCGACCTCAGGCATTCTAAGGATAGAGACATCTGGCCGACCCAAGGCAATCTAATGTGAGAGACTTCTGCTGGACACCAGGCTTTCTAATGATAGAAACTCCAGGCCTCCCCCAGGCATTCTAATGAAAGAGACACCTGTGTAATCTCAGGTATTCTAAGGATAAAGAATCCTGGTTGACCCCAGACATTCTAATGATGGAGACTCCTGGCCTACTGCGTTCATTCTAATGATACAGTAACCTGTGCAACCTCAGTCATTTTAAGGATAGAGACACCTGGACGACCTCAGGCATTCTAATGGAAAAGACTCCAGTTTGACCCCAAGCTCTCTAATGATAGAAACTCTTGAATGAAGCCAGGCATCATAATAATAGAGACACGTGGGCGACCATAGGCATTCTAATGATAGAGACACCTGTGTGACCTCCTGCATTCTAAGAATAGAGATACATCGCTGACCTTAAGCATTCTAATGAAAACATTCCTGGCCATCCCCGCTCGTTGTAATGAGAGAGATTCCTGGGCAGCATCAGGCATTCTAAAAATACTGACATCTGGCCTATGCCAGGAATTCTAATGAGAGAGATTCCTGGCCGACCAGAGGCATTGTAATGATAGAGACTCCTGGCCTACTTCAGGAATAATAATTATAAAGACGCCTGTGTGACCTCAGGCATTTTTAAGTACAGAAAACCTGGACTACCCCAGGCATTCTAATGGGAGAGAATCCGGGCTGACCCCAGACATTCTAACAAAAGAAACTGTCGGCCAAATCCAGGCATTCTAAGGATAGAGACACGTGGAAAACATCAGTCATTTAAGGATAAAGACGCCTGGCTGACCTAAGGCATTCTAACGGGAGAGAGTACTGGCCAACCCAAAGCATTTTAATGATAGAGACCCCTGGCCGCCAAAGGCATCCTAACGATAGAGACAGCTGGGCGACATCAGGCATTCTAAGGACAGGGACACCTGGCCAACCCCAGGCATTCTAACTGGAGAGACTCCTGGCCGACTCCAGGCATTCTAATGGGAGAGGTTCCTGGCAGACCCCAGGCATTTTAAGTATAGACACCTCTGGCCATCCAAAGGCATTTTAATGATACAGAACATGGCTGACCTCATGTATTCTAAGAATAAAGACACCAGGGCGAGTCCAGGCATTTCAACGGAAGATACTCCTGGCTGACCAAAGGCATTCTAATGATACAGACACCTGTGTGACCTCAGTCTTTCTACGGTTAGAGACACCTGTCCAACCCCAGTTATTCTAATGGGAGAGACTACTGGCCAACCCTAGGCATTCTAATGATAAAGTCTTCTGGACGAACCCAGGCTTTCTAATGACAGAGACACCTGGGCGACCTCAGGTATTTTATGGATAGAGACACCTGGTCAACCCAGGAATTCTAACCACAGTGACTTTTGGCCGAACCCAGGCATTCTAATGATACAGACTCCTGGGAGGCCTCAGGCATTCTAAGGATAGACACCTGGCTGAGCCCAGCCATAATAATGGGAGTGACTCCTGGCTGACCCCAGGCATTCTAATGAGAGAGACTCCTGGCCTATTCTAGGCATTCTAATGATAGAGACACCTGTGTGACATCAAGCATTTTAAAAATAGAGTCACCTGGCCTTCCCCATGAATTATAATGAGAGAGACGCCATTTCAACTCCAGGCATTCTAATAATAAAGACACCCTGGCAATCTCAGGCATTCTAAAGATAGTGACACTTGGATGACCTCAGGCATTCTAACTGGAGAGACTCCTGGTTGACCCCAGGCATTCTAATGATGGAGACTTCTTGCCTACACGAGGCGCTTTAATAATAGAGACACCCAGGTGATCACAGGCATTCTATGGATTGAGACACATGGAGGACCCCAGGCATTCTAACAGGAGAGACTCCTGGCCATCCCCACACATTCTAATGAAAGAGACTCCTGGTTTTTTCCAGGCATTCTAATGAGAGAGACACGTGTAAAACCTCAGTCACTCTAAGGATAGAGACACCTAGCTGACCTCGGTAATTCTAACAGGAGAGACTTTTAGCTGACCCCAGGCATTCCAATGAGACAGAATCCTGGCTGACCCCAAGCATTCTAAGAATAGAGACACCTGTGCAACTTTTGGCACTCTAAGGACAGAGACACCTGGCCGACCTTAGGCATTCTGCTGGGGAGATTCCTGGCTGACTTGAGTCAATCTAATGAGAGAGACATCAGGGCAACCTCAGGCATTCTTAGAGACACCTATTCACCTAATGGGAAAGACTCCTAGCCAACCCCAGGCATTCTAATGGGAGAGACCTAAGGCTGAACCCAGGCATTGTAATGATAAGATTCATGGACTAACCCAGGCATTCTAATAAAAGAGACACCTGGGGGACCTCAGACATTCTAAGGATGGAGACACTTGACTGACCCAAGACATTCTAATGGAAAAAACTACTGGCTGACATGAGGCATTCTAACAACAGTTCCCTGGCCGCCACAGGCATCCTAATGATAAAACCACCTGGGTGACCACAGGCATTCTAAGAATAGGGACACCTGGCCGACCCCAGGCATTCTAATGGCAGAGATTCTTGGCTGACTCCAGGCATTCTAATAATAGACTGCTGGCCGACCGACCTCAGACATTTTAATGATAGAAACATATGGCCGACCCCAAGCATTGCAATGGGAGAGAATTCTGGCTAACCCCAGGCATTCTAATAATAAAGACTCCTGGCCGACCACAAACATTCTAATGATAGAGACACATGGAGAACCTCAAGCATTCTAAGAACAAAGAAACCTGGTTGAGCCCTGGCATTTCAATGGGAGACACTCCTGGTCAACCCAAGGCATTCTAATGATAGAGACTCCTGGCCAAAAACAGGAATTCTAACGATTGAGACACCGGGGTGACCTCAGGCATTCTACAGATAGACACACTTGGCCAATTCCAGACATTCTAACGAGAGAGACTCCCGGCCAACCCAAGTCATCCTAATGGGAGAAACTACTAGTCAACGACAGGCATTCTAATGATAAAGTCTTCTAGCAGAACTCAGGCATTCTAATGAGGGAGACACCTGGGGGACCTCAGGCATTCTACGAATAAAGACACCTGGTAGACACAAGGCATTCTAACGTGAAAGACTTCTTCTGGACATGAGGCTTTCTGATGATACAGACTCCAGGCCTATCCCATGCATTCTAATGATAGAGACTCCTGTGAGATCTCATTCATTCTAAGGATAAAGACACCTGGCTCACCCTAGGCATTCTAATGGGAGAGACTCCCAGCTAACCCCAGGCATTTGAAAGATAGAAACTCCTGGCTTACTGCATTTATTCTAATGATAAAGAAACCTGTGTGACCTCAGGCATTCTAAAGATAAAGACACCTGGCCAACCTCAGGCATTCTAATGAGAGAGACTCCAGTCCAACCCCAGGCTTTCTAATGATAGAGACTTTTGAGCAACCCCGCAACCTCACAATTCTAAGGATAGATGCACCTGGCTGACCCCAGACATTCTGATGGGAGAGACTTCAGGCCTAACCCAGGCATTCTAATAATAGATGCTTTTGGCTGACACCTGGCATTCTAATGATAGAGACACCTAAGTGACATCAGGCATTCTAAGGATAGAGACCCCTGGCCGACTTGAGGCATTTTAAAGTGAGCAACTCCTTGCTGTCCCAAGCATTCTAATGATAGAGACTGCTCACATACTCCAGACATTCAAATGATAGGGACACCTGTGAAACTTTGACATTCTAAGGATAGAAACACCTGGATTGCCCAAGGCATTATAATGGGACAGACTCCTAGCCAACCAGAGGTATTCTAATGATAGAGAATTCTTGCCTACCGGAGTCATCGTAATGAGAGAAACACCTGTGTGACCTCAGGCATTCTATGGATAGAGACACCTGGCCGACCCCAGGAATTTTAATGGTAGAAACTCCTGGCCGACCACAGGCATTCTAATGATAGAGACTCCTGGAAGACCTCAGGCAGTCTAGAGACAGAGACTTCTGGCTGACACCAGGCATTCTGAAGATAGAGAAATCTGGGCAACCTCACCATTCTACAGATAGAGACACCTAAGTGACATCAGGCATTCTAAGGATAGAGACAGCTTTCTGACCCCAGGCATTCTAAAGGGAGGGACTTATGGCCGCCCCTAGGCATTCTAATGATAGAGACTGCTGGCCTACTCCAGGCATTCAAATGATAAAGATACCTGTGCAAACTTGGGCATTCTAAGGATAGACACAGCTGGCCCACCAAAGGCATTCTAATGGGAGAGAATCCTGGCCAACCAGAGACATTCTAATGATAAAGACTTCTTGTATACCCCAGGCATTCTAATGATAGAAATGCCTGTGTGACCTCAGGCATTCTAAGGATAGAGACACCTTTCTGACCCCAGGCATTCTAATGGGAGAAACTCCTGGCTGACAACAGGCATTCTAATGGGAGACCCTCCTGGCTGACCACAGGCATTCTAATGATAGAGACTCCTGGACGACCCCAGGCTTTCTAAACACAGAGACTCCTGGCCAACTACAGGCATTCTAATGATAGAAACACCTGGGTGACCTCCCCATTCTAAGGATAGAGACACCTGGTCAACTTCAGGCATTCTAAGGATAGAGACATCTGGTCGAAGCCAGGCATTCTTACAAGAGTGACCCCAGGTTGACCCCAAGCATTCTAATGTTAGAGACTTCTGTTTAACTCAGGCATTCTAATGATAAAGACACCTTTGCCACCTCTGGCATTCTAAGGACAAAGACACCTTGCTGGCCCCAGGCATTCTAATAGGAGAGACTCCCAGCCAACCAAGAACATTCTAATAATAGAGACACCTGGGCGACTTCAGGCATTCTATAGATAGGCACACCTGGCCAACCCCTGGCATTTGAATGGGAGAGACTCCTGGCTGACCCCAGTCATTCTAACATGAGAGACTACTGGCCAAACACAAGCATTCTAATGATAAAGCCTTCTGCTCAAACCCACCATTCTAATGACAGAGACACCTGGGCAACCTCAAGCATTTCAAGGATAGAGACACCTGGCCAACCCAGGCTATCTAACAAGAGAGACTTTTGGCAGACTTCAAGCATTTCAAAGATAAAGGCACCTGGGGGACCTCAAGCACTCTAAGGACAGAAACACCTGGTTGACCCCAGGCATTTTTTTTTTTTTTTTTTTGAGATGGAGTTTCAGTCTTGTGGCCCAGGCTAGAGTGCAAAGTTGCCATCTCAGCTCACCGCAACCTCCGCCTCCTGGGTTCAAGTGATTCTCCTGCCTCAGCCTCCTGAGTAGCTGGGATTACAGGCATGTGCCACCTCGCCCAGCTAATTTTGTACTTTTAGTAGAGATGGGGTATCTCCATGTTGGTCAGGCTGGTCTCAAACTCCTGACCTCAAGTGACCCGACCACCTCAGCCTCCCAAAGTGCTGGGATTACAAGCATGAGCCACCACGCTCGGTCACTGACTCCAGGCATTGTAACGGGAGAGACTTCTAATGTACCACAGGCATAAGAGTGATAGAGACTCCTGGCCTACCCCAGCAGCCCTAATGAAAAAGACACCTGTGAGAGCTGTAGCATTCTAAGGATAGAGACACCTGAGTGACCCCAGGAATTAAAACAAGAAGGACAACTGGCCTACTCCAGGTATTCTAACAGAAGAGACTGCTGCCCAACCCCAGGAATCTAATGGTTGAGACACCTGGGCGACCACAAGCATTCTAACAGTAGCGACACCAGGCCGACCGCAGACATTCTAACGGAAAAGACTCATGGACGAGCCCAGGCATTCTAATGATAGAGACCCCTGGCCTACCCCACACATTCTAATGATAGAGTCACCTGGGCGACCTAAGGCATGCTAAGCATAAAGACACCTGGCCAACACAGGCATTCTAAAGGGAAAGAATTTTGGTTGATCCCAGACATTCTAATGAGAAAGATTCTTGGCTGACCACAGGCATTGTTATAATAGAGACACCTGGGGGGCCTCAGGCATTCTAAGGATAGAGACACCTGGCCTATCCTAGGTGTTCTAAAGGGAGAGATTCCTGGCATTTTCCAGGCATTCTAATGATAAAGAAAACTGTTCACCATCAGGCATTCTAAAAATAGACACCCTGCCAACCTTAGGCAGGATTATGATAGAGACACCTGGGGAACCTCACGCATTCTAAAGATGAAGACTCCTGGCCAACCCCAGGCATTCCAATAATAAAGACTCCTGGCATACACCAGGTATTCTAATGATAGAAACACCTGTTCGACATCAGGCATTCTAAAGATAGAGACACCTGGCTGAACCACCAGGCATTAAAATGGGAAAGACCCTTGGATGACAGCAGACATTCCAGTGATTGAGATTCCTGGATGACCTTAGACATTCTAATGACAGAAACACCTGGGTGACCTCAGGCATTCCAAAGATAGAGACTCCTGGCCAACTTCAGGCATTCTAATGATAAAGACCCCTGAATGACATAAGGCATTCTAAGGGTAGAGACACCCGGGTGAACCCGGGCATTCTAACATGAGAGTTTCCTGGTCGACCCTAGGCATTCTAATGATAGAGACACTTGGGTGACCCTACCATTCAAAGGATAGAGGCATTTGGCCAGCCCTAGGCATTCTAATGAAGGAGACTCCTGGCCAACCCCAGGCTTTCTAATAATAGAGACTCCTGGTCTATCACAAGCACACTAATGACGGACACCTGGGAGACCTCAGGCATTCCAAAGAAAGTGACAACTGCCCCACCCAAGGCCTTCTAACAAGAGAGACTCCTGGCTGATCCCTGGACTCTAACGGGAGAGACTCATAGCCAACCACAGGCATTCTAATGATAGAGACACCTAGGTGACATCAGGCATTCTAATGATAGAGACAGCTGTGTGACCTCAGTCATTCTAAAGCTAGAGACACCTGGAAGACCCCAATCATTCTACCGGGAGAGACTCCTGGCCGACCTGAGGCATTCAAATGATAAAGACTCTTGGCTGGCCTACCCCATGCATTCAAATGATAGAGAAACCTGTGCGACCTCAGGCGTTCTAAAAATAGAGACACCAGGCCAAATCCAAGCATTCTAGTGGGAGATATTCCTGGTCGAACCCAGGGATTCTAAAGAGAAAGATTCCTGCAGGAAACCCGGCATTCTAATGATAGAGACTCCTGGACGACCCCAGGCATTCTCATAATATAGACACCTGAGTGAACTCAGGCATTTTGAGGATAGAGACTTTTGGCTGACACCAGGCATTCTAATGATAGAGACACCTGGGCAACATTAGGAATTCTAAGGATAGAGACATCTGGCCGACACCAGGCAGTCCAATGGGAGAGACTCCTGGCTGCCCCCAGGCATTCTAATGATATAGTCTTCTGGCCTACCCCAGACATTCTATGATAGAGACACCTGTGTGACTTTAGGCATTCTAGAAATAAAGATACCTGGGCGACCCAAGGCAGAGTAACAGAAGAGTGTCCTGACTGACCACAGGCATTCTAATGAGAGAGCCTCTGGCGGACCCCAGTCATTTTTTTTTTTGAGGTGGCTTTTTGCTCTTGTTGCCCAGGCTGGAGTGTAATGGCATGATCTCGGCTCACCACAACTTCCACCTCCCAGGTTCAAGCGATTCTCCTGCCTCAGCCTCCTGAGTAGCTGGAATTACACGCATGTGCCTCTGTGTCTGGCTAATTTTGTGTTTTTAGTAGAGACAGGGTTTCTCAATGTTGGTCAGGCTGGTCTTGAACTCCTTACCTCAGGTGATCCACCCACCTAGGCCTCCCAAAGTGCTGGGATTACAGGTGTGAGCCACAGTGCCCGGATGACCCCAGTCATTTTAATGATAGAGATTCCTGGACAACCCCCAGCAGTCTAATGATAGAGACACCTGAGCAATCTTAGGTATTCTGAGGGTAGAGACGTTTGGCTGACCCCAGGCATATTAAGGGGAGAGACTCTTGGCAAGCCCCAGGAATTCTAATGATAGAGACACTTGGGCCACCTCAGGTGCTCTAAGGTTAGAGACAACTGGCCAACCCCAAGCAATGTAATGGGAGAGAATCCTGGTCGACCCCAGGCATTCTAATAAGAGAGACTCCTGCTGGTCTTAGGCAATCCAATGATAGAGACACCTGGGGGACCTCAACATTCATAGAATAGAGACACTTGGCCGACCCCAAGCATTATAACAGTAAAAAGTCCTGGGTGACTCCAGGCATTCTAATGATAGAGGCTCCTGGCAAACCCCAGGCATTCTAATGACAGAAACACCTGAGAGATCTCAACCATTGTAAAAACAGAGACACCTGGCTGCCACAGGCATTTAAACGGGAGAGATTCCTGGCTGACCCAAAGCATTCTAACGATAGAGCCTCCTGGCCATCCTCAGGCATTCTAATGACAGAGACACCTGGGTGTCCTCAGGCATTCTAAGGATATGACACCTGGCTGACCCCAGTCATTCTAACAGGGGAAACTACTGGTTGACCCCAGGCATTTTAATAATAGAGACACTTGTTTGATCTCAGTCATCCTAAGAACAGAGACACCTAGACGACCACAGGCATTTTAACGAGAGAAACTCCTGTCCGACCTCAGGCGTTCTAATGATAGAGGTTCCTGTCCGAACCCAGGCATTCTAATGATAAAGACTTTTGGACGACCCCAGGCATTCTAATTATAGAGACAACTATACGACCTCAGGCATTTTAAAGATAGAGACACCTGGCTGACCACAGGCATTCTAATGAGCGGAATTCCTGGCCAACGCCTCACATTTTAATGGTAGAGGCACCTGGGCCATATCACGCATTCTAACAGAAGAGAGTGCAGGCTGACCTCAGGCATTCTGATGATAGAGACTCCTAGCCTATCCCAGGCATTCCAATAACAGACACCTGTGTGACCTCATTCATTTTAAGTATAGAGACACCTGGACAAACTCAGACATGCTAATGGAAGAGACTCCTGACCAATCCCAGGCATTCTAATGATAGAGACTGGTGGCTGACCCTAGGCATTCTAATGATAGAGACACCTGGGTGACCTCAGGTACTCTAAGGATAGAGACACCTGGCCAACTCCAGGCATTTTAACAGGAAAGACTCCTGGTCAAACAGAAGCATTCTAATGGGAGAGATTCCTGCAGGAACCCAGGCTTTTTAAGGATAGAGATCCTGGACAACCTCAGGCATTCTAATGATACAGACACCAGAGCAAACTCAGGCATTCTGAAGATAGAGACATTTGGCCAACCCCAGGCATTCTATCGAAAGAGACTCCTGGCTGAACCCAGGTATTATAATGGGAGAGATTCCATGCTGAGCACAGGCATTGTAGTGATAAAGTCTCCTAGCCTATCTCAGGCCTTCTAATGATAGAGACACCTTCAGAACCTTAGGCCTTCTAAGGATATAGACACATGTCTGAACCCAAGCTTTCTAATGGTAGAGACAGCTGGCCGACCCAAGGCATTCAAATGATAGAAATTCCTGGCCAATCCCATGCCTTCTAATGATAAAGAAACCTGTGTGACCTCAGTCTCATTCCAAGGATAGAGACACCTGACAAACCCAGGCATTCTAACCATAGAGACTTCTGACCAAACCCAGGCATTTTAGAGATAGATACCTTTGGCCAACCCTAGGCATTCTAATGATAGAGACAACTAGGTGATCTCAGGCATTCTAATGATAGACACTCCTTGTCGACCCCAGGCATTCTAATGTTAGAGACACCTGGGGGAACCCAGGTATTCTAATGATAGACACACCTGACCAACCACAGGAATTCTAACAGGAGAGACTCCTGGCTGACCCCAGGCGTTCTTATGGAAGAGACACCTAGTCGACCCCAGGCATTCTAATGTGAGAGACTACTGCCGACCCCAAGCATTCTAGTTACTGATTCACCTGGGCGACTTCAGACATTCTAAGGAAAGAGACAACAGGCCAACCCAAGGCATTCTAATGGGAGAGACTCTTGGCAGACACCAGGCTTATTAATGATAGAGAATCCAGACCTAACTCAGACATTCCAATGACAGAGAAATCTGTGCCACCTCAGGCATTTTACGGATAAACACACCTGGCCGAGCACAGGAATTGTAATGGGAGAAACTCTTGGCTGACCTCAGGCATTCTAATCTAGAGAATCCTGGCCTACCCCATTAATTCTAACGTTAGAGAAACCTCTGTGACCTCAGACATTCTAAGAATACAGACACGTGGCCAACCGCAGGCGTTCTAATGGGAGAGACTACTTGTGGACTGCAGGCATTCGAATGATAGAGACTCCTGGCCAACCCAAGGCTTTCTAGTGAGAGAGACACCTGGGCGGCCTCACCATTCTAAGGATAGAGACACCTGGCCGATCACAGGCATTCTAATAGGAGAGACTACTTGCGGACCGCAGGCATTCTGATGATAGAGACTCCTGGCTGACACAAGGCTTTCTAGTGAAAGACGCACCTGGGCAGCCTCACCATTCTAAGGATAGAGACACCTGGCTGATCTCAGGCATTCTAATGGGAGAGACTCCTGGCCGACCTCAGGCTTCCTAATGATAGGGACTCCTGTGGGACATCAGGCATTCTAAGGATAGAAACACTGGCTGACCCCAGACATGTTAATGGAAAAGAGAAAAAGATTCCTAACCAAACTCGAACTCAGGCATTCTGATGATAAAGACACCTGGGCAACCTCAGGCAATCTAAGAGTAGAGACAGCAGGCCTACCCCAGGCATTCTAATGGGAGAGATGGCTGGCCAACCCCAGGCATTCTAATGATAGAGACTGCTGGCCTACCCCAGGCTCTCTAATGATAGAGAAACCTGTGGGACCTCAGGCATTCTAACGGTAGAGACTCCTGCCATACCCTAGGCATTCTAATGATAAAGACACTTGTGTGATTTAAGGCATTCTAAAGATAAAGACACCTGGCTGAGCCCAGGCATTCTAACAGAAGAGACTCCTGGTCAACACCACGTGTTCTAAGGAGAGAGACTCCTGACTGACCCCAAGCGTTCTAATGGTAGAGACACCTAGGCGACCTCACCATTCTAAGAATAGAGACACCTGGCCAACCCCATGCGTTCTAATGGGAGAGACTCTGGGACAACCCCAGGCATTCTAATGATACAGACTGCTGGCCTAGCTTAGTCATTCTAATGACAGAGGCACCTGTGGGAACTTGGGAATTTTTAGGATAGAAGCACATGGCTGAACCAAGGAAATCTATGCATAGAGAAACCTGGCCAACCTTAAGCATTCTATTGGGAGACACTCTTGGCTGACCTCAGGCATTATAATGATAGAGACTCCTGGCTGACCCTAGGTATTCTAATGATAAAGACACCTGCACAACCTCAGCCATTCTAAGGATAGGAACACATGGCCGACCACAGGGATTTTAATGGGAAAGACTTCTTGCTGATCCCACTCCTTCCAAGGATAGAGACTTTTGATTGCCCCAGGCATTCTAATGATAAGGACACCAGTGTGGCCTAAGACATTCTAAGGATAGAGACACCTGGCCAACTTCAGTCTTTCTAATGGGAGAGAATCCTGGCCAACCACAGGCATTCAAACGGGAGAGATTCCTGGCTGACCTAGGTTTTCTAAAGATAGAGACTCCTGGCCAAATCCAGGCATTTCAGTGATACAGCCTTCCGGCCTCCCGCAGGCATTCTAATGACACAGACACCTAGGCAACCCAGGCATTCTTATAGAGACACCTGGCCTACCCCAGACATTCTAACAAGAGAGACTCCTGGACGAACTCAGGAATTCTAACGGGAGATAATACAAGGCAAATCATGCATTCTAATGATAGTGAAACCTGTACGACCACAGGCATTTTAAAGATAAAGACACCTGTCTGATCCCAGGCATTCTGACAGGAGAGACTCCTGGCTGACCGCAGGCATAATAATGATAGAGACACCACAAAAACGTAAGGCATTTTAAGGTTGAAGACACCTTGCCAACTACAGGCATTCTAACGAGGCAGATTTTGACTGACCCCAGGCATTCAAAGAAGAGAAACCTGGTCAACCACAGACATTCCAATGAGAGATACTCCATGCCATCTCAAGGCATTCCAATGATGGAGAGTTCTTGC